>NC_000018.10:51229242-51529909 GCF_000001405.40 Homo sapiens
CCATCTGCAAACCATCTTCTCTTCTCTTCCTCTGCCAACTGATCATAGGGAACTCCCCATGAAGCCATAGGTACAGCTTGGGAGAGAGAAGGCTGGGTAGCAGAAGTGAGGACCATGGCATTTGGGCCACTTCTTCGGGTAAGTTACTTGTGCCATCAGGACCTGCTTGAGACCACTGACATATATTCCACTTCCATTTGATGATGAAATACTGCTGTGTAGGCCCAACTTCACGGCTAAATGGGTCAGAAAGCACCCAGGTCATGATAGGCAGCTCAGATTGCCTGATAACTTGGTGACTCATAGTCAAATGTTCAGTTTCCACCAAGGCCCAGTAGCAGACCAAGAGCTATCTTTCGAAAGGAGATTAGTTACCTGCAGAAGATGGTAAGGCTGTGCTTCAAAATCCTAGAGGCCTCTGCTGTAATTCACCTAGGAGGGCCCGCTAGAGGCTCCAGACAGCATCTCTATCTGGAGCCAGTGACACCTCAAGTACCACTGGATCTGCTGGATCACATGGCATAAGTGGCAGAGCAGCTTTCACAGCAGCCTGGACCTGTTGTGTAGTCTTATCCTGTCCTGGGTCCCACTCAAAACTAGCAGCCTTTCGGGCCACTCAATAAATGGGCTGAAGTAACATACCCAAATGAGGAGTGTGTTGCCTTGGAAATCCAAATAGGCTCACTAGGTGTTAGTCTGTTCTCCTGCGACTAATGAAGGCATACCCAAGACTGGGTAATTTATAAAGGAAAAAGGTTTAATTGACTCACAGTTCCACATGGCTGGGGAGGCCTCACGATCATGGTGGAAGGCAAGTGAGGAGCCAAGTCATGTCTTACATGGTGGCAGGCAAGAGAACATGTGCAGGGGAACTCCCATTTAGAAAATCCTCGGATCTCATGAGACTTATTCACTACCACAAGAACAGTACGGGAGAAGCCACCTGCATGATTCAATTATCTCTGCCTGGCCCCGCCATTGACTCATGGGGATTATTACAATTCAAGGTGAGATTTGGGTGGGGACATGGGCAAACAATATCAGCCACTTTCTTGGTTGTAGGAAGGGCCAGATGCAACAGCTTATCCTTCACCTTAGATGGAATATCTCGACAGGTCCCACACCATTGGACCCCTAGAAATTTTGAGGTGGAAGGCCCCTGAATTTTAGTCAGGTTTATTTCCCATCCCCTGACATGCAAATGTCTCACAGTAAGTCCAGAGTACTTGCTTCTCGCTTACTGCGTCCAATCAGCATAATGTCCTCAATGTAATGGACCAGTGTGATATCTTGTGGAAGGGAAAAGCGATCAAGATTTTTGCAAACAAGATTATGACACAAAGCTGGAGAGTTGAATATCCCTGAGGTATATTGCTGGCCTTGCCAGATGAAGACAAATTGCTGCTGGGTGGGGCTTATGGACTGGGATGGAGAAAAAGGCATTTGCCAGATCAATAGCTGCATACCAGGTAACAGGAGATGTTTTAATTTGCTCAAGCAATGAAACCACATCTAGTAGAACAGCTGAAACTGGAGTTATCACTTGGTTAAGCTAATGATAATCTACTGTCATTCTCCAAGATCTATGTCTTCTGCACAGGCCAAATAGGAGAGCTGAATGGAGATGTGGTGGGAATCACCACCCCTGTATCTTTCAAGTCCTTGATGGTGGCACTAATCTCTGCAATTTCTCTAGGAATGCAATATTATTTTTTATTTACTATTTTCATAGATATAGGCAGTTCTAACAGCTTCCATTTGGCCTTTCCCACCATTGTAGCCCTCACCCCACAGGCCAGGAAACCAATGTGGGGACCTTGACAGCTGTTAAGTATGTCTATTCTGATTATGCATTCTGGCACTGGAGAAATGACCACAGCATGGGTCCAGGGACGCACTGGACCCACTGTAAGACAGATCTGAGATAAAACTCCATTAATTACCTGACACCTATAAGCTCCTACTCTAACTGGAGGGCCACAATGGTATTTTGGGTCCCCTGGAATCAATGTCGGCTCAGAGGCAGTATCCAGTAGTTCCCAAAAGTTCTGATTAATTTCCTTTCCTCCATGCACAGTTACCCTGCTAAAAGGCCAGACGAAGGTTGGGAGAATGATTAACAGTATGAAATTTCAGTAGTGTAGTGGGGTCCTTCCTCAAGAGGACCCAGCCTCCCCTTCATTCAAGGGGTTTTGGATCTGTAAGCTGGCTCCAGTCTGGAAATTGATTGAAGGGCCATGATTCTCTGTTTTCATAATTCAAATTAGACTTTTGGTCACTTGACCTGGAAGTTTTCTGCTTATATAGATCAAGTAAGAAGGTGGTAAGCTTCCTGTTGATTTCCCTTCTAGGAACACCATGATTAATTAGCCAATCCTAGAGCTTTACAGGTGTCAGACTATTCTGATTGCTACTTTGCCTCTGCTGTCCACTACTAACTATGCCCACCTTGCCTTTGACGGATGAGTGCTGCTACTTGGCCTCTGTCATCTCAGGATCCAATTATTCCCATTGCATTTAAGTTTTCCAGTTGGGTGGCTGTGGTTCCCACTGTAAGATCTGGCATACAGAAAAGAACAATCACAGAGGTCTTCAAGGATGCTGGTGCTCTCTTCACAAATCTATTTTGCAAGATACTGGTGAAAGTTGTGTATTCTGGACCCTCCCACTTGGGATGAGTAGGTCCTCAGTGACAAATTCATTCTAGCATTCCAATCTCCCTAAGCCTTTGGATCCTTCCTCTATATTAAACCAAGGGAAATCAGGCATCGCCAGTTCACTCACAGTGGGCCATCTTTTGACCCATGTTTCAGCTAACCAAGCAAATAAATAAACTATTACAACCTTTTTTAACTCCCCGAGCTGCAACATTAAAGGCAGTCTCTGCTTAGAGGGCCCATAGCAATTTATTCAGCCTGATCCAACTTTATGGCCCTTTCTCCACTATCCCACACCCTTAATATCCATTCCCATACCTGTTCCCCGAATTTCTGCTTATATAAATTAGAAAACTCAGTAGACCTTTTTCAGTGTAGCATGCCTTCTCATAGGTCACACCCTGAATCCTACCTCTAGGGTCCTGCTGGGTCTGGAGTCCAGTTAGAGTACAGAGGCAAACAGGTGGGGGGAGAACCAGCATTGTCTTTCCTGGCATCTGCCTTAGGGGAGGCCATCACTGTTTCCCTGGGTAATGCAGGGTTAATCTCAAAGACGGAAAGCCTGGTACTGCAGTAGATGGGCAAGGGCATGTTTCTACCACTGGGGGTGGGGAGGCGATTCCCTCTTGCTAAAAAGGCTCATCAGAATTTATTATCTCAGTATTCCCAGCTTCATTAGGGCCCCTCTACGTGTCCCCATCTCAACTTTCAGGGTCCCACTCTTTTCCAATCAATGTCCTCCCTTTAACAGTAGACATCCAGTGAGGCTGAGCATGTACCTTTCGTTGCAGGTCAATCACTTGCATAGTAACAGCTTGTGTCTGATTTTCAGCAATTTCAGCCGTCTGTTTACAGAAGAGCAGACTCTCACCCAGGGCAGTCTTAGAAGATTTGAGCTCAGTGTGTGCTTCTGGAGCCTGGAGATAGAATCCCTGAGCTTATCCTTTTCTTTCATCATTTTGCCCAGTGAACTTAGGAGCAATCAACCAACTTCACTATATTCCTTGGTTCTCCACAAATGTTCAAAGGTATCACTTATAGAGTCACTAAACTCCTTGCCTCTCAGGAGCAGGGAATCAGGAATATCAAATGCATTTATTTTGTATAACTCTAAACAGCTTACACCAATAACTATCAGTGCTGTCTGTACTATTAGAAATGAGAGTCTTTAGCATTTTTGGGTTTAATTTGATTCGATAGCCAACTCCAGAAACCCCAAACCAATGAAGGAAATTCATCCTTAAAATTCTATTCCTTTAGAACCACACCTGGTGCCAAAATCTGTATTAGGGACAGAACCAATAGGACAGAGGTATATAATAAAAGGGAGTTTATCAGGGAGAACTGGCTCACAGGATTACAATGTGAAGTCCAACAGTAGGTCATCTGCAAGCTGGGGAAAGAGAGGAGCTGGGAGAATGGCTCAATCCAAGTCTGAAAGCCTCAAAATTAGCAAAGCCAACAGGGCAGCCTCCTGGCTGAGGCTGAAGGCCTGAGAGCCCCCAGAAGTTTGCTGGTGCAGGCAGGTCCCGAAGTCCAAAGCCTTAAGAACCTGGAGTCTGATGTCCAAGGGCAGGAGGAAAGGAAGCAAGCATCCTGCACAGGAAGAGAGAGTGTGGGAGAGGATTCAGGAAGCTGTTTCTTCCCCTTTTCTGCCCGTTTTGTTCTAGACGCGCTGGCAGCCGATTGGATGGTGCCCGCCTATACTGAGGATGGGTCTCCCTCTCCCAGTCCACGGATTCAAATGTCAGTCTCCTCTGACAACACCCTCACAGACACACCCAGGAATAATACTTCCCCAGCCATCCAGGCATCCTTCAATCCAGTCAAGTCGACACCTAATAGTAACTGTCACAGGCTGTTAAGTAAAAATATTAAATATACCCTGGATTTCAAAGACTCAGTACAAAACAGAATGTAATCTGTCTCATTAATAACTTTAAAATATAGATTACATGTTGACACAATAATAATTTGGGTATATTGTATTAACTAAAATATATTGTTAGGATCAATTTCAGTTGTTTCTTTCTATCCTTTTAAAACATGGCTACTAGGCTGGGTGTGCGTGGCTCATGCCTGTAATCCCAGCACTTTGGCAGGCCAAGGAGGGTGGATCACATGAGGCCGGGAGTTCGAGACCAGCCTGGCCAACATGGTGAAACCCCGTCTCTACTAAAAATACAAAAATTAGCCAGGCATAGCAGTGGGTGCCTGTAATCCCAGCTACTTGGGAGGCTGAGGCATGAGATCGCTTGAACCTGGGAGGTGGAGGTTGCAGTGAGCCGAGATCGTGGCACTGCACTCTAGCCTGGGCAACAGAGTGAGACTCCATCTCAAAAAAAGAAAAAAAAATTACATGTATGACTCACGTTGTTATTTCTCCGGGACAGTGCTTCTCCTGACTGCAGTATGTGGTTCAAGAGGGCAGTTTTCTCACCCTTGTATATTCCTGCTTGCACTGCCTGTTGCTTAATAAGCACTGCACAATTTTTAATACATGAATGAATGCCTGGATGTGTGTGTACTACAGAGCAGAGGAGTCTTAGGGAGCAACCTCACCTTATCAATAGATTTCTAGCGTATGTCACCATGTATCCTAAGAGTCAAAATTTTAGGGGCAACAGTGGTAAACCCACGTTTAATGAGACAGCTTGTTTCTATCTCTTCACAGGTAAAATACCTATAGCCTGGTAGGTACAGTTGCCGTGGCTAAGCAATGGCAAACAAGACCATATCCTGTGATGAGGTGGGGTGTGTGCTGGGGGTGGTGGGGTAGGCTTTGCTGCACTTGACAGGAAGCAGGCTTCTAGGAGGTTTTGAGAGAAGGTCAAGGCCATCTATGTCAGAGAGTCTCAGGGCACTCATGTAAGAATATGCCAGGGTTGTGCCTGTCAGCAATATTCACTTTCCCACAATGTTTCTTCCCCCTGGTGACTCCTCCCTCCTTCTCCCTGAAAGATAATCCTTATCATTTTACTCTGGTGTTACTCAGCCTAACCCCACAAGGTGTCTTACCCAAGACACTGCATCCAACCGGGGATGTTTATTTTGTGGATTTTAGGTCTCTACTTATCCGAATGGACTTTTCAAAGGGAGATCGGGCAGCTTGGTGAGAAAGGGATCATTTGGTTTTTGTTGGAAGCAAGTCAACTATGTTAATAAGACCTCTGCATTGCAGGTCATCCATCTCCACCTTTTCAGCCCCAAGCACCTCTTCTCAACTTGCAAAATGGCATCTTCCCATATAGCTTGTCTCTTGTGCTCTTCGGAGCCCTTCTTTCTTTGAGAAGAAATATGTATAGACGCAGGCAGAACAGTGACTCCACGTCGTTAGGATTAGGGTCCCTTAAACATTCACTCTTTCTGACTCTGTCAGCCTGTCTGACTAGTAAGGCTGTGAGGTCTGAGTCATCCAAAAGCTCCCAGGGGGACTTCCCTTGCTGGCCTCACCCTGCCACTCTGCCCATCTTCCCTCCATTTTCACAGATCTCACACAAGCCCCATCCAGCAGCTTATTCTCATTCATTCCATCTTTATACTTCCTTTAGTGCAACGACCTACTTAAGTTAAAGGGAATTACAAACCCCCAAGGAAATTTGCTGACAGCTATTTCCTGGGTAGAATTAGGTTGGGCATGTGTCTGAGATAAGCTCTAAGAATCATTTTGGCTGCAGATGGGAGTGGAAAGGGAGGGACAGAATGTTACCAAAAAAAAAAAAAAAAGTCTGACGACAAGTGTTCCTGGGGATGTGACTGGAAACTGATGGTGGCAGGGAGGGCTGGGTAAGAAATACACCCTCCAGGGCAGTTCTAAACTGGCATTTAGATTTTCTTAGATTTCAGTCTCTTCCCTCAGTTTTCTGCTTAGAAGCTCTACTCCCAAGGTCATAGGTCTAAACAATATCAGAGTCCGGATAGAGCAGATGAAGCCAAACCATTATTAGGAAAAAAATACATACTTTTATTAGGCTGATGATGTTCTTACACAAGCATATCAGCACAGTTTTGAAAATAATTTAAGGATGAAAGATAACAGGTGGAAACAGCTTCAGACCAGGTGCTGGAACACATGAACTTTTTGGGGTTGGATTTTCCAGGAACTGGCTGTGTACCTTAAGCAAGTCATTTTCACCTCACTAAACCTCACTTTTCTCATCTGTAAAATGTGTGGTTTAGACTAGATGATGGCTAAGATGCTTTTCAGTTTTTAAGTTTCTTGAAACACATAAAATTATTTGCCTGTTGGCTATGGTAGCTAACAATTGCTATTATTTTGGTAAAGTTGTTAACAAGTAGTAGATTGATTTATGTTTTTATTCTTTTCCTTTTTTGGTGGAGGTATTTTGTAGGATAGTCAAAAGGTGGGGCACAGAAAAAAGCTAAAGATCCAAATAAGCCTCAAACCAGACAATGGGCCTCTGAATCATGGAAGCTGATTGGCTATGGACCGTAGAGTCCCTTCGGCAATCTCTGGTATGAGTCACAGGCTTCACCACCCAAGGCATTCAATCCCATGAGGCAATCCTTTCCTTATCTATTTGTATAGTATGAGAGAGGGCCAACCACTGACAGGCCAGAAACTCCTGGCTGAGCCCTAAAATGCACTTTGCCTGCTGTCTTCATTGGTGGTAATGGTGTGACTGGAGTGGGCACTGAATAATGTTTGAAGCTAAATTCCACAACAAAGGATCTGTTGTTTATTAGGAAAACCACTAAAACCAGTTACAGTAGAAAAAGTACTCATAGGTCAGTTTATAAGCTTAAATTTAACGTGTTAGAGAGTTTTAGAGCCAAAGACACAGGAATCCGTCTGACCTAATACACTTTAGAGATGAAAAGAAGATGAATTGTCCAAGGTTGTAACTTTATTAGTGCAAATTTAGGACTAGAAAACACAACTAGATTCTCAGGTCTGTGGCTTTCTAGTATGCTATATTGCTTATGTAAGAATCTGAGTATGTTTTAAATACAATGATTTTTAAATTGACAATGCATACACTATGCAATTTAAATGACAGAAAGTTTACAGTGGAAAGTTAGTCTTCTATTCAATGTTTTCTCTAAAGTCTCTTCCCTCTTTGGCCAATCTGGAATTTATTTTAGTTTAAGATGTGAGGTAGGGATTCAACTTTATTTTCTTTCAGATGACTGTCCAGTTATTTTACTAGCAGATAAGTTGTATTTCCCTTATTTGTCCTTCAATTTTGGAGTTTTTGTCTTGGTATTTTCTTCTTTCTCTCCTATATAAACTTGAGAAATCAGCTTACACATTAAAAAATTCTGTTGGTTTTAACAAATGAGATTGCATCAAATGTATAGATGAATTTGGGGAGAATTGACAGTTTTATGAAGTCTGCTATAGAGCTTCAGGACATACTTTCCTCTCTGATAAGAAGAAACATGGTACAAGATGCTGTCCTTTCTGCCTTTTGATGTAGTTCTGTGAACATGTCATTGTCATAACTTCAAACATTACACCCGACCTCCCTCCTTATACTAAAATAAACTTCAGCCACACTGGCCTCCTTGCTGTTTCTTCAACTTAACTGGCATGTTCTTTCTGCTCAGAAAAACTCTTCCCCCAGAAATCTGCCTGGCTCATTCCCTCATCTCCTTCAACTATCTGCTGAGTGCCACCTTCTCACTGAGCCTATGCTGACCACCCAATTTATTTTTATTTTTTATTTTATTTTATTTTATTTTTTAGATGGAGTTTTGCTTTTGTCACCCAGGCTGGAGTGCAATGGTGTGATCTTGGCTCACTGCAACCTGCATCTTTTCGGTTCAAGCAATTCTCATGCCTCAGCCTCCTGAGTAGCTGGGATTACAGGTGCCTGCCACCATGCCCAGTTAATTTTTTTGGTATTTTTAGTAGAGATGGGGTTTTGCCATGTTGGTCAGGCTGGCCTTGAACTCCTGACCTCAAGTTATCCACCAGCCTCGGCCTCCCAAAGTGCTGGGATTACAGGTGTGAGCCACTGTGCCTGGCCTGACCACCCAATTTAAAATGACTCTTGCCTCCCACTCTGAGCTCTCCTCATTTTCCTATCCATTCTACTTTATTTTCCATATGACTTATTGTCTTCTTACAATTTACTTAATCATGACATGTGTTTATTGTGCGTGTCCAGCACTAAAATTTAAGCCTCAAGAGTACAGAGATATTTGTCTGTTTTATTCACTGCCATAGCCTGAGGGCCTAGAACTCTCCCTGGCATACAGTAAATGTTTAATAAATTTTTGTTTAATTGAATTTAAAAAACTATTTTTGGCCTGGTGCGGTGGCTCACGCCTATAATTCCAGCACTTTGGGAAGCCAAGGCAGGTGGATCACATGAGGCCAGGAATTTGAAACCAGCCTTGCCAACATGGTGAAACCTCATCTCTACTAAACAAAAATTAGCCGTGCACGGTGGCATGCACCTATAGTCCCAGCTACTTGGGAGGCTGAGGCAAGAGAATCCCTTGAACCCAGGAGGTGGAGGTTGCAGTGAGCAGAGATCTTGCCACTGCACTCCACCCTGGTGACAGAGAGAGACCCTGTCTCAAAAATAAATAAAAAATAAAAGAAGCTATTTAGTAACAGATTTTATTTAGAATAAACACTGCAATTTTATCAAATATCATATCTCTTTTCAGCAGTCATGGAAATAATCATATGACTTTTCTCTTTTCATTGCCAGACATGGTAAATTATATATTACATTTCCTAATAGAAAAATAGCCTTGCATTTCTGCAATAAACCCCATTTAGTCATGGCGTATTATTCTTTTATGAGCTGCTTGATTTTGTTTGCTATTGTATTTATTATATTTAAGTTTTTGAATTGATACTGAAAGTGAGATTGGTGTAAAGTTTTGTCATGACATCTTTGTTTGGCTTTGTTATCACTGTTATGCTAGCTTTAAAATATAATTTAGAACATTCCCCCTGCCATACATTTGAAAAAATACTCTGGAATACTTCAAATAGCTTTGACTTTGTTTTTCTTTAAAATATGGCTACTGGTTGGGCATGGTGGCTCACGCCTGTAATACCAGCACTTTGGGAGGCCAAAGCAGGAGGATTGCCTGAATCCAGGAGTTTGAGACCAGCCTGGGCAACACAGCAAGACCCTATCACCACAAAAAAAAATAGCTAGGCATGTAGCATGCTCCTGTAGTTCTAGCTACTTGGGAAGCTGAAGCAGGAGGATTGCTTGAGCCCATATGTTTGAAGCTGCAGTGAGCTATGGTGGTGTCAGTGCACTCCAGCCTAGCCTGGGTGATAGAGCAAGACCTGGTCTCCAACAATAAATAAATAAATAAATAAATAAATAAATAAATAAATACATAAATACATAAATACATAATCTCCATCACTCTTCCTAGTTTGTTGATACCTTCTGGGCCTCAAACCACCTTAGACTTCTCTGCTTCATCCAACATGGCTTCCACTCTCAGATCCTCCAAATAGAAACATCCCTTTGACAATGTTCAAAAACCTTAAGTGGTTCTAGGGAGTACAAACTTAAACTCAAGAGGGCAGAAGATGAAGATGTTTACTTTTGTGTTTAAAAGAAGGGATCTCTGGCAGTTGATCAAACCTTGTTCAGTCAGGGCAGTGAGGTTAACACTATTGATTTATCTATCCAGAGGGTTTTCTTAGCTTATTTATTTTTATCATCATTCTTAAAACTTATTCTTTTATCTAACACATTGTGAGTACCTGCTGTGTGCTTATCTCCATTGTGATTCTACAGAATTAGAAGACATGCTTCCTGCCTGAAAGAGTTTTTAGTCTAGTTGGTGAGACAAGACAAATGGAAATAAAAAATAAACAATAAAGCAAGTCAATGTATAATATACCTCAATGGGTAGAATAGATAACTATTGCTATTGAGCGCAGGGGAGGGATGATTGCTGTGGAATATACCAGTTCTCATTTGCCCCAGATTTGCTCATCTGTGGTAAGCCTGTGATGATTAATTTTATGTGTCAATTTGACCAGGTTATGATACCCAGTTGTTTGGTCAAACGCTAGTCTAGATGTTGCTGTGAATGTATTTTAGAGATGTGATTAACATGTAATTCAGTAGGCTTTGTGTTGAGCAGATTACCTTCTATAATGTGGATGGGCCTCATTCAATCAGTTGCACGCTTTCAGAGAAAAGAACCTTCGAAGGGGAAGGCATTCTGTCTCCAGACTGTCTTCAGACTCAAGACTGTGATATCAAATCTTCCCTGGGGCTCTAGCCTGTTGGCCTGCCTTGCAGATTTTTGACTTGCCAGCCTCCACAATCGCAAGAACCAATTCCTTAAGATAAATATCTCTCTCTAGATATATATATCTAAAAATATTCTCAGTCAGGCCGAGTCAGGTAGCTCATGGTGGCCTGTAATCCCAGGACTTCAGGAGGCTGAAGCGGGTGGATCACTTGAGGTCAGGAGTTTGAGACCAGCCTGATCAACATGGGAAAACCCTGTCTCTACTAAAAATACAAAAATTAGCTGAGCATGGTGGATCATGCCTGTAATCCCAGCTACTTAGGAGGCTGAGACAAGAGAATCACTTGAACCTGGGAGATGAAGGTGGCAGTGACCCAAGATCATGCCACTGTACTCTAGCCTGAGTGATGGAGTGAGACTCTGTCTCAAAAAAAAAATCTAGGTCAGTGTTCTTCCAGAGAACAGACCCAAAAGCATATATATGAAACATGGGCTCAAGCAATCCTCATGCCTCAGCCTCTTGAGTAGCTAGAACTACAGGTGCATGCTACTGTGTCTGCTAATTAAAAAAAAAGTTTTATTTTTTAGTGATAAGGTCTTGCTTTGTTGCCCAGGCTGGTCTTGAAATCCAGAGGTTCTCTCTGGAAAATGCTGACTGATACAAAGCCCAGTATATATTGATATTCTCACTGAGATGTAATATCATTCATTCATTCAAGAAAAAAATTCATTAGTTATCTATTAGTGTGGTGGATTAAAAGTTTAGGCTTTGAAACCAGCCTATCTAGGTTTATTTTCTAGTATAAGCTTCAGTTTTCTCATCTGTAAAATGAGGATAATGATATGTATATTTTATGGGTTTTTTGAAGCATAATTGAGTTAATAAAAACATGCTAAGTGCTTTGAACAACACTCAATACAGTTATCACTCAATACATGTGAGCTATCTTTATTTTGACTACATGTCAGAGCATTGTGCTTGGCTTTGTAGAAACAATGGTAAGTATTATACAGAGTTAACCCTTAAATTGCTCATAGTCTAGTTGGGGAGTCAGAGAAATAGATGTACATGCCAATACAGTGTGCTAAGGATATTGACAGAGGTGTGCACAGGGCCACAGGCTGTGCAGACGGAGCAGGTACTCAGGACCCTGAGGCCCAGACTAAGAGAATCTGTGGCCCCCGAGCTGTGAAGAGAGGCAGAGGGAGTAACCTGCGGGAGGCTGGAAGCTGAGAAACCAGTGTTTTCCAGGGAAACTTTTTGCATGGAGTAAAGACTGTGAGGGTGAGCTGGTGGAAGATGATGGGGAAGAGATAAGCCTGGGGCCAGATGCTGGAGGGCTTTGTGTACCAAAGTTAGAGATCTGTTTGGTCTTTATCTCTCTAATACTTAAGATTCCCATTCCTGCAAGGGTTTTAAGCTTTTTAAAGCCTTCTAGTAGGATAAGTAATATGGCAAAACAAAGAGGCACAATCATACATCTACAAATGAATGAATGAATGAATGTCTATTTTTATTATTATTTTTGGGGTGGGAGAACAGAGTTGAGCTTCCTATAGAGTGGTGGCTCTCAGCTGGGGTGATTTTGCCCCTCAGAGGGGACATTTGGCAATGTTGGAAGACATTTTTGTCATAATTGGGATACAGGGGGTGCTACTGGCATGTAGTGAGTAGAGGCCAGGGATGTTGCCAAAAGTTCTACCACATCCCTGAGAGCCGCCGACAATAAATTGTCGGGTCCAGAATGTCCATAATTGTCAGGTCCAAAATGTCCAGCTGAGGTTGAGAAATGCTGCTGTAAAGAGACAGTGAGAAATAGATTTGGAGGAGGAGGAGCACACCTTATAGTACGCCTTTAATGTCCCACAAGTATTTTGGACTATTCTACAGGCCATTAGAAAGCCAGTGAAGGTTTTTGAGTAGAGAGGATGATGAAGGTCATGTTTAGGAGGATTAATCTGGCTGTTGTATGCAGGATTCATTAAAGGGTGGGTGGGACCAGAGGCAGGATGATCATGTAGATGGCTGTTGTGATTGTTCAGACTCCGGTGTTAGGAGCTTGCATGATTGGGAAAAGAGGGAGAGAAAAATAATAAAAATTGATGGACACGGGAAGCCTGGTGAGGAAGCTATTTTGGAAGATGATAATGTGTTTTTTAAGAAAACATTCATTTTAAGAAAAGAGTGCAATTCATACAGAAACATATCCTAGGCAGGAAAGAAGACAGGATTTGACTATAAGAGTCAACAACCTAGAAGTGACAGGCAAAATGTTGGCAGTGGACTAGTTCCTGGGGGAAAAGGCCTGAAAATAGATCATGCTGTCTCCCATTTTAACTTTTTTCTTTAAAGAACCCCCATTCCCCAGCAATGTTGTAAATGAGAGGAATGGAGACAGCTGCTACTCCCAGGTAACCTGACTTTACCAGTATTCAAGGCCCTAAGCGGCTGTTTGTTGTGATGGGCCAGGTGCTTCTGGAAGGTTGACTCCCATGGGAAAACTAATCACTGAAAATGAGCCTGATCATCTTAATGTTTCTTGTTACTTTTGGTCCTCATCAGCCTAGGGAGTATATTTGTAATCAGGAACAAAATCGGCTAGACTCCCTCTTCTCGTGCCAACACCTGAGTTGGTGACATTGCATGGATGTTTTCCTAGATCCTATTTTTATAGAATACTGATCACTGCCTTCCCTGATGTGGTTTTTTTCCCATGTCTTACTAGTATTTTTCTCTCCCAAATGCCATATTATCTACATAATTCTAGCATCTTTGCAGGTTGAAAACTTGATCTAAGCGTACAGCCATGCAATGAAAAAGATAGTGTTGAGAAAAATAGAAAGACAAATAATTGTATTTGGTTTTTTAAAAAAGAAGGGCCATTAAAATAGCTTTTTTTTTTTTTTCTTGAGGTGGAGTCTTACTCCGTGGTGCAGGCTGGAGTGCAGTGGCACAATCTCGGCTCACTGCAATTCTCCGCCTCCTGGGTTCAAGGGATTCTCTTGCATCAGCCTCTCGAGTAGCTGGGATTACAGGCACCCACTACTATGCCCGGCCAATTTTTGTATTTTTAGTAGAGATGGGGTTTCACCATGTTGGCAGGCTGGTCTTGAACTCCTGACCTCAGGTGATCTGCCCACCTCAGCCTCTAAAATTGCTGGGATTACAGGCATGAGCCACCGTGCCCAGTGTTGTTTTTTTTTTTTTTTAAATTTATTTTTTTTTGGTAGAGATGGGGTCTTGCTATGCTGCCTGGCTTTTTTTTTTTTTTTTTTTTTTTTTTTTTGAGAAAGAGTCTTGCTGTGTCACCCAGGCTGGAGTACAGTGGGCATGATCTTTGCTCACTGCAACCTCTGCCTCCCGGGTTCAAGTGATTCTCCTAAATTGGCTTTTTTTTTTAAGTGAAGAATTACATAGTTAATGTTTTAAATGGTTGTCATACAGGAGATACTGGCCATCTATTATTGATCTTCTCTAACAAGAATTTAACATAATAATACCATGTAATGTAAAAACACATAAGTTTACATGTGTAAACGCATTTCACAGGCTGGAGCTTAGAGAACTGAATGTTCAAGGCCTCAGAGGAAAATGGTGGCACTAGGGTACTGGTCAATCATTGTTCTTTCTGTGCCAGCTGCTATAGTGTAGATTGAGTTACTAGATGGAATTTGTGTGTGTGTGTGTGTGTGGCCAACTTTCCCCTCTCCTTTTCACAATTTCTACTTTTTCCTTGGAGATCATTCTGTATCAGAACATATAGAACATCTTGTTATTCTTTTTAGTGGCTATACAGTATTCTATTTTAATGAATGTAGCTTAATTTGTTTACTTAGCATTTAAGTTTATTTTTCCCCATTCTTGTTTTGTTTTGTTTTGTTTTTGAGATGGCGTCTCGCTCTGTTGCCCTGGTTGGAGTGCAGTGGCATGATCTCTGCTTAGTGCAACCTCCGCCTACTAGGTTCACGTGATTCTGGTGCCTCAGCTTCCCGAGTAGCTGGGATTACAGGCACCCGCCACTATGCCTGGCTAATTTTTGTATTTTTAGTAGAGATGGGGTTTCACCATGTTGGCCAGGCTGGCCTCGAACTCCTGACCTCAAGTGAGCCTCCCACCTTGGCCTCCCAAAGTGTGGGGATTACAGGCATGAGCCACTGCACCCAGCCCCCATTCTTTTTCTATGAAATAATGCTTCAGTGAAAAACCATGGGCATACATCATTTCGAACAGAAGTGATAAGTACAAATTCCACTTCAAGAATAAATTCCTAGAGGTGGAATTGTGGGGTCTGGCGGTATGTGGATTTGTAATTTTGATAGATAATGCAAACCTCCCACAAACTATGTACAGGACTGTTCTTGTGTTCTTTTACTTTTCTTTTTTTCTTTTTCTTTTTTTTTTTTTGAGATGGAATCTCACTCTGTCACCCAGGCTGGAGTTCAGTGGTGAAATCTCGGCTCACTGCAACCTCTGCCTCCCTGCTTCAAGCGATTCTTGTGCTTCAGTCTCCAGAGTAGCTGGGATTACAGGCATATGCCACCACACTTGGCCAGTTTTGTTCTTGTGTTCTTAAACTTGCTGGTTTTTGTACTTCTGATGTATAAATAATAGCTTCCTGCACTTTTCTTTTTACAGTGTGGTTGAATATATTTTCATATGTTCAAGAGCCATTACTATTTACTTATTTATTTATTTTTGAGACAGGGTCTCACTCTGTCACCCATGCTGGAGTGCAGTGGTGCGATCTTGGCTCACTGCAACCTCCACCTTCTAAGTTCAAGTGATTCTCTTGCCTCAGCCTCCCAAGTAGCTGGGACTACAGGCATGTGCCACCATGCCTGGCTAACTTTTGTATTTTTAGTAGAGTCGGGGTTTCGCCATATTGGCCAGTCTGGTCTCGAAATCCTGACCGCAGGTGATCTGCCTGCCTCAGCCTCCTAAATTGCTGGGATTAGAGGCATAAGCCACCGCTCCTGGCCCAACCCATTAGTATTTTTAATGTCCTCTGGGCCTTCTGAACCTAGGAAAGGGCTAGCTTGTCCCTAGATGAGCTATGTTAGTAGCTTCCTGCCAATGGGGTGGACCCTGCCTTCTTTCCTTTTAATGATGTTTATTGAATGATTGGACAAGAGTTCCCCCTTTTTGTCGCTCTGTAAGAACTCCCCCTGAACAGAGGGAATCTCAGCCCCTGCACATCCTTCTGTCATTCTTTGCTCCTGCTATTTCTTCTCCCTTACTAAACTCACTTGTCTCAGACTGCTAATGGACAAATGCCATAGCCAGTTGATCACTCTGGCCACCAGCCTCCATTGTACTGACCCAGTTTTCACCTCTGACTTTCTTGGGTATCTGTTGCCATCCAGCCCCATCTAGAGTTCCATACTTTCATTTCCTTCTGGTCACCTACTCTCAATGCTGCTAGTCCTTTGTTTAGCCAACCATAATGATGTAGTCTACCACCTCTTTGAGAGTGTAGTATGCATCAAGCACTGTGCTAAGTGTTTTGCAGAAATGATCTCATTAAGCCTTTATAAGAGCCTGATTTTATAGACGAATAGATGAATAAATTGAAGCTCAGAGAGGTTAGATAAATTTCCCGAGGGCAGATGGGTAGTGTGATGGTTAATTTTAGATGTCCACTTGACTGAGTTAAGGGATACCCATATAGCTGGTAAAACATTATTTCTGGGTGTGTCTGTGAGGATGTTCCCAGAAGAGATTAGCATTTGCATTGGTAGACTGAGAAAAGAAGATTGCCCCCACCAGTATGGACAGACATCATCCAATCCATTGAGAGCCAGGATGGAACAAAAAGGCAAAGGTGAATTTGCTCTCTTCTGGAGCTGGGACATCTATCTTTTCTTGCCCTGGGACATCAAAGCTTCCCCGATCGGTGGGCCTGTGGACCCAGGAACTTAACATCAGTGGTTTCTCCAAGTTCTCAGGCCTTTTACCTTGGACTGAGAGTTTACACCACTGGCTTCCCTGGTTCTCCAGCTTGCAGACAGCATATTGTGGATGTATTGGCCTCCATAATCATGTACACCAATTTCTATAATAAATTTTCTCTCATGTATCTCTATGTATCTGCTATGGTTTGAATATTTATCCCCTCCAAAACTCATGTCCCCTCCAAGACTCATTTACTCTCCAGTGTGTTGGTATTGAGAGGTGGGGTCTTTAAGAAGTGATTAAGCCATTCATGGATAAATGGATTAATAAATTAATGGATTAATAGATTAATGGGTTATCATGGGAATGGGACTGGTAGCTTTATAAGAAGAGGAAGGCCGGGCACGGTGGCTTATGCCTGTAATCCCAGCACTTTGGGAGGCCGAGGCCGGCGGATTGCCTGAGGTCAGGAGTTCGAGACTAGTTTGGCCAACATGGTGAAACCCCATCTCTACTGAAAAAAAAAAAAAAATAGATAGATGTGGTGGCGAGTGCCTGTAATCCCAGCTACTCAGGAGGCTGAGGCTGGGGAATTGCTTGGGCCAGGGAGGTGGAGGTTGCAGTGAGCCAAAATCGCACCATTGCACTCCCACCTGGGTGACAGAGGGAGACTCCATCTAAAAAAAAAATAACAATAATAATAAGAAGAAGAAAGAAGTGGAAGAGAGACCAAGAGATCTGAACTAGCACACTCAGTCCCTTCGCCATGTGATGCCCTGCCCTGCCTTAAGACCCTGCAGAGTCCTCATCAGCAGGAAGGCCGTCACCAGATGCAGCCCTTAGAACTTGAACTTCTTGGCCTCCATAAGTATAAGAGATAAATCTTTTTTCTTTATAAATTACCCAGTTTCAGGTACTCTGTTATAAGCAACAGAAAATGGACTAAGACAATATCATATTGGTTCTGTTTCTCTGGAGAACCCTGACTAATTAGAGGTGGTGATTGGAGGAGCTAGAACTCCATCTCTGTTTCACTCTAAACTGCATGTTGCTAATTGTCCTTGTGGTGGTACTAAGTGGACCTCAGTCTCTGGGGTTTGCTCTTTGGTGCTTTCTGGGGTTTGCCACCATCTCTCTCTAGTTCATGTAAATCTTTCTGTTTTGCTTTTTCTCTGATTCAAGTGTCTTTCTCTGCAAATTGCCCAGGTCTATTTTCTGAGGGATGGGTGAAGGGTAGAAGCCACTCACTATAGGGATCCTCAGGCATAGGGGCTGAAGCCCATGGTGATCCAGGTCTTGAGTTTTACCATTCAGGTGTCTTCTTCCTAAGGCACATGCACTCTGGAGCAAGAGGAATGGGGGCCGAGGAGGTGAAGAAGGAGAATGACCTCATATTGTATAGAACCCATCACTCCCATTCAGCACTCACTGCTCAGTCTGGTCCCCGCCCCCACTGCCCCACCCTGCCAACATTCTAGACTTCTACCCTATCCAGTGAGATTTTTCTCTCGGGCCTCTGTGTCCTTGTGTTCTGGCTTCTACTGGGTGTCTCAGGCCAGCAGATCCACACATATGTGAATCCTTCATACTGGTTGGACTCAAAAAATTGCCCAAGTGAAAAAAAATTTCCCAAGGGGTTCCCAGGATCTAGCAAATCAGGGGCTGCAACTAGACCCTTGTGTAAGAGTCCCTTGTGTAAGAACCATCTTCACTCGAGGCTGAACACATAGAATGCCGACAGGCTGTGTTGTAGCCAATTGCACATGCTGACATTTCTGGGCCTTAACCTTGGTGTTGCTAAACCATCCCAACATAATCTGCCCCCTCATGAAAGCCGTGTTCTGTAGTCTTGCCTGAAGATGGGATGATGGACTAAACAGGCTCTTAATGTTGAGTTCATTTTCATCTATATTTCTGTCCCATGTTCCTTTACCTGGATTCCTGTCTTTAGTACTGCTGCTATCTCTTAATTGTCCAATTTAATCCCAGTACCACTGCCTTGGGCTGGGTACTGTTCCTTCATGACTCTCATTCCAAATAGCTTGGTTCATACCCCATATTAGTCTGTTCTCACACTGCTATAAAGAACTGCCTGGCTGGGCCCAGTGGCTCATGCCTGTAATCCCAGCACTTTGGGAGGCCGAGGCAGGTGGGTCACCTGAGGTTAGGAGTTCGAGACCAGCCTGGCCAACATGGCAAAACTCCATCTCTACTAAAAATACAAAAATTAGCCAGGTGCGGTGGTGCATGCCTGTAATTCCAGCTACTTGGGAGGCTGAGGTGGGAGAATTTATTGAAACCGGGAGGCAGAGATTGGCAGTGAGCCGAGATCACGCTACTGCACTCCAACCTGGGTGAGAAAGTGAGACTCTGCCTCAAAAAAAAAAAAAAAAAAACCACCACCAACAACAAAAAAACCAAAAAACTGCCTAAGACTGGGTAATTTATAAAGAAAAGAGGTTTAATTGACTCACAGTTCTGCATGGCTGATCCTCAGGAAACTTGTAATCATGGCAGAGGGGAAGCAGGGAAGTCTTACATGGCAGCAGGCGAGACAGCATGTGAAGGAAGTGAAGGGGGAAGATCCCCTTATAAAACCATCAGATCTCATGGGAACTCACTCCCTATCATGAGAACAGCATGGGGGAAACTGCCCCCATGATCCAGTCACCTCCCACCAGGTCCCTCCCTCAACACCTGGGGATTACAATTTGAGATGAGATTTGGGTGGGGACGCAGTGCCAAACCATATCACATTCTTCCTTCCCAACTGCCCTTCTCCAACATGGTTTATCCCACTGCTTGTCAGTCAGCATTCCCAGCTGTTACTCCAGCAGCCCTTCCTGACTCTCCTTTCCCCCCATCCCAACTGCAGAGTCACCTTGGACTCTGGTCTTGCCTTCTGGCCACTCCCCAGAGCAGATGGAACATGGCCGCAGCCTAGAGGTGTTTTGTCAGCAGAGCTCTGCTCTTGCTTCTCTGTTTACTGGAAGATGGGCAGGACTGAGAGTGCATTTATCTGGAATTGGAGGGTCTGCAGCCAAACACAGCAGGATATCAACTCCATAGTGATTCAGTTCACTGTTTTTCCCAGAGTGGAAGTGGGAAAACAGGAATACTCAAGGTTGAAAGAAATGTCAGAGTCCTCTGATCTCCTCTTTAGCTCCTAGCTGTGGCCATCATTTAACCTACCTGGCCTGCAATTGTAGACCTGGCAAGATGATCTCTTTAAATCTCTCCCCTCTCAGAGACAGGTGAGTTTATACTACACGTAGGTGTCAGCACACACACGGGCAAACTTGAGGTTTTTGGAAAACGAAGAAAAATATTTTTCAATAGAAGGTTTATTTTGTAACATCCAGCACCAGCAATTTCTTTGGCTGAAAACAGGGTCGGTTTTCAAGGATGTGGTGTAGGGAGGGACACAGTGTGGTGCAATGGGCTTGGGGTCTGTCTTAATCTGTTTGGGCTGCTACAACAAAATACCATAGACTGGGTGACTTATAAACAACAGAAATTTATTTCTCACAGTTCTGGAGGCTGGGAAGTCCAAGATCAAGGCTTAGGCAAATTTATTGTCTGGTAAGGGCTCACTTTCTCATCGATGGCTCCTTCTTGCTATGTCTTCATATGGTGGAATGAGCTCCCTTGGGTCTCTTTTATTTTATTACTTTTATTTTTTTCTTTGAGACAAAGTCTCGCTCTGTTGCCCAGGTTGGAGTGCAGTGGAACAAACTCAGCTCACTGCAACCTCCACCACCTGGGTAGAAGCAATTCTCCTGCCTCAGCCTCCTGAGTAGCTGGGATTACGGGCATGCGCCACCGTGCCCAGCAATTTTTTTTTTGTATTCTTAGTAGAGATGGGGTTTGCTATGTTGGCCAGGCTTGTCTCGAACTCCTGGCCTCAAGTGATTTGCCTGCCTTGGCCTCCCAAAGTGCTGGGATTACAGGCGTGAACCACGGCAGCTGGCCCCTTGGGTCTCTTTTATAAGGCCACTGATCCCATTCATGACCATATTCATCATTTAATCACCTCCCAAAGTCCTGACCTCAAAATACCATCACATTAGGAATTAGGTTTCAACATGTGAATTTTGAGGGGAGAGGGGCACAAGCATTCAATCCCTAGGAGAGACCCAGAACCTAGTTCTAGTCGGCTAACTTGTGTAACTTCAGGAAAACCACTTCACTCTCTGAGCCTAAGGGTTTCCCATCATCTGTCAGTGATGGGGCTGGGCTAGTGGTCTCTGGAATTCCTTCCAGCTGTGATATGCCAGGATAGGCAAGCAACTGTTAGCCTTCACCCACGCAAATAACCGATGGTATCAGCTTTTAGCCACACAGGAAAGAAAACACATCTTTTCCCTGCCTAGGCTACCCTAGGTTTTCTCAATCTCGCCTTATTGACCTTTTTGAATTCTCTTCCTGAAAGCAAACTCTTCCTTCAAAGGAATCTGGACAGTAGAACACAAAGGGGCTGCCCTTTGCTGTTTGTAAGCTGAGGTCTGGGAAACAGACCACAGCAGGCTCAGCAGCCTCTTCATTATGGGTTACCCTGAATATTGTATTCTAGAAACTTCAGCAGCCTCAGGCAAGCATTTCTATTTGTCTGTATTTGCCCTGGCCTTGAATATCTTCATGCTGGCTACCTTGTAAACAGTGGTGCTTAATGAGTGTCTTGAAGCTCTGGGAGAGATTGATGTTTGACTCACATAAAAAGCATTTTCTCTAAACTTTTTTCTGAGAGACAGGGAGACTCTGTAAATCATTAAATGAAGACTATCTTAGTCTAAACTCTTAACAGGTCTCATCTTTGCTCTAGGCTACGTGTGTCAGGATTAGGCGAGCCTTCACTGTGAGGGGCTGGTGCACTGTGGCGCCTGTTAAATAGAGCATTAGGGATAGAAGCAGCAGGATTTTGAAGTGTGTTCAACAAAATGGAAGCTGAATGAAATGAATCCACAGAGCCAGGTAACTGCCAAGGGTACACTTTTGAGAGAGGGAAAACTGTGGATTGTATAGTCAGTTTCTCTTCAGAAAAGAGCACCACTCAGGTCAATTTAAATAGATTTGGCTACCCTCAAGGGATAGGTTGCAGGCATATTGCGAGTTTCATCCCCATCCCCATAATCAATATATTTGCCAATGAGGTGTCATCGGTCTGTGCATCCAGGGCCAGCCTTGAAAGAAGGGAAATTGGGATGATACTTCTTCCAAGGCCAAGTGCAGCTTAAGGGGTATGTGGGGAGAGGCTAGGGAGGAAGATCCCAGACCCAGCTGCGGAGCCCAGCCCTCTGCTTTTTTAGTTGCTAATTTCTGTAGGGGCGGTTTCACATATTTTCAGTAAAAGCTCAGAGTAGCACTCCCTCCCAACTCATCTGGTTCTTTTTGTTTATTTGGCTTGTTTATTTGTTTTGAGACAGGGTCTTATTCTGTAACCCAGGCTGGAATGCAGTGGCACAATCACAGCTCACTGCAGCCTCAACCTCCCAGGCTCAAGCAATCCTCCCACCTCAGCCTCCCAAGTAGCTGAGACTACAAGCATGTGCCACCACGCCCAGCTATTTTAAAAAAAATTTTGTAGAGATGAGATCTCTCCATGTTACCCAGGCTGGTCTCGAACTCCTGGACTTAAGGGATCCCCCTGCTTTGGCCTCCCCAAGGGCTGGGATTACAGGAATGAGCTACAGTGCCTGGCCCCATCTGGCTCTTGCAGTAGCATCTTCTCAACTTCCTCAACTTCACACCCCTGAACCAACAGCCAGTTCTGTCTGTGATTCCCCAGGGTTGGCACAGCAAGTCAAGAGAAAGATAGGGGCAGTCTGCAGACACAGATGCAAGGGGTGCTTGAGGCAGGGAGGAGTTTCTGTTGTTATTAATTCCCCTTTCACTTCCCCTTACCCCTTACCTGGTCTCTGCCTGCTCAGTCTCTGTACCTTACTTGTAAGATCTATGTTTCTGAAGTCCTGGCCTTTCCCTGTGGCTTCCCTCTTCCCACCTTGTGAAACTTTTGATGGTCTTTAAAGCTTAATTCAAGTGCTACCTCCTCTGGGAAGGCTTCTTGCCTGGCATGCTTGGAAGCCCCTCATCTGTGTTCCTATCACATTTAGTACCTCTGTCTTTCAAAGAGTTTATACTGTTTAGTCAATGTCTGTTTTCATGGTTATCTTTCCCCATAATTTGCTGAATTCCTTGAGGGCACGAACAAAATTTTTTATTTCTATATATTCTAGACCTTTCAGTCTTGGCCCACAGTAGGTCTTGAATAAATGTCTATTGACCAATATGAATAAAGAGAATTTAGGGGGCCCATCAGAATCTCCCTGGGTAGGGTTTTCAATGTATACATTGCCAGGCTCCAGCCCTAGAAATACAGATGCTCTAATCTAGACTGGGGTTCTTGAATCTGCCTTTTGAAAAAACCTCATGTGATTTTATTTATTTATTTACTTATTTATTTTTATTTTTTATTTTTTTGAGGTGGAGTTTCACTCTTGTTGCCCAGACTGGAGTGCAATGGTGTGATCTCGGCTTACCGCAACCTCCACCTCCCGGGTTCAAAGTATTCTTCTGTCTCAGCTTGCTGAGTAGCTGGGATCACAGGCATGCGCCACCACGCCTAGCTAATTTTTTTTTTTTTTTTTGTATTTTTAGTAGAGACGAGGTTTCACCATGTTGGCCAGGCTGGTCTCGAACTCCTGACCTCAAATGTTCCACCCACTTTGGCCTCCCAAAGTGCTAGGATTACAGGCGTGAGCCATCGCGCCCGGCTTTTTTAATTTTTTTATTTTCTTTTATTTATTTATTTTTTGAGACAGAGTCTTGCTCTATCGCCCAGGCTGGAGTGCAGTGGTGCCATCTCACTGCAACCTCCACCTCCCAGACTCAAGCTATCCTTCCACCTCAGCCTCCTGAGTAGCTGGGACTACAGGTGTGCACCACCAAGTTGGCTAATTTTTGTATTTTTTATAGAGGCAGGTTTTCGCCATGTCGCACAGGCTGGTCTTGAACTCATGAGCTTACATGATCTGCCCACGGTGGCCGCCCAAAGTGCTGGGATTACAGGTGTGAACTACCGTGCCCAGCCTATATTCATCTTAAAATGTAAAAGAGGCTGGGTGTGGTGATTCATTCCTGTAATCCCAGCACTTTGGGAGGCCAGGGCAGGAGGATCACTTGAGCCCAGGAGGTTGAGACCAGCCTGAGCAACACAGGGACACCCCTGTCTCTACAGAAAAAAAAAAATTAGCTGGGCATGGAGGCATGCACTTGTGGTCCCAGCTACTCAGGAGCCTGAGGCGGGAGTTTCCCTTGAGCCTAGGAGTTCAAGGCTGCAGTAAGCAGTGATCATTGCACTACACTCCAGCCTGGGCAACAGAGAGAGATGATGTCTCAAAAAAAAAAAAACAAATAGAGATGTGTTAGGAAGAGGAGATTCAGTGAGACATGAAACAAAATATCAGTATGAGACTAAAGTTCTCTGGTTCTTCAATAACAATAACTATCATTAATGATAATAAACCCCATTGTATTTGGAAGTATAGACACTACTGATGATGTTGCAGATGTTGGAGGGAAAAGCCATGATCACACTCAGCTGATGGCAGTGTGCAAACAATCCAGCCCAGATCAGCCCAGCTTTTTTGTTTATAAAGTGCGTAGACAGCATCTGCTTAAATAAACAAAGAGCCACCCTTGGGTTGTTGATTGTTGAAGGAGGGAGAGATGTGGAGAATTTAGTCCAGTGATCTCATTTTAGAGATGAGGAAACTAAGGCTCAGGGAGGGGCAGTGACCTCATGTGCAGTAACCATTTAATGGAACCGCCGGGCCTAGAATCGAGTTTCCTGACTCTCTGCACACTGGTTATTCCTGAACAATCTACCTAAATGTTCCTAGGTTCGGGGAAAGTCTACTAATTCCCCCAAGAGTCCCAGAGTGTCCCAGTCAGCCCAATCCATGCCCTACCCTGAACTGCCCAACCCCTTCCCAATCTTCTCCCACCTTTGCCTCCAGGGTTATTTTTCCAAAAGTCAGTGCCAATCAGGGCCTTCCTCCCCACCACAGAAATTTATGCTGGGTTCTCAGAGTAATAAAATAAACTCTAAACTCCTCAGCAAGGCACTGCAGGTCCCTTGCTTTGTGATCCAAGTGGAGCCTGCTCTGATGTCATCTCCCGTCCCTCTTCCATGCCCCGACAGACAGGGCACTGTGGCTTGCCTGCTCACATGCATTCCTGACCCTCCTCTTCTGTCTGGCAGAGCCCAAAACCTATTAGAGAGGTTGCAAAGGCTAAATGCTCTCTTTTCCCATTCAGTTGAACCCAGAGCATAGGGTTGTGAGCCAGCACTGCCCGTCAGGATGATGCCCATGGACACCTACTGTGGGGGATAGAGGTAGCTTTGGTTTTTCTCCTTCTAAAATAGAGGGATGTACATAGAGAGGCCCTTCCACCTTCTTCCTGGTTTCGGAGGACGTGGCATGAGCACTTGGTAATGAAGCTGCTGCAGTTATCTCGCAGTCCTGAGGGAGAAGGCCAAAGAATCCCAGAGAAGCTGCCCCACAGGCCAGATATCACCAACCCAGATCAACCAGCGCTGGAACTTTCCACAGCTGGACTTATTGTTATATAAAATATAAATATATTATATGGTAATCTATAACAAATGACTAAATAATAAACTTACAAATTCACAATTACTTAAGTCTTCCATTACTTGCATGCTGACCGATACAATAGCTGTTCTTTGTTTCTTTTTTTTTTTTTTTGAGATGGAGTCTTGCTCTGTTGCCCAGGCTGGAGTGCAGTGGCGCCATCTTGGCTCACTGCAGCCTCCTCCTCCTGGGTTCAAGTGATTCTTCTGCCTCAGCCTCCTGACTCAGTAGCTGGGATTACAGGCCCCTGCCATCATGCCCAGCTAATTTTTGTATTTTTAGTAGAGATGAGGTTTCGCCATGTTGGCCAGGCTGGTCTCGAACTCCTGACCTTAAGTGATCTGCACGCCTCGGCCTCCCAAAGTGTTGGGATTACAGGTGTGAGCCGCTGCATGTGGCCAATAGCTGCTCTTTGACTGAATCGGGCCTCCTTCCCTCAGCTGCCTGCCCCCTCAGGAAATGGAGACGAGAGTTAAAACTACGGAAAAGCTCAAGTCTCCCCACTGTATCCTGGACTTGCTCCTCATTCCTTCCCTTTGTGGGCCTCTGCAGTAGGGTTTCTGCTTCTACAAGGCCAATGGACACTCCAGAAAGGTAGCATCTCAATGCCCTGGAAGTGTTCTCTTGACTCATACTCACAGCTCCTTCCACCTAGCTCTAGACTCTTCTGGGCAAGGACTTCAGTTCTTGTTCTCTATTTTCTGTTTATGTAGCAATTCAGGCTTGACAGAGTCTGGGCGTCCCATGAGGAATTTTGGCTTCCTTTAGGAGAGAGTCTGCCTCCCACTCAACAGGGCCTCCTTGGACCACGTGAGGGCATGGCCTTCCCAATTCCACTCTATTTAGAGATTCTCACTTGTTGTGATCCTGGTCTTCATGGCTGGATATGGACATTACCACCTTTCACCTCTCTCCATGCCTGGAGGAACAAATTCTTTGCTCCAATCAAACCAGTTTACATGCATGCTTCAAAAATCAACCTTCTCTTCTTCTTTCAACAGTTTCCTCCACCTTGAATGCTCCTTTATACCAACATCTCCACCTATCAGAATCTGCCCCAATCTTAAAAACCTCATGCACATTCACATCCTCTGTGTGTGAATTTTCTCCATTCCAGCTAGAGAGCTCTCCTCCCTTTCAGCACTTGCAAGACCGTGCATAGCCTAGCAATTACTCAGTGTGTATTATACTGCCTTGTTTTTGGGTTGTGAACATGTGTCTCCCAGCTGGACTACAAGCTCCTGGAACCACAGTTTATATATCTTTTAAATCCTCTCCGGAGAAAGTGCTGCAGGTCAATCCAAGTCAACAAATATTTGCTGTGCTTGGTGATGATGCTATCTCAGGACTTCTTGTTATGGGGAATAATAAATGTAGCTATTCTTCAAAGATAATTTTATTTGGGATTGCATTTCCTTGCAACCAAGAGCACCGTACCTAATACATATACCAACAAAGGAAATAGATGTAGGAGTGGAAATGATTTTTCTACAGTTTATTTCAACTTGGGTGGTGTATAAGGGGGAATGACTGAAAGAAGGGAGAGGGTAAGGATTGGTCTCATAAATATGTATCCATAATAATTTTTAAAAAGTTTTAAAAAGTTATAATAAGGTAACTATAACTAACAATAATTTATTATCTATTTCACAAGAGCTAGAAGAGTTGATCTGAAATGTTCTTAACACAAATGATAAATGTTTGAGGTGATGGCTATCTCAAGTGCCTGATTTGATTATTACACATTGTATGCTTGTATCAAAATATCATATGTACTCTATATATGTGGATATACATAACAATTCTACATAATACTATTATTAATATTAATATAATAAATAATAATAATCATAACAATAGTATTATGTACAATTATTATGTATCTGTAACCATATAAAATAAACAAATTAGAAAAAGAGTTCGTGTATGTGTGTGTGTAAAAGCCCAAAGCTAAAGGAAACTCATAGTGACTGTGTGTACAAATGTGGTGGTGGGGGGAGGAGGGTCATGAGGAGGTTTATTTAGGAGCAAGATTAAAATAATAAACTTCATGTTCAGTGCTATCCTCATATAAATTAGTAAACTCTGGATATTCTTTTAAGCAACAAACATTTCTTGAGTGCCCCACGTTTGTGAGGTTTGGATAAGAATACTCTATTTCTTAACATTTTAACTTACCTCATCCAAACGAATGCTTCCTAACATGAAATTTGATTTTACTCTCAATAGATAAAGAAAATAGTTTTTATTCTCCATTTAGGTCAAAAGCAATTTTGGCAGCAGTTCAAACACTTCTCAGGGCACCAAAAATAACTAGAAGCATATCTTTGTGAATGTCTTTTTTTGGGGCAGGGGTTGGGGGCTGTTTTTTTCTCTGGTATTTTTCTTCTCTATCTTTTGAATTTTCTTTCTTTTTAACAAATTTTGCAGTTTTTGCTTTTTTTTTTCATCACATCTCTCTCTGCTTTGACATTGCTTGACAGTTTGAAAAACCTAGGTGTTCTTTCATTCCTCTCTGAGATGACGGTAACATTTCAATAATTCATATTAATGGGTTTGGGGAGTTGGAGTCCCTGGAGGAGCAGGAAAGCAGTTTGGTAAAGTGGAGGAAGCCTTGGATCTGAGTTTGGGAGACCTGGGTTTTCAAGCAGGATTTTATCGCTAACTGGCTGGATGACCTTGGGCAAATCACAGCTACTCAGAGTGTTCAGGCCCTTATCTCTAACAAGAAGGATTTGGCCAACATGCCGTCTAGGCATTAACATTCTATGACATTTCTAAAAACCAGCTTTCTATAAAAAGTGAGATTTGCACTTGTGTTTGAAAATATGGGTCTTTGGTGATAATTAACACTGGATTTAAAAGGCGTTTTGTATTCTGCAACTTTGTGGTTACTTGAGCTTTATAAATGAGGACTGGGATTTGGGACCAGCCTTTCTCAGGTTGTCGTCAATCAAACACTGGAAACATTTCCAGATAAGAGTTGACTCTGCAGGAAATGGGGAGAAGAATAGTAACAGTCCTTGACTTGTGCTCTTTTTTTTCTTTTTTCTTTTTTTTGGTGGTTAAAAAATCATAACATTGAAATCTATCCTACTAGCAAAATTTTAAGTGTACAGTACAGTATTGTTAACTATAGGCATGAGGTTGTATAGCAGATCTCTAGAACATTTTCATCTTGCATAACCAAAACTTTATATCCATTGCATAGCAATTCCCCATTTCTCCTTCCCTTTCAGCCCCTGGAAACCACGATTCTACTTTATGCTTTTATGAGTTTGACTACTTTAGATACCTCATATAAGTGAAATCATGTAGTATGTATTTCTTCTTCTATGATGGGTTTATTTCACTTAGCATAGTGTCCAACTTTGACAGGATTTATCTCTTTTTTAAGGCTGAATAATATTCCTTGATTTGTATTCTAAATAGAATTTTTCTGAGTTTGATACAAATAAAATTAAAATTCATGTATTTTGTCTCAACACCCATTGCTGCTCTAATTCATGGTGCCCTCAACAATGCAAAAACTCTTTGGGCAGATTTGCCTTGCACCCACTAGCATCTAAAGATGGCTTTCTTTACCTTTGGATGTGTTCCCAATATTGCTTGATTATTCTTTAATGATTTTTCTTTAATGATTTTAAGTTATAGTCAGGCTTATAAACAACAGAAGTCTTTGTCTGCAAACATTTTTTTAAATGGAAAGATCATACTATTTTGGAACAATCTAGATTCTTGTCTTGACTTTGTGCAGCCTTGGGCAAGTCTTTCCCATGATGGCTCTGAGTTTCCTCATCTGTAGAATGCAGGCATTAGACTAGTTGGGTGGTTCTCAACAAGGGCAATTTTGCTTTTCAGTGGACCTTTGGCAATGTCTGAACACATTTTTGGTTGTCCTAGCAGGGGAGGGTGTGACTGGCATCGAATGGGGAGAAGCCAGGGTTCCTGCTGAACATCATACCATGCATAGAACCGTCCCTCCCTCACCCTCCAAGTTCTCGAAAGAATTTTCTGGACCTAATGTCAATAGTGGTGACATTGAGAAATCTTAGATTTCTAAGTTTTCTACCATCTATAAAATGCCACAACTCCTTCCATCTCATCACTTTTGCCCTTCACTCTCTCGTGGGCTTGGGCCTAAGATAAAACTGTAAAGAGCTTATTTAATTTCTTCCTTGTCCTATAGTTTGTTCTTCCCAAGCTTGCATTCTTTGTCCTCTTCTTTCCCTGTCTCATCATGACCCGGGACAAATTTAAGAGGCATATACATTTTAACAAGGTTTAAATTCTGGGTGGCATCAGGCTGGTTTGAAGGAGAAAGACATTTAATCGGCCTAGGCCTTTGCTGCCAGACGGCTTTCATCTTGTTTTGAGTCCATGTGAGAACACTTCCCTGCCAATTATGTAAGCTGGGGACTGGGGAAGGGTGGACTACTGTTCAGTATTAAAATAAGGTGATGTTTAGTTTTTAGTTTAAGTTTTGAGCCACTGTCAGATTTTGTTTCTTATTCTTTCATATTCCAACAGTCTCCATCTTGTACAGAAGTTTCACATGCAAAAGTAAAACAGCAGCATAACTGCTCAGGTAGGTTTTAGTCCCAGAGAAACAAAAGCATAACATCTCTAATGTATACCTAGCATTTAAGACACAATCTTTAATCATTTATTTCTTGCGTGTCTATGCTAGAAATATAGCTGGTATCCAAACAGGAAAGACGGAACCTAGGTGTTATCTCTGATAACCTTCCTCTCTCTCATCTCTCATACCTAATCCATCTCCAAATCCTATCAATTTTGCCTCTGAAATATTCTGCGGATCTACCCCTTAACTCAACCTCTTTCAATAACTGCAGTCCAAGTCACTGTCACCTTGTCCTGGACCACTGTCATGTACACTTAACCACTCCAAACCCATCTACCCTGGTCCCCTCCACTCTACTCTTCACATTGAAATACAATATAAGTCACTGTCTCAAAACACAAATTAGATCACATCAGGCCCTTGGATGAAACTCTTCAATGGCTTTTCACTCTGCTGAGGATAAAGGCAAAACTGCTTTACATGGTCTATGATCTACCTCCCTCCCCACCCTCATCCTCCTGTCCTCCTACCCACTCAAGTTCTCCAAATACATCTCATCCCACCTGTTCCTCATTTTTTCTACTCCAATGACAGTAGCATCTTTCAGTCCCTGGAACTTTTCATGCTCCTTTCTACCACAGTGCCTTTGCACAGACCTTTCCTCCAGCCTGAATGCTCTCACTATCCTTACTCCTACCTCCCTGTCTTAGACTGGGTTTTCCCAGAAGCAGACTTTGAGACTGGGACTTGAGTTTGTGTAATTTATTGGAAAGGTGATCCAGAAAGCACTGCTGAGGGAGTGGGGACAGTGAGTCAGGAAAAAGGGGAAGCCAGCACAGGTACAGTAATGAGCAGAGTCCTAGAGAGGGCAGTTGAGGCTGAGACTCACTAAGGCCTTCTGGGAAATGGCACAGAACATGCCTCTGAGTTGTCCATCCTGAGGGGTGAGAAGGTGAGTTATTTGTACTCTAATTCCTATTGACTATAGGTTGATGACTACTCCTGGGATTGCCATTTTCCTGGTACTTCTGGCCTGTCCTGTGCATGGGCTGAGGCCACTCCCATGGCCAGAGAAAGCCCTTGGGGAAAACATGTGTTTGCAGTAGGAAGCTATCCTACTGCCCAGGAATGTGGTGATAGGGGAACTGAGCAGGGGACTGGTAGCATCTGCTTCACCACGCACCCCTTCTTCATCTAATAGTTAATTCCTACCCATTCTCCGATCTCAGTTCAGCACCTCTTCCAAGAAGCACCCCCAGACCTCCCTGAGGTAGTCAGTACCCTCATAATCAGCACACCTGGCACCATGGTCCTTTCCTTTGCAGCATCTGCCACAGTGTGATTGTTTCATTAATATTTGTCTCTAGCACTGGACTACAGATAAACTGAGGCAGGGGCTGTGCCTGTGTTTACTCACCTGTGTCTTTACTGCCACCGTGGCAGCCAGCTCTGGCTTTGTGGCATGTAGGATGGATGCTCTTTAATTTTATTCTTTTTTTACCCCTAATGGGACATAAAGTTTTTCTCTTAGTCACCATTTTAAGCACAGCTAACAGTTCTCACCTTTGTTCGGATTATATTCTGTTTCTACACAAGGATTAGAACTTGGTCTTAATCAAGTCATTAGAAAATTATAGACGTTAAAAAATCCAAACAAGCACTGAAACATTGCTGTGTAGACACAGACTGAAGTGTTTAGAGATAGAACTGGGGACTGGCAGGCAGTGTGATTCTACCATGGCTCAGAGTCGCATGAAAGGTGATTTTGGCCTGTCTCTAAGGTGGAAAGAAGTGTGTTTTGTTTTGGAGACGGAGTTTCACTCTTGTCACCCAGGCTGGAGTGCCATGGCACAATCTCGGCTCACTGCAACCTCCACGTCTTGGGTTCAAGTGATTCTCCTGCCTCACCCTCCCAAGTACCTGGGATTACAGGCGCCCGCCACCACGCCCGGCTAATTTTTGTATTTTTAGTAGAGACGGGGTTTGGCCATGTTGGCCAGGCTGGTCTCAAACTCCTGACCTCAGGTGATCTGCCCGCCTCGGCCTCCCAAAGTGCTGGGATTCTAGGCATGAGCCACCATTCCTGGCCAAGAAGTGTGATTTCTACAAAAGTCTAATGAATGAAAGCTAAGGGCTATGCCATGTACTCATTGTTTTCTTCTGTGAATCAGAATAGAGCCAACCCATAACAGCTATGCGGTGTAATCTATCTTTTTAGAGAAAAGCTTCTGATGCTGTAAAGAGAGGGTGTAATTCTTGGGAGCATATTAGTCGAGACTCCAACACTGACTACTATAAAGGGAAAAACCGGATGCAAGACATGGGATGGATGGGGTGGGAGGGGGTCAGGGTTACAAGAAATATGATTGGTTCTCTTTCCTTCTCATTCTCTCCCCCTTTCTTATTCTCATCTTCTCCCCTCCACCTGTTTGATTCTTTCTGTGCTTTCCACGTTTTCTTCTACTCTGGATAGGCTGCTTTTATATGGAGGAAAACATGAACACCGGCATTCCCAAGGATAAGTAATCTAGGAGCCTCAGTAGCAAGGAACAGAATCTTTCTCCCACGATCCATACACTGGGGAATTAATTGGTCCTACTTGAGTCATCTACCTGTTCCTTGGACCAATTTCTGTGGTTAGTGACAGGGAATAGCATGATTACCCAGAGGGGATGATGTGCACCCCTGTGGTAGTGTTGGAGAGTAGGGTATTTTGATTGGCAGCCCCATCGGAACCACATGGAAGGAAGAAAGAGGGCTGCTGCTACTGAAATAAAGAGAAAATGCTAGGCACAAGAAAATGAGAGCTGTCTCTAGAAAAAGAAACTGATTAGCTTTTTAATTCATTAATTCATTCAGACACAGTTATTTATTCAAAAAAATCTATTGATTCTCTGTTATGACCAAATACTTCCAGTCATAGAAATAAAAGGTAGTTTCTCTCATTCAGTAACTCAATATGGTGGAGGAGATAGACAAGTAGACAATTAAGGTAGGAATCAGCTTTTAAGATCTTATATTATTAGAATAGCCCAACTGCAGGAACTTTAAAAATAGAATTCTTTATGTATTTCCAAAGAAGCTGGGAGCTACCATGAAAATAAGAATCGTCTTCATTCCTTCTGATTCCAGCCACAACAAAGCTAATTAGCTGTCCTTCTGCCCTTCTGGTAAAGTCTGGGTGGGAGGTGTGGGGGAATGGGGAGAAGACAGCTCAAAGAGATACTGAACATCTATTCAGACAAAGCTTCCCTCTGGTAAGGGAAGATTATAAAAATTCCAAGGATTCTCTGATTAAGAAATCTCTTAATCACCTCTCATGTGCTAGACTGCAAGAATGAACTGCTATGTCCAGAAGTTCAAGAGTCAATCATTCCTGATTTGCTAGGAGAATTTCTTAGCAAAATGCACTAAGCTTGTCAACCACCAAGCATTTATAATGCTCCAATTGTTTGATCGATCTTGCTTCTTAAATGCTGTTCTCAACCAAGTGCCCTCCTATAGAACTTCAATGGCCTTGGCCAATGTTCCACGAGACATCATCTTCTGGAATTCATATTCAATTTAGAAATTTTCCAGGGACCACCTGCTTGAGAGATAAAAATGAAAGAATATGGTTTATAATAACACTAACCAAAGGCAATCACGGCTAAGCAAACTTATTTCCTACTGAAAAACAAAAGTGATTTAGAGTGAAGTTGACCTGAGTAGTTTGTTCTAGTAATAAAGGACCATTTTCTCTAAGGTCTACAATCCTTTAACTATTTTACTGTTGCCTAACCCATGCACACGCCTCCCCAAGCATATGTTTCAAGCACTCTGCTTGCTATAGCCTTCAACACTTTAGGTCTGAGAACTTTCCCTATAGGAAGATAAAGGGCTATAACTCACAGAAGTTCTGAGATTTCTTGTGGAGAGGCAGCTTTTATCAGTTCTGGAACAGGCCTTTTAATAACATAACCTACACTCTGACATGAGGTAGCCACACCTGTTATCTCAAGCCTTCTAAAGCAGGTCAATCCTCAGAGCAGTTTCAAGGAACATCAGTGGCAGGAAGAAAAACTACCTAAATCTAACAGGAATAACTCCCTTATTGACTTAGCCAAAAAAGGCTAGCTTAGATAAGTACGTTGCAAGTCTCTAAGTTACCAAATCTCTAGCTGAAGTAATGGCAAACCTGTTAAAAGCCATAGGAAGGGTCCCTTGATATTATTTAATCCAACTTCCACCTTGAACAGTGGAAGAGCAATGAAATGACTTTCCAAGATCCCATCATGAATGAGGGGCCTAGCCCATCATGTGCCCTTCTGATGCTTTCCTCTTGGTATTAGCTACAAGTAACAGAAGAGCACAATTAATATTTATCAAACAAAAAAATTTGTTATCTTACATAGTAAGACTGGAGGTAATGAGGCTCTAGGATTGATTAGAATTTCAGTAATGTTATAAAAGTTTCAGTCTCTTCCATTATTCTCTTTTTGCTCTGCTATTCTTGAAGTGTTGAAATTTGACCTCAGGTTTGCCCTCTCATGATTTCAAGATGGCTTTAAGCATTTCATCTGCACACACCATCAACCAAAGGCTGGAATAGAACCTACCCCCAACCCATTCTTGAGACCATTTTTTGATTGGCAGTCCCATCAAAACCACGTGGAAGGAAGAAAGAAGAACCGCATGGAAAGAGTATGGAGAACTTTCCCAGAATCCCCAGATTTCTTTTCACATCTCATTGGCTGGAATTGCACAAATCAGTAGCAAGGCAAAGTGATCTACTGTGATTGGCTTAGATCAGTGGTCTGCATACCTCTGGGGATCCCAAGACAATTTTAGGGGATCTGCAATGTACAAAATTTTTCACAATATATTATTTTGTCTTTTCCATTATAATATGACTTTTCCACTGTATTGACTATTGCTGGTGGTTCAAAATCAATGGTGGATAAAGCTGGTACCTTATCATGAGTCAAGGTAGTGGCCTCAAGCTATATCAGTTTTAAAAAAGCCAATTCCACCTATGAATTCCTTGATGAAGTGGCAAAAACTCTAATTTTAATAAATTACAACCTTTGAACACACACATATTTTAAATATTAAACATTACAGCACTTCTGCTGCAAACCAAGACAGAACAACCTGTGTGGTGATTGTCTCAAGAAAGAGCACTTTTGCATTTGTTTGAGTCACCAGCTAGACTAGCCATTGTTTTTTGTTTGTTTGTTTTTTCCTGGAACACCATTTTTACTGGAAAGAACAAATGTCAGACAAACTATGGCTATTCAGACTTGGGCATTTGGCAGATATTTTCTTAAAAATGAACAAAGTCAGCCTGTCACTTCAAGGAAAATAACTAACTAATCAACAAAATGAAAAGGCATCTTACAGATTGGGAAAAATTACTTTCACATCATATATCTGATAAGGGGTTAATATATCCAAACTTTATAAAGAACTTGTATAACTCAAGTACAAGAAAACACATGACCAGATTAAAAAATGGCCAAAGGATCTGAATAGCTGTTTCTCCAAAGAAGATATACAAATAGCTAACAGGTACACGTATGAAAAGATTCTCAACATCACTGTCAGGGAAATGGAAGTGAAAACCACTATGAGCTATCACCTCACACCTGTTAAAATGGCTGTTATCAAAAAGGTAAGAGAGAACAGGTGTTGGCAAGGCTGGAGTGAAAAGAGAACCTTCGTACACTCTTGGTGGGAATGTAGATTGGTGCATCCATTATGGAAAACACTATGGGGTACCTAAAGAAATTAAAAATAGAATTAACATTTGTCTCAGAACCCCGTTTTCTAAGTATATACCCAAAGAAAATGAAATGACCACCTTGTAAAGATTTCTGCATGCTCATGTTCATTGCAGCGTTATTCTCAACAGCCAAGATGTGGTAACAACATAAGTGTCTGTCATAGACAAAGAAACTGAGGCATATATTATTCAGTTTTAAAGTGGAGGAGGCCGGGCATGGTGGCTCACATCTGCAATCCTAGCAATTTGGGAGGATGAGGTGGGAGAATCACTTGAACCCAGGAGTTAAAGACAAGCTGGGCAACATACTGAGACCCCCATCTCTATTAAAAAAAAGATTAGGCTGAGCGCGGTGGCTCACGTCTGTAATCGCAGCACTTTGGGAGGCTGAGGCTGGAGAGTTATGAGGTCAGGAGTTTGAGACCAGCCTGGCCAACATGGTGAAACAAAATACAAAAATTATCTGGACATAGTGGTGGGCACCTGTAATTCCAGCTACTTAGGAGGTTGAGGCAGGAAATTGCTTGAACCCAGGGGGTGGAAGTGGCAGTGAGCTGAGATTGCACCACTACACTCCAGCCTGGGTGACAGAGTGAGACTCCGTCTCAAAAAAAAAAAAAAAAAAAAAAAAAAGATTAAATAAATAAATAAATAAGGAGATCCTACCATTTGCAACAACATGAATGAACCTAGAGAACATTATAGTAAGTGAAATAAGACAGCCACAGAAAGAAAAATATTGCATAATCTCACATGGATGTGGAATCTAAAAAAACTGTCAAATATGCAGATATAGAGAATAAAACAGTGGTTATCAGGGGCAGGATGGAGGACAGGAAATAGGAAGATGTAAGTAAAGGATACAAAATAGCACCTATGTAGAAAGAACAAGTTTAAAGATCTAATGTACAACATGAGGACTATAATTAATAATAGTGTATTGTATCCAGATTTTTGGCTAAAGGAGTAGATTATTGTTGTTCTGGCCACAGGGAAAAGAAAAAGGTTAACTATGGAAGGTGATGGCTATGTTAACTTCTTTCACTGTAGTCACCATTTTACTACATATGTATCTTATAACATTGTGTGGTATACCTTAAATATACACAATACAATTAATTAAGAGGCAAACAACTAAAAATATATATTGTCAATGAAAATTAGAGGGTTTTTCTTGAGACAGGATCTCACTCTGTGGCCCAAGCTGGAGTGCAGTGACCTGGTGTGATCTCAGCTCACTGCAGCCTCCACATCCTGGGCTCAGGTGATCCTCCCACGTCAGCTTCTTGAGCAGCTGGGACTACAGGCGTGCACCATCACGCCCAGCTAGTTTTTGTATTTTTAGTAGAGACATGGTTTCTCCATGTTGCCCAGGTTGGTCTCAAACTCCTGGGCTCAAGTGATCTGCCCACCTTGGCTTCCCAAACTGCTGGGATTACAGGCATGAGCCACCGTGCCTGGCCAAGAATTAGACTTCTAAGCAACAATTAGAATTTCAAGACCAGGTGTGGTGGCTCATGCCTATAATCCCAGCCCTTTGAGAGGTGAGAAGATCACTTGAGCCCAGAAGTTTGAGATCAGCCTGGGCAACATATGGAGACCCTGTCTCTACAGAAATAATAAAAAAAATTAGCTGGTCATGGTAGTGTGTGCCTGTGGTCCCAGCTACTAGGGAGGCTGAGGTGGGAGAATCACCTGAGCTTGGGGGGTGGTTAAGACTGCAGTGAGCTGTGATCATGCCACTGCACTCCAGCCTAAGTGACATGGCGAGAGTCTGTCTCAAAAAAAAAAAAAAAAAAAATTTCAAAAAACTTATAGCTGCCGCTGTATTCTTGACAACTTCCCAAACCTGAAAGACCTATGTTTAGAATAGTAGTGATGTAAGTAAATTGTGGTTTTTTTGATATTGTGTAATGAAACACATCAACATTAGATCTGAGTCATTCAGTAAGCTGATGTCTTGAATGACCAAAGCGTGATGTTACACAGACATGCATGGATAAAAATTTCAAAGTTCAGGACAGAGCAGTAGATTTTAATGTAACACATATGAAAAGCTTAGTGATTTGGTTTCTGATTCAACATCACTACTAACTGCTAAGAATAAATCACTTCTTGGGCTCTTGCTGTCCAGTGTGTAGGGAGGAAAAGCCCGGTGAGGTCACAGTGAGAAGTCATCTGCAGACTGGAAAGAGAGCCCCTCCAGAAACCAGCTCTGCAGCACCTTGATCTCGGACCTCCAGCCTCCAGAACTCTGAGAAAATAAATGTTGTTTAAGGCAAAAAAAGAATATATTACTTATTAAATTTTAGTGTAGTATTAGGGAAGAATATCCACAATTATTTAAAAACTATTAAAACACTCTACATTTGAATTAAGCTAGATTCTCTTTATTTCAACAAAAACAATATTGCAACAGATTGAATGCAGAAGCAGAGAATCCAGGTGTCTTCTATTAAGCCAGATATTAATTTGCAAAAATGTAAAACAATGTCTGTTTTCTTGCTACATTTTTTCTTCAGAAAATTATAGTTATTTTTCATAAAATATTTTAGCATGTAATTTGTTTATTACTGTTATTTTTAATGAATTAAATGCTTTAAAATTTCTCAGTTTTAATTTCTTGTACAGTAAATATCAATAGGTATAATCCACATAAAAGTGCTTTGGAGATGTTCAATGATTTTTAAGCGTTTAAAGGGATGTGGAGATCAAAAAGTTTGAGAACATCTGGCTTAGGGTAATCAAAGGTCAGTTTCTGGGTAGGTATAAGCCCAGCTTCCCCTGAAACACAAGGTTCCCCAATACCTGAACAAATTGGGGTTCTCTGAGGAAGGAAGAAGAGGAGAAGCCTTTAGGGTTCCTTTGGGGCAATCCTATCTCCTCCAAGCCTCAAGTAGTATATGGCTGTTTTTCCAAAATTAAGGCCAGGAGCAGTGACTCATGCCTGTAATCCCAGCACTTTGAAAGGCCAAGCAGGGAGAGGATCAGTTGAGGCCAGGAGTTCAAAACCCACCTGGCAGGCTGGGCGCAGTGGCTCACACCTGTAATCCCAGCACTTTGGGAGGCCGAGGCGGGCAGATCACGAGGTCAGGAGATCGAGACCAGCCTGACCAACTTAGTGAAACTCCGTCTCTACTAAAAATACAAAAATTAGCCGGGCATGGTGTCATCTGCCTGTAATCCCAGCTACTCAGGAGGCTGAGGCAGGAGAATCGCTTGAATCCGGGAGGCAGAGGTTGCAGTGAGCCGAGATCTCACCACTGCACTGCAGCCTGAGCAACAGAGCAGGACTCCATCTCAAAAACAAAACAAACAAACAAACAAACAAAACCCCACCTGGCCAACATAGTGAGACCCTGTCTCTAAAAACAAACAAACAAACAAACAAACAAACAAACCGAAAGAACCTCCAAATGAACTAAAACTGAATTTGGTTTGTGCTTCTTCAGAGAATTTGAACCAGAATATTCTCAACCATAATTAAAGGAATGCAAACAAAACAATAATTAGGTAACTTTCTAAAAAATATTAGATTTGCAAAAATTCAAAAATCTGATAAATCCAGTGCTAAAGACATAGAAAAATAAGTAGGAGCATAAACTGATGCAACCTTTATTATTTTTGGGGAGAGGGATATGGAATTTGCTCATAGCTATCAAAATTTTAAATGCTTATTCCTTTTGACCCAGCATTTAACTATTAGAAATTTATCCTACAGATATATTCCAAAATACGTTAAAATGCTCATTTCAGTGTTGTTTGTAATGCTAAAACCCTGAAAATAATCTAACTGCTCATTAATAGAATATTGATTGATTTAATATGGAACATCCATGCAATGGAAGGCTAGGTTATTAAAATAAGCTATTTAGATATGTATGTGTTATTACTGAAAGATCTCCAAGGTATTTTATTAAAAACAAAAATGTAATATTCAGAGCAGTGGGTAAAATATGATCACTGCTCCAGTTGTCTATTGCTGCATAAAAATCATCCCAAACTTAGTGACTTCAAACTACAGTTATTAATTATGCTTGCAAACCTGCAAATTGGGAGAGCTTGGCAGGAGCAGCTTGTCTTATTCCACCTGGAGTTAGCAGGATGGCTTAGAGGTTGGGGGCGACCTAATGTTTAGAGATGGAATCATGTGAAGGCTTTCTTGTTCACATATCTTGTAGTTGATGTTGGCTGTTGCCTTGAATGGGGCATCCTTATGTGGTTGTCCCGCTTGCTTACAGCATGTGGCTGAGTTCTGAGAACAAACATCTTAAGGCACAGGAAATGGAAGCTACCAGTTTTTGAGGTCTTGGTCCAAACACTTGGCACAGCATCGCTTGTACTATATTCTATTTGAACTTGAGTTAAGCAGTCAGTGAGCCCAGACTCAAGGGGAGGGAATTTAGACTTTGCCTCTTGATACAAAGAGTGTCAAATAATTTAGGGTTTATGTTTTAAAACCTCCGCAATCCCAGGTATGTAAAAATTTAAAGGCACACACATGTAAAGTACAGATATGTGCAAGATTTTTTTTTTCTTCCAGAGAGGCTGCAGAAAAAACTGTTGAAGTGGGTCCAGGCATGGTGGCTCATGCCTATAATCCCAGCCCTTTGGGAGGCTGAGGTGGGCGGATTACCTGAGGTCGGGAGTTTGAGACCAGCCTGACCAACATGCAGAAACCCCATCTCTACTAAAAATACAAAATTAGCCAGGCATAGTGGTGCATGCCTGTAATCCCAGCTACTCGGGAGGCTGAGGCAGGAGAATCGCTTGAACCTGAGAGGTGGAGCTTGTGGTGAGCTGAGGTCGTGCCATTGCACTCCAGCCTGGGCAACAAGAGCGAAACTCCATCTCAAAAACAAACAAACAAACAAAAAGCAAAAAACAAAAAACAAAAAACCTGTTAAAGTATGACTACTTTTTGGGTAGAGAAAACATGGGTTAAGGATGGGTTGAGCAGGAAAAAGAAGACTTTAATTTCTGATTTTTTACCTTATTACACTATTTGAGTTTTTGTCCATGAGGATATACTCCTTTTATTTAAAAAACCCCAAAATAACAGCAACTTATCCAGGATAAGAATGAAGTCTTTCCTTGGGCCTCCATGTCAAGTATCTTATTTTATATACACAGCAATTCTGTGAGGTCATTAGGGAAGGTATGACCATCCCTCTTGTATTAGTTCATTTTCTCTTACTTTTTTTGTGAGACAGAATCTCCCTCTGTTTCCCAGGCTGCAGAGCAGTGGCACAATCTCGGCTCATCACAACCTCTGCCTCCCGGGTTCAAGTGATTCTCCTGCCTCAGCCTCCTGAGTAGCTGGGACTACAGGCGTGCTCCACTATGCCCGGCTAATTTTTGTATTTTTAGTAGAGACGGGGTTTCACCATATTGGCCAGGCTGGTCTTGAACTACTGACCACGTGATCTGCCTGCCTTGGCCTCCCAAAGTGCTAGGATTACAGGCTTGAGTCACTGCGCCCGGCCGTATTAGTTCATTTTCATACTGTGATGTAGAAATACAAATACCTGAGACTGGGTAATTTATAAAGAAAAAGAGGTTTAATGAAATCACAGTTCCATGTGACTGGGAAGGCCTCACAATCATGGCAGAAGGTGAAGGAGGAGAAAAGGCATGTCTTACATGGTGGCAGGCAAGAGACTGTGTCTAGGAGAACTGCCCTTTAGAAAACCATCAGATCTCACAAGACTTATTCACTGTGATGAGAACAGCATGGGAAAGACCCACCCCCATGATTCAGTTACCTCCCACTGGGTCCCACCCATGACATGTGGGGATTATGGGAGCTACAATTCAAGATGAGATTTGGGTGGGGACATAGCCAAACCATATCACCCGTTTTCAGATGAAGATCAGAATCTAGGTCTCAACTTCCAATTGAATATCCTTTTCCACTTTTTAATTAAGAAGAACCCAGGCCTAGAATTTGGCCTATCTACTTGGAGGGGCCGATTTTGAATGCAGTTTTAACAGGTGCAGGGAAACTGTTCATGCTTGGTACTTGAACCTGAATCCAAAACCATAACAGTAACTCTCCCAGCGTCTAGCACATTGCCTGGAATCAGTTTGCTGAATAAAGGAATACAAAAACTCCTTATTATTCAAATCTATCCTCCATTCCCTCCACTCTAAATCACAGACATAATAAAGTGGAAAATTGACCTTATTTTACTCTTGTTCAGAATGCTTCAATGTGTGAACTCACTTTCTACAAAGGTGCCAAGAACTTATATTGGGGGAAAGGACAGTCTCTTCAATAAACCATGGCTGGGATGACAGGATATCCATAGAAGAATGAAACTCGACCCCTATCCCTAGCCATGTACAAAAATAAAATCAAAATGGATTAAAGACTTTAAGACCTCATACTATGAAACTACTCAAGAAAACATTGGGGAAAAATCTCCAGGATGTTTGTCTGGGCAGAAATTTCTTGAGTAATACCCCACAAGCATGGGCAACCAAAGCAAAAATGAACAAATGGGATCACATCAAGTTAAAAAGCTTCTGCACAGCAAAGGAAACAATGAACAAAATGAAGAGACAACCCATAGAATGGGAGAAAATATTTTCAAACTACTCATCTGACAAGAGATTAATAATCAGAATATATAAGGAGCTCAAACAACTCTACAGGAAAGAATCTAATAATTCAATAAAAAATGGGCAAAAGATTGGGATAGATATTTCTCAAAAGAAGACATACAAATGGCAAACAGGCACGTGAAAAAGTGCTCAACATCACTGACCATCAGATAAATGTAAATCAAAACTACAATGAGATATCATCTCACTCAAGTTAAAATGGCTTATATCCAAAAAACAGGCAATAACAAGTGCTGGTGAGGATGTGGAGAAAAGGGAAACTTCATATACTGTTGGTGGGAATGTAAATTAGTACAACCACTATGGAGAACAGTTTGGAGGTTTCTCAAAAAACTAAAAATTGGGCTATCATATGACCCAGCAATCCCACTGTTGGGTATATACCCAAAAGAAAGGAAATCAGTATATGGAAGAGGTATCTGCACTCCTATGTTTGTTGCAGCACTGTTTATTATAGCTAAGAGTTGGAAGTAGCCTAAGTGTTCATCAACAGATTAATTGATAAGGAAAATGTGGTACATATACACAATGGAGTGTGATTCAGCCACAGAAAAGAATGAGATCCAGTCATTTGCAACAACATAGATGGAACTGGAGATCATTGAGTGAAATAAGCTAGGCACAGAAAGACAAACATCACATGTTGTCAGTTATTTGTAGGATATAAAAATCAAAACTATTGAACTCATGGACATAGAGAGTAGAAGGATGGTTACCAGAGGCTGGGAAGGGTTGTGGGGGGCTGGGGAAAGATGGGGATGATTAATGGGTAAAAAAAAAAAAATAGAAAGAATGAATAAGACATACTATTTGATAGCACAACGATGTGACTACAGTTAATAATAACTTAACTGTACATTTAAAAATAACTAGAAGAGTGTATTTGGATTGTTTGTAACTTAAAGGATGAATGCTTGGGAGAATGGATACCCATTCTCTATGACGTGCTTATTTCACATTGCATGCCTATATCAAAACTCTCATGTACCCCATAAATATATGTGCCTACTATGTGCCCACAAAAATTAAAAATTGAGAGGTCAGGCGCAGTGGCTCATGCCTGTAATCACAGCACTTTGGGAGGCCCATGCAGGTGGATCACTTGAGGTCAGGAGTTCAAGACCAGCCTGGCCAACATGGCGAAACCCCATCTCTACTAAAAATACAAAAATTAGCCAGGCCTGGTGGTGCATGCCTGTAGTTCCAGCTACTTGGGAGGCTGAGGCATGAAAATCGCCTGAACCAGGGAGGCGAAGGTTGCAGTGAGCCAAGATTGCACCACTGCACTCCAGCCTGGGCAATGGAGTGAGACTCTATTTCAAAAAATTAAAAAGAATTAAAAAGCCAAAACTAAACCAAAACAACAACAGCAATGAAACAAAATTTTTCAATGTGTTCCACCTTCACCTGTAGAAAAAGAAGTAATCTAACATCTATGTTATGTTCCAGACATTATATTAAATGCTTTGCATGAATTAACTTATCTGATTTTTTCAATAACCTTGTGATGTAAATGCTATTTTTGTTTAGCGTCTCTATCCTACAGACGAGGAAAGCAAGACAAAGAGAAGTTAAATAATTTCTCACAGCTAATAAGAGGAAGAGCGAGGCCTTGCACCAAGGAAATCTGAAATCAGAGTCTGTGCTGTCAACCACTTCATTATCCTGCCTCCAAACTTCTTGTGCCATTGACAAGGTCCTCCACTGCTAACTGGGGGTACTGTAAGCACAAAGACAGTGAGATGGGAAAATGCATGGCGCGTTTGAGGAACAGTCATGAGGCCCAATTAAGCTAGAATGGAGCTGTCAACCTAAAAAAAGACATGAGAAAATTATCCCTAAATATGTTGAGTTTAATCAGGAATAAGAAATAAGGATTATAATTCAGAATGCATGGAATGGCAAACCACCAGTGCATTGAGGGAAGGATAAGAGGAGCTTTTATTAGCAAAAAGAGATTTACATAAGCTGCTTAGAAACAGAGTTCATTGGTTCCTGAGGTTCAAAGCCAGAGTTGTCAGTTTATTGGTAGAGATCCTGTTACTGGGCAAGTGTTCTTCAGAGAACATCTTATCTGAATTACTGCAGTCCTTCAGAGTGTCTAGTGATAAACTTTATCAAATCAGGAGATGCATAAAGGATGTGAAAGGGTTTCTTATGGGGTTTTTAGAAAGTCCTTGGAAAGAGTTCTTATCTCAGATGTGTAAACGGGAGTCCTCTCCTTCATACCTTCTCTTCCTGGCCCTATTTTGCCTGGGTCTGACAAACGCAATTTCATCCTGGTATCTGCATCTTTCACAGAGCCAACAAAGGGAAAAAACATAGTTACTTTATGACAGAGAAATAGGCAGGGGGAAGATCATAGGGGCTTGCTGACCAGGGTAAAGAGTTTGGAGTTTATTTAATGTGGGATGGAAAATCCTTGGAGGGTTGAAAGCAGAAGAGTGATAAAATTTGTTATAGCTTTTTTTTTTTAAGTAAAAAAATTTTTAAAAAAATCTTTTTTTTTGTAGAGTTGGGAGACTCAGTATGTTGTCCAGGCTGGTCTTGAACTCCTGGCCTTCAGTGATCATCCTTCCACCATGTGAGCCACTGTGCCCGGCCATTTGACAGTTTTTTTTTTTTTTTTTTTTTTTTTTCTTGAAGCAGAGTCTTCCTCTGTTGCCCAGGCTGGAGTACAGTGGCGTGATCTCTGCTCACTGCAACCTCTGCCTGATGGGTTCAAGTGATTCTTCTCCCTCAGCCTCCTGCGTAACTGAAATTACAGGCGCCTGCCACTACTCCTGGCTAATTTTTGTATTTTTAGTAGAGACGGGGTTTCACCGTGTTGCCCAGGGTGGTCTCCAACTCTTGACCTCAAATGCTCTGCCTGCTTCACCTCCCAAAGTGCTGGGATTACAGGCATGAGCCACCACACTCAGCTCATTTGATATAGTTTTTAAAAGTTCCTCTGGCTAGCTGGGCGTGGTGGCTCATGCCTGTAATCCTAGCACTTTGGGAGGCCAAGGCGGGCGGATCACGAGGTCAGGAGTTCGAGTGTGCGGCACTGGGCCATTTCCTTCTTCTTGGTCCATTTGCCATTCCTTCCATTGTCTGCCCAGTGAACACCTATTGCCTTTTAAAACATAGTCACAGCCTCCTGTCTGAGGCTTTTTCCAACTCATCACCCTCAATAAAATTATCTCGTTCTTCTTTGCACCCCCACAGAACCCACCCTGAATATTTTATTTGACCACTGTGGATTAATACAAAAGTATATTTGGTTTTTGTCCCCAGTTCCTGGCACGGAGCCACTAAAACCCTTGGCATTTTCTGAGTGAGGGGAGTGTCTTTTGTTATTCATAACAAACCCCTTTCCATCACACCTGAGTTTATGCTAAGGAGGTGACTTACAGTGGGACCCCTAGGTAGCCTCAGGATGGGGCTGGTCACCAGAAAGAGCAAGTGATTAGAGGGTTGGAACTTTCAGCCTCACCTACCGACTTTGGGAAGGGAAGAGGTGAGTGCTGGAGATTGAGCTCTATAAACACTACTGAACAATCCAGAGAGCTTCTGGGTGGTGGACTCATCAAGGTGCCGGGAGGGTGGCGCACCTGAAGAGGGCATGGAAGCTCTGTGCATCACCCCTGCCGCCCCCTTCCTATCCTGCTCTATGCATCTCCTCCATTTGGCTGTTCCTGAGTTGTATCTTGGTAAATGTAAGCAAATTGCTTTCCTGAGTTCTGCCCACTGTTCTGGCACATTATTAAATGGGCTTATGGGAACCTGGAACTTTGTTGCCGAGTTGGACAGAAGTGTGGGTAACCTGGAAACCCAATACTTGCAATTGGCGCCTGAGGTGGGGACAGTGTTGTGGATCTCAGCCCTTAAACCTGTGGAGTCCGGGTAGTTAATGTCAGCATTGAATTGAGTTGAGTTGTAGGCCACCTAGTTTGTGTTGGAGAATTGACTGTTAGTATGGAAAATCCTCATATTTGTTTCTGACACCAAAGTATTGCAGAAAAAAAAAAAAACCTTTAACCACTAACTTATTTTTTTTGTGTTTCTGCCTTCCTTTTAATAACCATAAGCTCCTACGGAAATAGGAAAAAAAAAAAAGACCATACCACTGTTATTCCTGCATGCTATCTCAGAGCTGTCTGGTATATTGGACGCATTCAGTAAATATTTACTGGTAACTGAAAGAGCTAACTAATTCATATCTGAAGTTCATTTGGGTTGGTGGACCTTGTGTTGACGGTTTCAGTTTCTCACTCCTTGTTCTTTTATGATGCAATGTTCCTGAAATTTGAGAATTAACAATTTTCTAATCTTTATGAGCTTTAACTTAGTTATGATACGGTGTAATATTTTACATTTAAGGTCTATATTTATCTATCCTGCAGCATGCACTTAGCTTTCCTGATAGATAACTGAGTTAGCTCCTTAATTAAGTAGTCTTTTTCCTTTTTTCCCTTATATTGCCCAGCAACTGGTCTTGGTGTGGCTACAGTTTCTCTTATTGAGTCTGGGTGGAGACAAGATGGGACTTCAAAAATCCTGTGGCTTTTCTCCAAGTCAAAGCAATCCCATCAGGGTGAAGTTTTTGGGCAGCTGTCGGCTCAGCTGGGGCCAGGCTGGAGGCCTGAGCTACTGTCTGTTTTGCTGCATTCTTGGCTGAAGGCCAGGCTGAGTTTCTTCTGAACTTGGATAGTGGCTTAGGCGAATCTGGCCTGTTCAGCAATTGTCAGGTTCCTTGGTTAGAAGAGTAGCAGCCTCTGGAGATTAGGGGGGAAACGTTCTCCACAACCTGGCCAATGGTGGGATGTTACAGTGAAAGCACATTTTTGACAGAATTCTGCCAGATATACAAGCATAAAAATAGTCACACATTGTGCTCCTTAAACTCAGGGGAGGCCCCTCTCACTGACTTCATCAAAGGGTTACTTAGAGGTGGATGCTATGATTTCTGATGACTTTGAAGTCAAGTCAATCCCAGAGCCTAAGATTGGCCATCCTGGCTATCGTACATCATTGCAGCCACTTTGGATTAAAATGTTAACATGAGATATTGGTTGGAGTCCCTAAATTGTGGGGACAGACACTTTCTCTAATGTTTTCTCCAACGGTATTAGATCCTGGGCTTGCCTGTTCCTTGCACTTCATTCATGTAGGCATGGGAGGGTCTGCGTAAATTTTTCTCATTGTGATAAAATATACATAAAATTTACTATTTGAACGGTTTTAAACTATACAGTTTTGTGACATTAAGTACATTCATCATGTTGTGCAACCAGCACCACCATGCATTTCCAAAACTTTTTTATTTTCCCAAACTGAAACTCTATATCCATTAGAAAATAACTCTCCTTTCTCCCTTACTCCCAGCCCTGGGAAACCACCATTCTACTTTTTGTCTCTATGAATTTGACTATTCCAACTACCTCGTATGAGTTGAATCATGTAATATTTGTCCCTTTGTGTCTGGCTTATTTAGCATTAATGTTTTCAAGGGGCCTGGATAATTTTTATGGCAACCTTATTCCTTGAACATCACTCATTTTGCCAGTGTCAATTATTTCGAACATCCTTCATGCTATTTTACAAACCTGTGGTGTGGACTTAAGTAACAATCAGTATTTGAGGGGCTGAGTAGCCACCGCTGGATTGTGAATTTTTGCTTGGGGTTCTTCATATGCTAACGAATCACCCTTGACACATTACATAGCTCATTCCAAAGTCTTTTAAAAGTAAATGACCACACTGACACTATGACATAGCCAAAATTCAGAAACTCCTGACAGAGGTAAAGTAATGAACATCATAAAGAAGGGGCTTACCACTGGATGTCAGGATCACATTTTGGTCCTGTGAGGCAGGGGGGTTTTAGAGATACCTAGAGTTTTGCACAAAACTCTCTCTTTCGTGTGTGTGTGTGTGCGTGTGTGTGTGTGTGTTGTTAGGGTAAGAGTTCAGGACTTTCATCAAATTCTAATGAGGTTCCTGATCTCCCTAAAAAAAGTTATGTCATATTGAAAAGGGAAATTCTATTTTCTATAAAGTTTTGAATACAAAACAATAGAATAGAAATAGATAGCTATAAGTAGATAGAAAATAGAAAGCATAGGAATAGAAAGAACAGAAATAGAAGGGAAAAATTCTATTTCCTATGTTTGCTATAGTGTTTTGGAGAGAACAGATGGAAAACAGTCCGTATATCCAGGTTGGGTGAGAATACTTGGAAGTATTTCACTGCGTGTGTGTGTGTGTGTGTGTATGTGTAGGGGGATTCCTTAGTTTTCTTATTTATTTATTTATTTATTTATTTTTGAGACAGGGTCTTGCTCTGTCATCCAGGCTGGAGTGCAGTGGCATGATCACAGCTTACTGCAGCCTTGAACTCCTGGGCTGAAGCGATCCTCCCACTTCAGCCTCCTGAGTAGCTGGGACTACTGGCGTGCACCATGACGCCTGGTTTCCTTAACCTTAATTATGTTATGGCCTTCAGTATAGGAGCCCATGCTCTGTAATTTCTCTTATTGGAGCCAGTGATTTTACATCAGGCTTGCAGCCTTAAAGCTTTTCCTTACCCACAGGGCAGCCCCATCACACACCTCTAGGGGGCACTGTTTGCTTTCATCCTCTATGACTGGCACCTGCTGGAGATGGGCAGTGCACTTTCATCCTCTGGCATGGCTGATGTTGGGCAGTGCACTTTCATCCTCTGGCATGGCTGATATTGGGCAGCGTTGACTCCCAAGGCTTTCTTGTGAGTACAAAGGCCATGGGTCTTCACCGATCCCATCTTTCTCAAGGCCAATCTACTCTTTCAGAGAGATATGTTTAGCATGGGCTGTGGAAAAGATCAAAGAATCAAGAATAGAATTCTTGCCTCTGTGTTCCAAATTAGCAATGGGATTCTTGGTATTTTGAAAATATTTTTACAGTGATTGGCTAATGAAGGAGCCCATGGAGATAAATAACATCAGGAAGCTTTCAAGGCTAATAATACCTTAATTTTCTGTTGTAACCTTTACTCTCTAGACTTCTAATCGATATGCCAGTTTAGCAAGCTGATGTAAATATTCTTTCCTACTTGGAATGCTCTTCTTCACTATGCCTGTTTAATTTCTCTACATCCTCAAAATCCCAGTTCAAGTCCCACCACCTCCAGGAAGTCTTCCCTCACCACTTTCATCCACAGTCACTGTTCCTTCTTCTGAATTTGGTACTACTCAGAGCCTGCATCTCACTATTAGCATTCACCTAGTGTGCACTGTTGGTTTTCTTTTTATATGTGTGTATTAGGAACTATTATCTTGTCTAATTCTCATCGCAGTTAATTTTTGTTGCTCTGTGGTCCTCTTTTCCCACTGAGGATGTGGCAGCTACTATCAGGGGGTGAAGAATTAGACAAATAGCCCTCAAGACCACCCTCACTTCTGATACCAAATGTAAGTTCAGGGGGTTCCCAAGACCATCCCCACATTTGGTCATTTGCTAGAATTTTCTAGAAGGATTCACAGAGCTCACTGAAGGCTGTTATACTCATGGTTACAGTTTAGTACAGGGAAAGCATACAGATGAAAATCAGCCAAGGGAAGAGACATGTAGGGCAGGGTCCAGGAAAATTCCAAGCATGGAGCTTTCAGCCATCTTCTCCTAGTGTCATGGACAGTGTTACTCTTCCAGCAAAGATATTTGATAATACATATGGAGTACTGCCAACCAAGAAGCTCACCTGAGCCTGGGTGACCAGGGTTATTTTATTTTAGAAATAGGGTCTTGTTCTGTCATCCAGGCTGTGGTGCAGTGGCACAGTCATAGCTCACTGTAACCTCAAACTCTTGGGCTCAAGCAATCCTCCAGCCTCAGCCTCCCAAGTAGCTGGGAATACAGGCATGCGTCACCATGCTTGGCTAATTTTTAAATTTATTTTGTAAAGGCAGGGTCTTGCTATGTTGCCCAGGCTGGTCTTGAACTCCTGACCTCAAGTGATACTCCCACCTCAGCCTCTCAAAGTGTTAGGATTACAGGCATGAGCCACTGTGGTAGTCTAAGAGTTTGTACTGAGGTTTCATGGTCAACTTTCCACATGGCTGACCTCAGGTTCCAGTTCCTCTAGAGATTGAACTGATATCATATGACTCAAATTTTCACTATAAATCACACTGTTGGACTTTCTGGTGTAGTCCAAAGTCCCTTAGAAAACAAGGACACTGTTATCAGGCAGGACATTCCAAGGGCTTAGAGATGACTGCCCAGGGGCCAACAGCAAAGTCCAGACCGCTCTTTGAGCAAAGTTAAATCATTTACTACACAGTGGGCTTTGCAAAATCTAACTGAAGACTAGAGATCAATTTCAGTTCCTGACTTCCCAGATAGGGTCTCAGGTACATTTCAGAGATAATAATCAGGATTTTCATTTGCAAGATTTTTATGTGCAGAGCCAGCTTCTTTGGGAGAAGTAAGGTTTGTGGGTTCTATGTGAATCAAAGCTGGAGGATTAGAGTTTTGAGTTTATTCATGTTAACAATAGGAGAGGAAATTAGGTAGGATGTCATATAGAGCAATTTCTCACCATACAGGAAGGCAGTAAAGACCCTTTCTGGGCTGGAAGGAGGAGACTGGGAGAGAGAGAGAAAGGAGACAGGAGAGAGGTTCTCATTTGCCCCACTCGTGGGGTTGAAATCAAGGTGTGGGGACAGGTGGGGTCAAAGGCGGCTCAGATGCATTTAAGGATCTGGACACAGAGGGTACACTTGCTCTTCCTTCTGTCTGGAAATCTTGGACACCAGCTCAGAGAGAAAGACCTGCACAAACAAACTATAAAGATTGAGCACACATGAAGTTTTTTGAGTTGTAAGCAAACAGCATCCCACATCAAAATGGCAGGTGTGGGACAATGTGCATATCCATTGTTATGTTGCATGATCCATAGATGAACAGGAATCTGTCCACATCAATGGCAATGGTTGTGTTATTTATTTATTTATTTATTTTTGAGACAGAGTCTTGCTCTGTCACCCAGGCTGGAGTGCAGTGTGCGATCTCGGCTCACTGCAAGCCCTGCCTCCCGGGTTCATGCCATTCTGCCTCAGCCTCCCGAGTAGCTGGGACTACAGGTGCCCATCACCACACCCAGCTAATTTTTTTGTATTTTTAGTAGAGACAGGGTTTCACTGTGTTAGCCAGGATGGTCTTGATCTCCTGACCTCGTGATCTGCCCGTCTCGGCCTCCCAAAGTGTTGGGATTACAGGCGTGAGCCACCGCGCCCGGCCTGTTATTTTTTTAAGGCAGAGTAGGCAATTTACATCTTTTCTTGTCTTTCTTGGTTAGGTATCTAATCTCTAAATTAAAATAGTTGTGGCCAATTATATCTGATCACTTATGACTATGTCTTCCTTGCTTAAATGTTGTCAATAAAACTCCCTGTTTCTTGGCCCAGCATTCAGGCCTCCAAAGTTTGGCCTCTGCCTTCCTGCCTGACTTCATCTTCTATTCCTTCTCCTTAGACAGTGCCTGCTGTAACAACATACTGCAAACTGAGTGGCTTAAACAGCAAATATTTATTTCTCACAGTTTTGGGGGATGGAAGTCTGAGACCAGGGTGCCAGCAGGGTTGGGTTCTTGGTGAGGGCTCTTTTCCTGGTTCACAGGCAGCCATCTTCTTGGTGTGTCCTCACACTGGAAAAAGGAGAGCTGACTAGCTCTCTGGCTTCTTCTTTTTTTTTTTCTTTTTTAGAGACAGGGTCTTTCTGTATTGCCCAGGCTGAACTCAAACTCCTGGGCTCAAGCAATACCCCTGTCTTAGCCTCCCAAGTAGCTGGGACTGCAGGTGTGTGACACTGTACCTGGCTTCTGGCCTCTTCTTATGTCAATGAAAAGAGTCAAACTGTGTAAAATATTTGAAGAGATTTACTCTGAGCCAAATGTGAGGACCATGACTGATGACACAGTCTGACGAGGTCCTGAGAACATATACCCAAGGTAGTTGGGTCACAGCTTAATTTTATACATTTTAGGGGGAACAGAAGTTACAGGCAGACATCCATCAATGCATGTAAGGTGCACGGTGGTTCAGTCTGGAAAGGCAGGACAACTCCAAGTGGGGTGGGGTGAGGTGGAGGCTTCCAGGTCACAGGTGGTTTCAAAGGTTTTCTGATTGGCAATTGGTTGAAAGAGTTGATTCTCTCCTAGATCAGGGAAAAGACCTGGAAAGGGAAGGAGATTCTCTAGAGAGTAATTTTCCCTACAAGAGGCAGCTTTGCAGGGCCATTTCAAAATATGTCAAATAAATAAATTTTAGGGCAAAATACTTCGATTTCTTTCAGGGCCTACTATCTATCATGTGATGCTATAGTAGAGTCAGGTTGGAATTTGGTATCTTATTGCTGCAAAGAGTCTGTTTTATCAATCTTAAGATCTCTGCTTTAATGTTAGCACTGACAATTTGTGCCTGAATTCCAAAAGGAGGAGGGTATAATGAAGCATGTCTGACTTCCGCTTTCCATCACAGCCTGAACTAGTTTTACTTTGGAATGCCCTTGGCTGAGAGGGGGGCTTCATCAGTCAATTGAAGGGCTTAGAATTTTATTTTTGGTTTACACATCTAAGAACACTAATCTCATTCATAATGGCTCCACCTTCATGACCTAATCATCTCCCAAAGACTCCGTCTTCAAATACTGTTGCTTTGGGGTTAGCATTTCAACATACAAAGTTTGAGGGGATACAAACTTCAGTCCATTGCAGATAAACTACTCTCAGCTAAATGGAACTCAGCAGTTCTTGAATGCACTACCCCATCTTTTTGCCTTTACTTAGACTGTTTCTTCTTCCTGGACTGTCTTTCCCCCATTTCTGTCAGGCTTAAATTCCACTTCCTCCATGAAGTCTTCAACTTTCCACACTGGAAGTTAGCCTCCCATAGCACAGTGTCTTTACTTCTCTTACAGGATTTTCAAAATGTACCCATCTGTCATTATCTGAGTATAAGTCACATACCTGATTGTTAATTTCTGGAAGGCAAAGATTATGTCTTTCTTTCTTTCTTTTTTTTTTGAGGTGGAGTCTTGCTCTGTCTCCCGGGCTGGAGTGCAGTGGTGCGATCTCAGCTCACTGCAACCTCTGCCTCCTGGGTTCAAGTGTTTCTCATGCCTCAGCCTCCCTAGTAGCTGGGATTACAGGTGCCCACCACCACACCCAGCTAATTTTTTGTATTTTTAGTAGAGACAGCATTTCACCAGGTTGGTCAGGCTGATCCTGAACTCCTGACCTTAAGTAATCCATCTGCCTCAGCCTTCCAAAGTGTTGGGATTACAGGCCTGAGCCACTGCAGCCGGCCATGTCTTTTTTTTGTTTTGTTTTTTTTTTAAATCTCCATGTGTCTAATAGCACTGGGCTCAGGGCCCTGCATACTCGAACACTCACTGAGGGTCTGCTGAACTGACTCTCTCTCACAGATGCAGACACACATGGGGAACACATGTATTTTCAGACTAAGTCTTCTACTGTCTGGGAGTGTTAGGGCAAGAGGAGTAAAGGTGTCATGATCTGGTAGGAGCTGAGGCTGTGTTCTAAAGGGAGAGGAGGGGAGGGGAGGGAGCCAAGAGATGGCTGGTAGGGTTTGCCATTTGAGTAGACTTGTCTTTAGGTTGAGTGGCTTCAAAGTTCTAGAGCCAGAGATAAAAAAAAAAAAGCTGGGAGTTTCTCCATCACACCTTTGCAGTCAAATTTGGTTAGCAGGCAAGGGGTGTGAGCTGGAGTGGGGGTAGGCCCCATGGGAACTGGGGAACTTTGCTCCTTACTCTTGGAAATTCTCCAGAGTAGACAAAATCAGTGTCCATTGTATTATCCTAAGGTTTAACATGTGGTAGGACTTCAAGGAGTCCAGGGACAAAGGTCAAGAACTCACTATTCAAAAAAAAAAGATAAAAATAACCTATAACTATTTTCTGAAATATTTGTTCTCAGCAGTAGTCAAAGAACTGTAAATCCAGACAACGAGGTTGTCTCTGCCTTTTATTTTGTCCATGTGTGGGTGAGGTATGGGCTGTTCCTTTGTGCATTTTACTTTATTTACTTTGAATCAAAAATTTTTTCTTTTTAATAAACATCAGGGGAAAGCACACACACAGTCCCCCACTACCACAAATTATGCAGCTGAGTTTCCCGCATTTGGGATAATCGCAGGTATCAGCACATCTAGAGTGCAATGGATAAGCCTCACCCTGGGAAAACCACCTTTGTGATTGTGGTATCTCCTATGCCAGGTGCTTTGTGCGTTTTAATACACAAACGTAAAATTGATAGAAACTTGGCCACTTTATCTATTTTAAAAGCTATTAAAAAAACCTGTATGTTCTTTGATCTAGAAATTCTACCTCTAGAAATTTATCTTTAAGAAAAGGATAAATTGTGCATTTATGATAATGCATAAAAATCTGGCAAACATGTTCACAGCAGTCCACTTTTTAATAATAATAATATATATATCCTAAATATGATTATAGGAATTGAATAAATAAACATTCTTACCATAGAATACTCTGAGGTTGATAAACATGATGGTGAAGATGTTGAGCAGTTTTCCTTAAAACTGGTTCTCAATTCACTGCTGATTTGTGGAAATCTGGCACTGTCTATACCAGGCAGCAACTCTAAGCCATCTCAAGAACTGAGGCACAGATTCCTTTATCTTTGTTTTTTTTTGAGACAGAGTCTCACTCTGTGGCCCAGGCTGGAGTGCAGTGGCGCGATCTCGGCTCACTGCAACCTCCACCTGTTGGAGTAGGTGGGATTACAGGCATGTGCCACCATGCCCAGCTAATTTTTTTTTTTTTTTTTTTTTTTTAGTAGAGATGGGGTTTCACCACATTGGTCAGGTGAGTCTCGAACTCCTGACCTCAAGTGATCCGCCTGCCTTCACTTTTCAAAGTGCTGGGATTACCAGGCATGAGCCACTGTGCCCGACCAGATCCCTTTAACTTAAACTGCCCTATGCTTGCTTGGTTCAAGTTTTGCTGAGGCCAGAATGAGCAGAAGGTGGGAATGGGTCTGGGTATTGAAGCTCCCGACCCCACATTTAGGGAGCTGGGTTTGTGCACGGGTGCTGAGTCGGGAGGTGCTGCAGGATTGGCCTCTCCCAGGGGGTAGCTCTGGGGGGAGTCTCTTGTCTTTACCTTTGGTGGCTTTTTTTCTGTATCTAATCTATGGAGGAAATTGCATGGACATCAGGCTGACTCTGACCTGCCTGACGTTAGAAGGGTAATTCTGACGTGGAAAGATGCTCAGTATCCATTGTCAAGTGAAACAAGCAGTTAACGAAACAGAAACAGCCCAGTGCAGTATTGTTTTATTTTTTCTTGGTAGACACATTATCTGTATCTGCACCTACACCTAAACTTCTTTTTATCTAGATACAGGTAGAATAACATCCAGAAAAAAGGTTTACCAAATGTTACTTCTTGTTTCTGGGTTGTGGAAATGCAATAATTTTCATTTGTGTCCTTAAACTTTTTGTTTACTCTTTTTGTTGTTATAAAAACATATATATCAGTTGTGTAATGAAAATTTACAAAGAACGTCCTGAAACTTTTTGTTTACTCTCTTTGTTGTTATAAAAACATATATATCAGTTGTGTAACGAAAATTTACAAAGAATAATGATCTCTGGGGAGCTCTGCCTCTGATTTCCTTTTCTCTGCCCATTAAGCTGTAATAAGTAACTCCTGATTCCAGGTCTTTTGGCCCACAATGAGAGTCTGGTCGGAGGAGTTGTTCATCCTGACCGGGCATCTGGGAATGTCACAAAGCAGGCGGGCTTTGAGGAGCTGGCTCTGTAGGGAGAACTCTGATGGGAGGAAGGCCATGCCACGCTGAGGGGGCAGCATGAGCGAGAAAAGGGAATGGCCCACTGTGGACAGTGAGTTAATTCCAGGCCTTTATGAACGTTGATGCTGAGTGCAGGTATCTGAGATGCTTCACGGGAGAAGGCAGCTAGCCAGGTACTCACTTATTGCCTTCCATATGGATACAGGGAACTGCTTTAATTGTTCTTTTCCTCTTTTTCATTTGAAAGTCTTGTCTTCATGAAAGGACAGGTGCATGGAGGGCAGAAACTTATTTTGAAAGTCCCTCAGCAAATTTCCCAATGCTGGGCAGACGGGATGTCAGTGGATGCATTCTGGCGAGACTAGAAAGAACTTGAGTTGACACTGACAGGCAGAAATATATGCCACCCCAAAATATGTCAGCCTAAAAGATGTCTTCTCAATTGAAGGCAATTGAGAAGAAGCAGATACAAGAAAAGCTCTCTGTCTCGCCCTTTCCCCAATCATTTGCCTAAAAGCAGAACATAAATTTGTAAAGGGGTCCCTCTTCCCCTTCCTACTAGTTAGGACAGAAATTAATCACTGAGGACAACACTAGACCCATATCAGCCCAGAGATGGCAGCGGAGTAACCCACGTACAAACCTTAGTTAGCCTTTATCTTCCATTATTTTCTCCATATATTTGCCTTTCCACAATTTGCTGCCGCTAGAAGCTCAAAGTTTTTTTCCTTTGTCTTGTCACTTCTCTAAAAATTTATTGTTCTTTTGTTAAGATGTTATATAAGCCCAAGTTCAAACCATCCTGATTTACTCATTGATGGGTACTGCCAGGTGAAGGCATGATGCGCCTGTTAATAACCTGTTTTTCTCTTGTTAATCTGTCTCTTCTTAGTCTAATTTGCAGGGCCTCAGCTGCAGAACTCAAGATGGCTAGAGCAAAAGATATTTTCCCTCCCCTACAGCATGAATTCCATTAAGGTAGCTTTAGGGAATAGCTCCCTGTCTCTTGTTATAGGTCTGTAGGAAGCTTAGAAGATGGCTAAGCTGGATGTGGTGGCTCATGCCTATAATCCCAGCACTTTGGGAAGCTGAAGAGGGAGGAATTTGAGACTAACCTGGGCAGCATGGCGAGACTTCCGTCCCTACAAAAAATAAAAAATTAGCCAGGTGTGGTGATGCATGCCTGTAGTCCCAGTTGAGGTGGGAAGATTGCATGAGACCAGAAGTTTGAGGCTGCAATGAGCCATGATCGAGCCACTGTACTCCAGCCTGGACCACACAGTGAGACCCTGCCTTGAAAAATTAAAAAGAAAGAAAGAATGAAAGAGAATGGCCTATTTAAAGAATTCTTTCCTCTAAAGCTGTTTTTACTAGAGGCATGAGGGTTCTTATGAGTAATTTGGTACACATAGTAGTTGATATGGTTTGGTCCTGTGTCCCCAACCAAATCTCATGTCGAATTGTAATCCCCACATGTGAGGGGAGGAACCTAGTGGGAGGTGGTTGGATCATGGGGTGGATTGGATTTCATCCTTGCTGTTCTCATGATAGTGAGTGAGTTCCCACGAGATCTCATCATTTAAAAGTATGTAGCACCTCCCCCTTCTCTCTCTTTCCTGCTGTCATGTAAGATGTGCTTTGCTTCCCCTTTGCCTTCCACCATGATTGTAAATTTCCTAAGGCCTCCCCAGCCATGTGAAACTGTGAGTCAGTTAAACCTATTTTCTTTATAAATTACCCAGTTTCAGATCGTTCTTTATAGCAGTGTGAATATGGACTAATAGTTAAATTTAGCTTATAAATAATTAGCTTTTTGTTTATCAGGATAGATTCAGGGATATCTATATGATAAAACAACTCAAACTCACTTGCACGCTGACATGTTTCTTGCCTGGGAGACTGTGGGCCTGCTGAGAATTATATCTAACCTTGTGCTCTCATGACCCCCACAGCATAGTGAACCACCCTCACTGATGTACCTGGATAGTTAAATTACTCATACACTTATCAAATGTTCCTCTATCTGCCAAACCAGGAACAAAGAAAACTGGCAGGTACTACTTGGGGTCTTTTCAAAATCTAGCCTTTCCTTGGAAACGCACTCTAGTTCCCTGCCCCGCCCTCGTGTGTGATGGGGTGGGGGTGGTTGGCTCTGAGGTACACGTTTGAGATGGGAATTCCATGCAGGCAGCTTTAGGGAATGGCTTCTGCCCTGTTAGACAGGAGCCCACGAACAATGCTGGTGTGAGTATGCTCCGAGGGGAGACACAGGAAGGGAGATGGGGCCTGGACGCCTCTCCTCAGCTGCCAGAGTCATCCCTGTGGCAGCCGAGGGCCTCTCTCACTGCTCCCTGGCCAGGCAGGGAGATTTGGAGGGGGCCAATATTTTCGCAGTTTGTGAACTTGCCTTATTAGTTGGGGGATGATTTCCTAAGGACTTGAAAGGAATATCTGAACATAGAAACCCGCAGGAGGGATTAGGAGTCCTGTCATCCCAGGAGAGAAGGTGGCATTACCTAACCGTGTTCCCTCACAGTTAGGCCCTGGAGGGGAATGGGAACATTCACTGCAGACTGTCAGTGTCCAACTCTCTGGAGGTCAAAGCGAGTCCTGCCCTTTCCCCAGCAGTCACTTTGCTGCTCTCCTTTGTCCTGCCCTGAGGTCCAGAAGCCCTTGAACACAGCTGTGAGGGTTTTAGGAATGTTTTTGTTTTCCTTACACCAGAGAAGCCTGTTTTAAACTTGCAAAATGACAACTTAAAAAAAAAAGTGCTGATGATTGGCAGATGGATGAAGCCCTGAGACCAAAACTATATTCACCTGCCAACCCACATACCATCCAAGACTAATTTTAGCTACAGTCTCAGTTTTAACCCCGTCTTCATCCAAGAAAGTGGTTGTTGAACTCTGCCTGGGCTAGGCTTGGGACCAGACACCAGTGAGGCTGTGATCTTGCAGACATCCAGCACTTCCCTTTACCCCAAAGCAATCTAAAAATCTTGCTCCAACACCTTATCTATCCAGTGGGCCATCTAGCATATAGGTAACTCAGCCATGGCTGAGAAAGAAAATAAATAAACAACTTTGCTGTTAGCTATCATTTCTTACACACACACACACACACACACACACACACTCACCTGCACACACACACACTAATTCACACACAAACATAGACACACATACCTGTACCACACTCACTCATATCTACCACCTCCTCTCCACTCTTCAACACTCACATGTTTCCACACAGGCGGTGTGATGCAATGGAAAGATCCTTGACTTTGGAATTAAACCAAATGGCCATGTGATTTTGGGCATATTCGCTAAAGTCTCACAGGCTCCATATCTTTCTGTTTTTTTTTTTTTCTTTGAGATAAGGTCTTGTTATGTTGCCCAGGCTGCAGTGCAGTGGCTATTCACAGGCATGATCACAGCACACTGCAGCCTTGAACTCCTGGCCTCAAGTGATCCTCCTGCCTCAGCCTCCTGAGTAGCCAGGACTACAGTTGCATGTCACCGTTCCTGGCTCCTCAGTTTCTTAATCTGCAAAAAGGATGCACATACTTACTTTACAGGATTTTTGTGAGGACTAGAAAGAAGTGAACTAACATATATAGGCAGTGTGCTAAATGGGTACATACTGCCAAAAATGTTTGTTCCTTTATACCCTACCTTCCCCAGAGCATATAGTCTACACTCTCACACACACAGTAATACTCATACACTATAGTGTATTGTTTCTCAAAAGTATGCCCATTCTCCTATCAAGACTCACCATCTAAACTTAATGCAGGGAAATCACTGCCCTCTCTCTTCCTATTGCTCACATGGAAAGTATCTTGGAATTCTTTGACTACTGACCCCCAATTGAGTGAAGATTCTCTGATAACCAAGCCTGATACACTGAGTTTTCCTTCTCACATCTCCTGTATTCTTGACAGCTGTAGAGCAGGTATTTTGAGGGTGAGAGATGGGGCTGTGACACAAATCATTAAAACCCCAATTTCTGAATGCTGATGGCTCTTTCTGGGCCTCTTAATGTGAGATCTTAGGTGGAAAAAAATGGTGAGAGTGTGTCTCCACTCCTTCTCAAGAGGCTTGGGGCCCACCAGGTTTCCTCCCATCCCCCCTGTATCAGCAAGGATGCTTTCAGCTGCTGTAAGTAATAGAGAACACAACTGGTAGCAATGCGAACTGTAAGAACAATTATCTCACTGAGAAGTAGCATGGAAACAGGTGATTTCAGGGTCGGTGCAGTGGCTCCACCACATCATGAAGACTCGGGTGCATCCCATTTGCCAATTTGCCATCTGCATTTTGGTGGTGTCTCCCCTTGGGGTCATGAGTTGACCACAGCAGTCCAAGGTGCTACATTTCCTCATCAAATGGGGAAGATAGCATTATGTAGGAGGAAAATCTTTCCCAGAAGCCCCTCAACAGGTTCCATAGGCCAGAATTAGGTCATATACTCACTCCTCAGCTGCAAGCGGAGCTGGAAAAGTGGGTGAATGGCACTGTCACCTCTGCAGAGGGCAATGGGCTCTTCAGCAAGGAAGACAGGTTGAGAGGATGCTTTTCGGGTAGGCAACCATGGGCATCTGCCATATTTCCCTGGTTTCTAGTTCTCCAAGCATCAGACAGCAATATCTGAAAAGTCCAAGTCCCACTTGTCCACTCTCAGCTTGTTTTCTCTGTAGCTTGCAATCTGTTGCTGGAATGTGGAGGTTCCTGTTTCTGGATCATGGTACACCATTTCCTGTCATCGTCTCTTGTCATTTTGTTCTGTTGGCCAGAGCCCAAATCATAGGTGCCAGTTTGTCAGCAGTCTGACTGGTGGCCCCAATACTTGTTGCACTCTTCTCGTTGTCTCTTTGAAAAGCTGTCTTCCTGCTGTGCCTGTATCCAAGCAGCTCTATTCCCCTTCAATAGAGTGTGAATCCTATCTTCAGAGAGGTGGAACTCTAAGACAGCCTTCTCTGGCTGACTTCAATAGGGTCTGGCAGCATATTGTCTGGTTTCTTTGTTTTGTCCCCTTACTTATGAGTCTGAGAGAACACAGTTATAACCATAACTCAGGGGATCACACCCATGGAAGGGCACTGCTGTGATTCTCCTCCAGTGGGTTGGTTTCCAGGAGTGCTTGTGTGCACTGATTCACATTGTGTTTCTGACTAATACAGATGAATATTTTTTCCCTACCTAAATCTCATGTTGAAATGTAATCCCCAATGTTGGAGGTAGGGCCTGATGGGAGGTGATTGGGTCATGGGGGCTGATCCCTCATGAATGGCTTAGTGCTGTCCTCGCGATAGTGAGTGACTTCTCACAAGATCTGGTTGTTTAAAGTGTGTGGCACCTCCCCTCCACTTCCCACTCCTGCTTTCTGCATGAGATGTGCAAGCTCCTAGTTTGCCTTCCATCATGACTGTGGCTTCCAGAGGCCTCCCCAGAAGCAGATGCCGGCGCTGTGCTTCCTGTACAGCCTGCAGAACCATGAGCCAGTTAAGCCTCTTATAAATTACCCAGTCTCAGATATTTCTTTATAGCAATGCAAGAATGGCCTAATACACTGACTCATCAGTTATAATTACATCAGACTGTTAAAAACAGAAACCTGATTGTGATGAACCAAACAGAGATTTTATTTTTATCATGCAAAAAGAAATCTGGAGGAAGTCTGTCTAGAACTGATACAGTATATCCACAGTGCTATCAGAGACCCAGGCTTCCTCATTCTTCCTGCTTTGCCATCTGTAGTGTGTGGCTTCTGTGCTCATGTGTGCAAGATGACTGTTTCACCAATAGGAATTGCATTTTGTTTCAGGCAGGAGAAAGGGAGAAAGATCATCAAAAAGGCTAAGACAGACCTACCTACATTTATTTCTTTCTCTTTCTTTCTTTCTTTCTTTCTTTCTTTCTTTCTTTCTTTCTTTCTTTCTTTCTTTCTTTCTTTCTTCCTTTCCTTTCTTTCTTTTTCTTTCTTTTTCTTCTTTTTCTTTCTTTCTTCTTTTTCTTTTGTTCATTCTTTCATTCTCTCTCTTTCCCTTTCTGTCCCCTCCCTCCCTCCCTCCCATTTTCCTTCCTTCCTTCCTTCCTTCCTTCCTTCCTTCATTCCTTCCTCTTTCTTTCCTTCATAAGGTAGCAATTAAGTTTTTCTAGAATAGCCACGCTATTGGCTTCTACTTTACCTTTTTGACCAGAACTACATCCCATAGCCACTTCCCTTCCTGCAAGGGAATCTAAGGGAGGTATGAATGCATGTTGCCCAATAAATTGGTGTTCTAATAAGGAAGAGGAAAGAATGGATACTGGGTTGGCAGCTAACAGCGTCTGCCACGGAAATCCCTCCCTTCAGGTCAGATGTGTCCTGGGGGAAACTGCAGTAAACCTGAGAGTCATGGAAACGTCCCATCTGCCATATTCCACCAAGGCACTTAGTCCCTACTTGTGAAGAGTGCCTTAAGAATCTCCTAAATTTTCCAGAACACTGGTAGATATTTGCATAAGGGCATTTCTGCAGGATCCCTGGTTTCCTAAAATGATGAATATTCACTTGAGCCTTTTGTCTCTCTCCTTCTCTCCCGTCCTCGGTCTCTCCCTTCCTTCCACAAATAATTTTTGAGTCCCTCATTTGCATCAGACAATGTGCTAGGCACCTAGGGACACAGGCAGATGTTGCTCCTTCCTCTCCTGAACAAATGCAAGTTTGACTACTGGAGGCCAGACAAGAATTGTGACTCTCGGGTGGACATCACCTGTTTGGAAGCAGCCGGGCAAGGGAATGTGCTTGCGGCTTGCAATGAGTTCAAGGGATTTCTGGAAAATGTGTTTGAGTAGTCTGCCATATTTGTGAAAAGTTACTCTGAGAGGCAAGACATAAGCCCTGGATCTTTCTGAAGGGCTGAAGTCATCCCTGATCCTCCAGCTGTTGACATCGCACATGTATGTGGGAAGCTTGTTTTCCCAGTTACAGATGGCTGGACAAGTGAACTCAACTTCACACAGCATGGTGCCAGACTCTCCTTGGCTCCCACTCCCATCATTCAGGATTCTTGCTGGTGATGTATGCAGGAGGTACACCAGTAGGGGAGACCAGGCCTAAAGAGGCTTATGGCAGTACAGTCACACATCCATGTCTGGGTCACAACTCTTTCTTGAAAAGTTCTTAACCTGTAGATAAGAAAGCTGTGCATGACATCCAATTACACATGAAAGGGAGAAGGTGTCTGCTAGGGAAAATCTGAATTAATCAGGAATGACTATTAAAATGTTCTACTATTAATAACTACTTACACTTTTAAACAAGTTATACCTTTCAAAATGATAATGTATACTTGATCTCATTTGGGCTTTACAAGAATTTTACTGTAAAATCTATATCATATTATATATTTAAATATTTAGAACTCTTTTACTTCTACCTAACAAAGCCAATAAAATGTACATAGACACTGAATATTAATATCTTAGGAACACTAAACCTCAAATGTTTTACTTTCTCCTTTTGTTTGCTTCATGATCCTGTTTTTTTTCCACATGTGTTTTTGTACTTGTGCAATTCTCCCCCGACCTTTACACATTTTTGTTACTGCAGAGCATCTTTATCCCTGGAATTTCATTTTTGATGTTCTACTGCAGCTCATTTCTTTTGTTTATTTTTTGCTTTTTGAGTTTTTAGAGACAATGTTATTGAGGTATATTTGGCGTATATTAATAGTAAACCACACATATTTCAAAGTAATAATCTGATATGTGTTGACATATGTATAAACCCATAAAACCATCACTACTGTCAAGACAGTGAACATACTCATTTATTTCAAGTGCCTTCGGTGGGTCTTTATTATTTGTAGTCAAAAGAAACTTAACTCAGATACCATCTTATTGACATTTTCTGGTTCTTAATAAATTTGTAGGGACTCTCTGCCTGGTTCTGTACCCTTGGGGCTGTCAGTTCACCCTGGACCTCGGCTCTAATAAGTGACCCCATAGTCCATGCATCACTACCTCCCATTTCTCTTTCAGCAAGTCCTGTCCATCTCATGGAGTGGTTGAAAGAGCATAGTCTGGAGTTGGGAGACTGAGACCACACTTCTGCCTTTCCTCTTTTCAGATGCATGACTTTGGACAATGATGATAATCGTGATGTAGATTTCACCAGGTTGTTTAGGATCACATGAGAATCTCTTTATGTAACATGCTGCTAATATGGAAGTTTGTGTATAGACATCAAGTCAGATATATGTGATATTTCAAAATCAAATCACCAAATGGACAATTTACAAAGAAAATGTCATCAAACTGGTTCAAGACCTCTTGAATCCTTGCCTATTTTAAGGCAAGGAAAAGAGCCAAGAAAGGAGAGAGGAACAAAGATTGTGTGAGGGAAGTATTTTCTTGGGAGAGAACTATCGCCATGATGTATATCTCCCACACCTTGAAGTCCATTGGGAGCAGATGGCTTGAAGGTGTCCATTCAGAGAACTTGTCATGTGTCCCTGTGGTTGGGGGAAGAGGCCTAGCAGCAGCAGGATAGGTGATTTTCCTGACCTCCAAGGGATGTGGAGGGCTAAGGGTTATATAGAAGGGTTTCCCTGCAGTCAGAAGTTGGCCTCACTGGAGGGAGAAATGGGCTAGAAGAGTCCAGGAGGCCCTGACAGTCTGCGTGGAGTGGACTGCAGAGGTCGGTGGTAATTGACAGGGTGCGGTCCCCTGAGGAGCACAAGGCAGGACCCATATGGTGGGAGTGGCCAGAGAGGAACAGCAGAGAGGCTTTCAGGGAGCCCAAGAAAGCACCCGCAGGGGAAGGAGTCTGCCTACCTGGCCATGAGAGCTGAAGCTATCAGCCACAGATAAATTCCTTGTCCCGCCTTACTCCTTCCCTTTTCACTCCCCATATGTCGGCCTGGGAGCACTTCATACCACCTCCAAGGGGTTTGGAAGCATGGGGGGGAGTCCCATCTTTGTGGGTGTTCTATAATTTCTGAATTGGGAGATGTTTCTTAAGAGTGAGTAGAAAAGTCATAAAAGGCTGGGTGTGGTGGCTCACACCTATAATCCCAGCACTTTGGGAGGCTGAGCAGGCAGATGACTTGAAGTCAGGAGTGTGACACCAGCCTGGCCAACATGGTGAAACCCTGTCTCCACTAAAAATATAAAAATTAGCCAGGCCTGGTGGCATGCGCCTGTAATCCCAGCTACTTGGGAGGCTGAGGCATGATAATTGCTTGAACCTGGGAGGTGGAGCTTGCAGTGAGCCAAGATCACAACACTGTACTCCAGCCTGGGTGACAGAGTGAGACTCTGTCTCAAAAAAAAAAAAAAAAAAAAAAAAAGTCATAAGACCTGACTATACATTCATCTAGAAAAAAAGGATATTTTAAAGGAAAGTGAAAGATAAATTAAAATTGTGTTTTTTTGTTTTTGTTTTTTTAGTTTTAATTTAATTTTTTTTTTTTTTGAGATGGAATCTTACTCTGTTGCCCAGGCTGAAGTGCAGTGGTGCGATCTTGGCTCACTGCAACCTCTGCCTCCCAGGTTCAAGTGATTCCCATGATTCAGCCTCTCGAATAGCTGGGATTACAGGCGTGCGCCACCACGCCCAGCTATTATTTTTGTATTTTTAGCAAAGATGGGGTTTCACCAAGTTGGCCAGGCTGGTCTCAAACTCGTGACCTCAAGTAATTCACCCGCCTCGGCCTCCCAAAGTGTTGGGATTACAGACGTGAGCCACCACACCTGGCAAAATTGTGTTATTATTATGTTTGTTTATTATACAAATGACACTCAAACTGTAAAATATACAATTTAGTTACTGTTTTAGACCATTTGCATTGCTATAAAGGAATACCTGAGGCTAGGTAGTTGTTAAAGAAAAAGGGTTTTTCGGCTCATGGTTCTGCAGGCTATACAACTGTACAAGAAGCATGGCACCAGGCCCCACCTCCAATGCTGGGAATCAAATTTCAACCTGACATTTGGAGGGGACAAATATCCAAACTCTACCTGTTACTATGTTCAGTACATCCTTTACCTCCAGCGCTTTTCTTCTTGCATACTTAATGTTCTCAACCTTAAATTGCATTGAAGTGTCTGGAGGTCTTGGCGAAGCACAGATTTCTGGACCCCACCCCCAGAGTGTTTGATTCAGTGGGTCTAGGGTGGAAGGCCAAGGGTTTGAATTTCTTACAGGCTCCCAGCTGATACTGATGCTGCTAGTTTGAGGACCACACCTGGAGGGCCACTGCTCTAAAACCCTGATGCTCAAACTTGGCTGTCACTGGCACCACCTGGGGAGATTCAACAAATACTGATGCTTGGGCCCTACCTCCAGATATGTTATTTAATTCTTGTGGCCTGTACATCATGGATTAAACACTCTCCAGGGAATTAGGGGTGGAATATTTATTTTTAGTTAAGTCTGTTTTACTTACTTCCTCATTGAGGATTTTTGCCTTATACATTTTCAGTATTATTTGAATTATTAACAACAAGCATAACTCATTTTATAACTAGTAAGCAAAATTGTGACTTTATTCTTCTCTTCAATTATGTCCATTTTAACATGTGTCATAACTCTTTATTTATTTGAGACAGAGACTCGTTCTGTCGCTTAGGCTGGAGTGCAGTGGTGCGATCTCTGCTCACTGCAACCTCCGGCTCCCAGGTTCAAGCGATTCTCCTGCCTCAGCCTCCTGAGTAGCTGAGACTCAAGCGTGCACCACCACGCTCGGCTAATTTTGTATTTTTAGTGGAGATGGGGTTTCACCATGTTGGCCAGGCTGGTGTCGCACTCCTGACTTCAAGTCATCTGCCCGCTCAGCCTCCCAAAGTGCTGGGATTATAGGCGTGAGCCACCGCGCCTGGCTAACATGTACCATAACTCTTTAAAACCAAAAGGATGTTTGAAACTCTCCCCATTCCATTATTTCTCTTATGAAAAAAAAATCTTCTTTGTCTAATAAGATATAGCTCATCCCCAATTCTACAAAATTTCTTGCCTATTGAGAAACTAATTTCAGTTATTACTATGGGATGTTGAAAAAGACTTTATCTTACACCTTAGGCTTCACAATCTATAATTTTTCCCTCCTACCATCCAGAAAATTCTACTAATTTACTTCTCTTTCTGGTGTGTGTATATTCCAGGAATGCGTTTGTAAATGTTCTTTATTCACATGTCCTCACAAATCAATAGAAATCATTATTGAAGGCTTAAAATGCACCAGATATTGTGAGAATTATTTTCATTTTACGTACCAGAAAACAAAAGCTTAAGAGGTCTTCAAATTCATAATTAGAGAGTTATGTATATAGCTTTATAGGTCCCCTTTTTGTCCAAATACTTACTATCTACTGTTAGTAAACAAAGAGAAGGAACGCATTCAATTTTGGCTAGTCCAGTAGCCCACTGGCCATTAATTCTTCAATCGACCTTCCCAAACTCTTCCCAGAGCCCTTATTTGATATAGGTTGAGTTCTGATGAGTTTCCATGTGTACACCTTTTAAAAGACACAGTTGAAATATTCTTGCACAAAGGAAAGATTACTTTTGGGAGGCAGCTTCACATTTTGTTATTCCCAGTCTCCCGTTCATCTGCAGCATTATAAATATGCATCTGGCAACTGAGATTTTCAAACATCTTCGTTCTGTATATTAAACACAATTCTACTTCCATATCTTTCCCTTTGCCTATTATTGACTTGTGGGAAGACCCCTAAACCCACTCCCTTTATGTATAATACAAATGCTCTCTAGGCATTAAGCTTTATTTCTTGCGGAAAAATCATATCCACTTTCTTCTCTCTTAGGGCCATGCCAACTGTGACTTTAATGTTTTGAATCTTACTATTTTTATGCATTCTTAAATCGTGCCTTTTCTATATGGATGTAATTTTACTAAGAATTACCCGTTGATTTCTTTATCCTCTTTGCTTCCAATCTTTCCTCTACTAGGATTGGGGTCCCTGTGTTCTGAACCCACGATTCTTATTTTCTTTGGGCTTCCTCCATATTAATTCTTCTGTTGTCTTCTTTTCCTCCACTGTTGATTCACTAGACATAGGTGATGGCTTCCTTTTCTCTCCATGAGTTAGATTTTCCCCAACGCTTTTGCCCATAGCTTTTATGAATTTACCATTTTATTACCTTATTTACTTATTTGCTCATAAGAAATTTATTAAAATATTTCAAAACACATAGAAGTTTGAAACATTTTATAGTGAACACGCATATACTCACCACTCAGATCCTAGAGTTAACATTTTAGTATACTTTCTTCATCACAAGTCTACTCACCTATTCACTTCTTTTTCTATCCATCAAACCAACTTCTTTCTTGATGCATTTCAAATTGAATGGCAGGCATCAGTACCCATCACCTCCGCAGATCTCAGCAACATAATATTAATGAGTTCAGTATTGGTCTATGGTTCTTTTTTTGAGGTAAAATTTATATAAAATGAAATACATAAAACAAATTTACTATATGATGTTTTGACAAATACCTGTACCTGTATAATCTAAATCCCTATTAAGATATAGAACATTACCCACCAAATTCCTTTTGCCCTTTTTCAAAAATCTTGTTGTACCCACTTTTCCCATAGACAACTGTTCTGATATTTATTTACTATATATTAGTTCAAACATCCTATATGAAGTATATGTCTTCTGTGTGAAATTTATTTAAAAATTAAAAAAAACAAAGATAGGGTCTCACTCTGTTCCCCAGGCTGGGGTTCAGTGGTGCAATCATGGCTCACAGCAGCCTTGACCTCCCAGGCTCAAGTGATTCTTCCACCTCAGTCTCCTAAGTAGCTGAGATTACAGGCCTGTGCCACCATGCCCAGCTAATTTTTTATTGTGTATTTTCTTTTAGAGATAGGGTTTTGCCATATTGCCTAGGCTGGTCTTGAACTGCTGGACTCAAGTGATTCGCCCACCTCAGCCTCCCAAACTGCTGGGATTACAGGCTTGAGCCACTGCACCCAGCCAAGATTTCTTTCTGTCAGTGAGTTTTTGCAATTCCTCCATGTCATTCCCAGTATGAGTAGTTTGTGAAGTGGTATCCATTGTGTGAATATGCCACTGTGAGTTTGTCCATTCACCTGTTGTTGGACACTTGGGTTGTTTCCACTTTTGGGCTATTGTAAATAAACCTGTGATAAACATTCTTGTATGAGTGTTTTTGTAGTCAGATGTTATTTCTCTTGGCAAAATTTGTGGGAATGAGTTGCTGGGTCACCTTGAGGCTTTTTACAATTTTGCGCATCACTTTCTAGTGGTTTCTTTTTGGTCTCTTTCCTATTTTATTTTTTTGAGATGGCATCTCGCTCTGTCACCCAGGCTGGAGTGCAGTGGTGTGATCTCGACTCACTGCAACCTCCACCTCCCAGGTTCAAGCGATTCTCCTGCCTCAGCCTCCAGAATAACTGGAATTACAGGCGCATGCCACCATGCCCAGCTATTTTTTGTATTTTTAGTAGAGATGGGGTTTCACCATGTTGGTCAGGCTGGTCTCGAACTCCTGACCTTGTCATCTGCCTGCCTCAGCTTCCCAAAGTGCTGAGATTGCAGGCGTGAGCCACTGCGCCAGGCCACCCCAACTTCCCTCCTTTTTTTTTTTTGAGATGGGAGTTTCGCTCTTGTCATCTAGGCTGGAGTGCAGTGGCGCTATCTTGGCTCACTGCAACCTCCGCCTCCCAGGTTCAAGTGATTCTCCTGCCTCAGCCTTTCAGAGTAGCTGGGACTACAGGCGTGTGCCACTATGCCTGGCTAATTTTTGTATTTTTAGTAGAGACAGGGTTTCACCATGCCGGTCAGGCTAGTCTTGAACTCCTGACCTCAGATGATCCACCCATTTTGGCCTCCCAAAATGTTGGGATTACAGGTGTGAGCCACCATGCCTGGCCTCCAATTTTTTTATTTAGCACTCTCAACAAATTCTTTGATCTCTTTCTACCATTCTTTTCCTTCTACCAGTACCTGACATCTATTGTCTTCCTGACTTCTAGCCTCAATCTCATTTTGAAGTCATAGCATGCCCCCTGACTTCTCTGGGGGCACATACACTAACTCCATGGTTTATGTCTCACTCTCTCTCTCTTTTTTTTTTTTTTTTTAATTTGAGACAGTCTCACTGTTTGCCCAGGCTGGAGTGCAGTGGTGCAATCTCGGCTTACTGCAACCTCTGCTTCCTGGGTTTCAGCTGACACAGCCTCCCGAGTAGCTGGGACTACAGGCGTGCACCACCAGGCCTTGTTAATTTTTGTATTTTTAGTAGAGATAAGGTTTTGCCATGTTGCCCAGCTTGGTCTTGAACTCCTGGCCTCAAGAGATCCACCCATCTCGGCCTCTCAAAGTGCTGGGATTACAGGTGTGAGCCACAGTACCCAGCCTTTCTTTCTTTTTATGTGCTAGAGTCTCATTTTTTTCATACTTTTAAATTTTTTTAGAGACAGGGTTCCCCATGTCAAACCCCTTCTCTGTCTGCTACTTTGCTGGAACTATTATTCCATCTTAGTATATAACTCATGGGAAGTTTCCTGGACGAAGCAGGCCTTGAGCTGCAAGGGGCTAATCTAATATGTAAAGGACTGCTAGAAATCACCAGGAGACAGACCTACAAACCAATAGAAAAATGAACCAAGGACAGGAACAGCCAGTTCATAGAAAAATAAATTAAAAGGACCTTAACACACGAAAAGATGCTGAACTTTGCTTATAATAATAAGCAAATGCATAAAATATTATACACTATAGTATTAATATAAAATCACACAAATTTGTATTGTAATAGTTATATATTATGTATATGTCAATATATAATTAATAATTATAAATGCACAATTCTATTATTAATATATAAAGTAATTATTACATAACATAATTATATATTAGTTATATAATTAATATATAACATATAATAATTATAACTAATATATAATTATATTATATATTATAATTAATTTATAATATATAATATATAACATAATAATTACATTATATATTAATACTTATATATTAATGTACTAATTATATATTATATATTAATTATATAGCATATAATTAATATATAAATATATAATATAATCATATTATATATCAATAATTATATTATATAGTAATATATTATACTATATAATTAAATACTATATAATTATATTATATTTAATTATATATGTAAAATACCAAAAGGAATAATAAAAGAAGTGTCCATTAATGCTACAATAAAATATTACAGTAGTCCCCCTTATCTGTGGTTTTGCTTTCCATGGTTTCCATTATCTGTGGTACAATACAATAAGATATTTTGAAAGAGTACATTTACATAACTTTTATTACAGTATATTGTTATAATTGTTTTATTTTATTATTAGTTATTTTTATTACTCTCTTACAGTGCCTAATTCATAAATTAAACTTTATCCTGGGTATGTAGAGGAAAAACACAATAGATACAGGGTTTGGTACTCTTGCATTCACTGGGAGTCTTTGATTGTATCCCTTGTGGATAAGTTGGGACTACTGTATTTCTCACCTATCAGGATGGCAGAACTCTGATCCTCTAACTTTCAAGAATTCATAAAGATCAAGTCTGGCACACAGACTGGCTTCGCACTTCTTTATGGTATTACTCAATTCTAGATAACACTAGAACAATGAATAGTACGACGATTATAGAGTCCTTGGGGTGGAAAATGACTCAATAGTTTTGCATCCAGCTAAACTGTGTAAAAGTAAATAAGCAACTGACAAATATTTTCAAATAACAGAACTTAAAGGATATATTCATGGCTGCCACATAAGGCCACTTTTTGCATAGACTCTAATATGAATGAATGGTGCTCCCTGGATATGGGCAGTGTACAGCCTGCACAGATGTACATAACAGTCTTGAATACAGTTCCTGTAAGATCTTGAAAAAACACTAAACGACAAAATTTAGCTGTCCAAAAGATGAATACAGAACCAGAGCATAAAGATTGACAGGAATAAAACTAATACAGCAGTGGCAATTATGGTTACGGAACTCATAAAATTTATAAAGAAAGGCATTGTAGAAAAATGATAACTAAAAGCACCAGATGGTAGAGGAAGTGAGAAGGCGGGCAGCAGTGTAAGTATCAGATCTTCTCTGTTTTCATAGCAGGTGATGCAAAGATATTAAGTTTGCTAAATCAAGCAACAGGATACCAGTACATGCACACATATAAAGTAAAATAATAGAAGAAACAAATATAACCAATCAAAAATGAGTAATAAAGGGGAGAGAAGGGGAGGAGGAGATAGGTTAATTTCCTATTCATTTATAATGTGGGCCGAGAGATTTTCTTAAAAAACAGAGAATTAAGTTGGATTTTTCCTATATATTAAAAATCAATAAATAAAAATTATAAACATCACTGTTTGAAAAGCAAAAACATTACCGTTAAAAGGCTGGGCTCTGGCTGGGCATAGTGGTTCATGCTTGTAATCCCAGCACTTTAGGAGGCCAAAGCAGGAGGATCACTAGAGGTCAGGAGTTTGAGACCAGCTTGGACAAAATAGCAAGTCTCCGTTTCTACAAAAAATCAAAATAAAAAACTGTGCTCTGAAGTCAGACTGTCTGGCTTTGAATTCTAACTCACTTGTTAGTTGTGATAACTTGAACAAATTCATAGAACTTTCTGTTCCTTAGTTCTCTCATTTGTAAAGTGAGATTTTTAACACAGGTTGAGTATTCCTTATCTGAAATACTTGGGACCTGAAGTGTTTTGGTTTTTGAATTTTTTCAGATTTTGTAATATTTGCATATACATAATGAGATATCTTGGGGATGAAACACATATAAATGCAAAATTCCTTTATGTTTCACATACACCTTTTACACATAGCCTGAAGGTAATTTTATACAAGACGTTTAATAATTTTGTGCATTTTGACTGTGACCTGTCACATGAGGTCAGGTATGAAATTGTCCACTTGTGGCATCATGTTGGTGCTCAAAAAGTTTCAGATTTTGGAGTATTTTGGATTTTTAGACTTCATAAGATTGCAAGGAATGAATGCAATAATGAATCTAAAATGCTTAGCCATAAATGCTCAATAAATGTTAGCTATTATTATTGCCATTTATTATTTTCATCATGAAGCATATATTAGACTTGTACAGAACACCAAATTGAAATAGATTCTGAACCTTTGGGGTTCCTGTGCATATTGAATAGATAGAAATGCCACACTGACACGTCCCAGATATATTGAGAACAAAATACTGTTACTTTTAATGTAGAGGCTACAATTTTAGAAAAAATCACGATACCAACATAATCAAATGACTTATCATTATTCTAGTAGAAGTCGAATGTCAGTCTTTTGCAGATCCCTGTCATGTCTGTGTGGAGATTATATTTCTATTTACCTAATATTTTTCTTTACTATTTACCTAATATTTTTATTTAAATCATTTTAAAATCTACTCACTTTTAAAAAACAATCTCATGCTAAGTAATTATATTCATAAAATCATTTTTGATATTGTTCAAATTTTTAAACATGTTATTAAATCTGTGATTATAAAAATACTAGTCCATATGCCACCTAAAGTTATCCTGAGTACTACCAATGGTTCACATAATGCACTTTGAGGAGTTCTACTTTTTATTCCTTTAATAATTCATTTTGAGCACCTACTATGTAGTAGGCACTGTTCTAGGCAGTTGAGGTACAGCAGCAAGTTTAGCACAGAAAAATTCTTGCCTTCATGGAGCTTACATTCTAGCAAGATAACAAATAACATAAATACAATTTATAGTATGTGAGATGGTGATATGCATTATGCAGAAAGGGAAAGGAGAGATGGGTAGTGTTGGAAGAAGGACAAGGGGATAGATTGTCATTCATCCTGTTAGAAAGGTCCCATTCAGAAAAATTCTAAGATTGGGGAGTAAATAAGCCATATGCATATTTAGGGAAGAGAATTCCAGGCTAATGGAAGAGCAAGTTCAAAGGCCCTGGTGTAAAAGTATGCCTGGCATGTTCAAGGAACAACAGGAAGGTCAGTGTGTTTGGAGTACAGTGAGTGAGGAGGAGACTGGTAGATGAGGGAGGTCGGGAAAGTAATGAGGGCAAGGAGGTGAAGTACGTCTACTCCTTTGCTTCTGCTGCTACTGGTGCTGCTATGAATGCTGCTGTTACTACTACTCATGCTGCTGCTATGAATGCTGCTGTCACTAATTCTACTATTATTTAAAAATATTAAGAAGAAGGAGAAGAGATATATTGAGGAGACAGAGTTCCTAAATAAGTTTGTGTTTAGAGCCTAATTCTTAAATTTTTGGCTACAGTTCTTTTGGTCTTTGCAAACCACCACATCCTGCTTGCTGCTTAACAATCCACTGCACAGATGAGAAGCAGAGCAAGATGGCTGGATAGAAGCCTTCACTGATTGTTCTCCCTATAGTAACACCAAATCAAACAACTATTCACAAAAATGTACCTTCATAGGAACCAAAAATCAGGTGAGTGATCACAGTACCCGGTTTTAACTTCATAGCACTGAAAGAGGCACTGAAGAAAGTAGGAAAGACAGTCTTGAATTGCTGGTGCCACCCCTCCTGCATCCCCCTGGCAGTGGCTGTGTGGCACAGAGAGAATATTTGTGTGCTTGGGAGAGGGAAGGAGAGTGCAGTGATTGTGGGACTTTGCACTGGAATTCAGTGTTGCCGTGTCATGGTGGAAAGCAACACTAGGAAGAAATCATGGAGGGATGATTTAGACCACATAGAGGTCTAAATGATTTAGAACACATGGCAGGAGCATTTAGACTAGCTCTGGCCAGAGGTGAATCACCCATTCCAGCAGTCAGGTCCTGAGTTCTGGCAAGCCTTGGCACCATGGGCTAAAGTGCTCTGGGGTTCTAGATAGACTGGAAAGGCAGTCTAGGCCATAAGGACTGCAATTCCTGGGCAACTCTTGATGTTATTCTGGGCTCTGAGCCTGTGGACTAGTGGGGCATGCAACCTAGTGAGACACCAGCCAGGGAGACTAAAGGAGTGCTTATATCATCCCTCCCCCAACCACAGTCAGCATAGCTCAAAGCTTTTGCAGAGATTCCTTCCCTCTGCTTGAGGAGAGGAGAGTGAAGAGTAAAGAGAACTTTGTCTTGCAACTCAGATACCAGCTCAGCCACAGTAGGATAGGGCACCAGGCAGCGTCATGATGCCCCCGCTTCCAGGTCCTAGCTCCTGGATGACATTTCTAAACACATTGTGGGCCAAAAGGGAACCTGCTGCCTTGAAGGGAAGGACCTAGTCCTGTCAGGATTCACCACTTGCTGACTAAAGAGCCCCAAGGCCCTGAATAATCAGCAGTAATAATTCAGATAGTATTCATCATGGTCCTTGGGTGAGACTCAGAGATATGCTGTTTTCAGGTGTGACCCAGCACATTTCTAGCTGTGGTGGCTATGGGGAGTGACTCTTAATGCTTGAGAAAAGGAGAAGGAAGAGTAAATGGGACTTCATCTTGCAGCTTAGATACCAGCTTGGTAACAGTGGGGTAGAGCACAAAGCTGGTTCTTGCAGTCCCCAGTTCCAGGCCTTGTCTCTTGGACAGTATTTCTGGATGTGCCCTGGGCTAGAAGGGGCCCACTGCCCTGAAGGAAGAGTCCTGGGCCTGGAAGCATTTACCACAACCTGACTGAAGAGCCATTAGGGTTTGAGTGAACATCGGTGGTAGCCAGGTAGAACTTGCCATGGGCCTGAGGCAGTGGTGGCCATGGGGAAAGACCCCTCTGCTTGTGGAATAAAAGAGAAGAGTGGGAAGGACTTTGTCTTGTGACTTGGGTGCCAGCTCAGAAACAGCAGAATAAAGCACGAGGTAGCTTCCCAAGATTTCCAACTCCAGGCCTGGGCTCCTGGATGGCATCTCTGGAGACTCAGGGGCCAGGGGGATCTTGCTACCCTAAAGAGAAGGACATAGTCTAGCTGGTTTTGCCACCTGCTGATTATGGAGCCCTAGGGCCTTGAGTGAAGATAGGTGGTGGAAAGGCAAGGTTTATTATGGGCTTTGAGTGAGACCCAGTGCCATACTAGCTTCAGGTCTGACTCAGCACAGTCCCAGTGGTGGCCACAGGAGTACTTATGTCACCCCTCTCCCAGCTACAGGCAGCTCAGCACAGAAAGAGAGACTGGAAAAAATAAGGGAAGGGAGCAAGAGGCTCTGTCTGGTAATTCAGAGAGAGTTCTTCATGATCTTATCCAAACCATCAAGGCAGTACCTCCATAAGTCTGCAAGAGCCACAGTATTACTAGGCTTGGGATACTCCCTAATGCAGATATAGCTGCAGTGACCCGAAACTTAAATTGCAACACCCAAGACCCTTCAAATACCTGGAAAGCCTTCCCAAGAAGGGTGGTACAAACAAGTCCGGATCATGAAGGCTACAATAAATACCTAACTCTTCAGTGCCCAGACACTGATGAACATCCACAAGCATCAAGACCATCTAGCTAAAGAAGGCACCAGGGACCAATCCTGTAGAGACAGAGATATGTGATCTTTCAGAAGGAGAATTCAAAATAGCTGTTGTGAAGAAACTCAGTGAAATTCAAGATAACATGGAGAAGGAATTCAGAATCCTATGAGATACATTTAACAAAGAGATTGAAATAGTTAAAAAGAATCAAGCAGAAATTCTAGAATTGAAAAATGCAGTTGATATAGTTAAGAATGCATCAGAGTCTCTTAATAGCAGAATTGATCAAGCAGAAGGAAGAGTTAGTGAGCTTGAAGATGGGCTATTTGAAAATACCTAGTCAGAGGAGTAAAAAAAAAGGAAGAATAAAAAAGAATGACACATGTTTACAAAATCTAGAAAATAGCCTCAAAAGGGCAAATGTAAGAGTTATTGGCATTAAGGAGGAGGTAGAGAAAGATATAGGGGTAGAAAGTTTATTCAAAGGGATAATACCAGATAACTTCCCAAACCTAGAGAAAGATAGCAACATTCAACTATAAAAAGGTTATAAAACAACAGACAGATTTAATTCAAATAAGACCATCTCAAGGTATCTAATAATCAAACTCCCAAAGGTCAAGGTAAAAGAAAGGATCCTAAAAGCAGCAAGAGAAAAGAAACAAATAACATACAATACAAAGAAACAAATAACAACCAATACATCTGGCAGCAGACATTTTTGTGGAAAACTTACAGTCTAGGAGAGAGTGGTGCGACATATTTAAAGTGCTGAAGGAAAAAACCTCTTATCCTAGAATAGCATATCTGGCAAAAATATGCTTCAAACATGAAGGAGAAATAAGGTGTAGAATTTTCACTAGTTTTCTCTTTGCTTGTTAGTTAATTTGTTTATACAATCAATGTTGAGTTGTCATCAGTTTAAAATAATGAGTTATAAGATATTATTTGCAAGTCTCATGGTAATCTCAAATCAAAAAACATGCAATGGATACACACACACACACACACACACACACACACACACACACAAAATAAAAAGCAAGAAATTAAAATACACCACCAGGGATAAGAGAAGACAGGAAGGAAGGAAATAAGGAAGAGAAGACCACAAAACAGCTAGAAAATAAATGACAAAATGGCAAGAATAAGTTCCTACTTATAAATAATAACGTAAAATGTAATGGAGTAAACTCTCATATCAAATGACAGAGTGGCGGAATTGATACAAAAAGAAGATCCAACAATCTGTTGCCTACAAGAAACACACTTCACCTATAAAGACACACACAGACTGAAAATTGAGGGTTGGGCAAAGGTCTTCCATGCAAATGGAAAGACAAAAAGAGCAGGCATAGTTATATTTATATCAGACACAAAATAGATTTCAAGATAAAAAGTATAACAAGAGGCAAGGATAGTCATTATATAATGATAAAGGGATAAACTTAGAAAGAGGATATAACAATTGTATATATATATATGCACCCAACACTAGAGCACACAGATATATAAAGCAAATATTATTAGAGCTAATGAGAGAGATAGACCCCAATACAATAATAGCTGGAGACTTCAACAATACACTTTCAGCATTGGACAGACCATCCAGACAGAAAAATCAACAAAGAAACATCAGACTTAATCTGCACTATAGAACAAATGTACCTAACAGATATTACAGAACATTTCATCCAAAGGCTGCAGAATACATTCTTCTCCTCTGTACATGGATGATTCTTAAGGATGGAACATATGTTAGGCCACAAAGCCAAGTCTTAAAAGTTTCAAAAACATTGAAATAATATCAAGTTTCTCCTTTGACTGCAATGGAATAAAAGTAGAAGTCAATAACAAGAGGAATTTTGGAAACTATACTGTATTAGTCTGTTCTCATGCTGCTATAAAGAACTGCTGGAGATTAGGTAATTTATAAAGAAAAGAGGTTTAATTGACTCAGAATTCTGCAGGGGTAGGGAAGCCTCAGAAAACTTACAATCACAGTGGAAGGGGAAGCAAACAGGTCCTTCATCACATGGTGGCAGGAAGGAGAAGAATGAGAGATGAGCGAAGGGAGAAGCCCCTTGTAAAACCATCAGATCTTGTGAGAACTTACTCACTACCATGAGAATAGCATGGGGAAAACTGTCCCCATGATTCAATTACTTCCCACTAGGTCCCTCCCACCACACGTGGGGATTATGGGAACTACAATTCAAGATGAGATTTGGGTGGGGACACAGCCAAACCATATCATATACAAACAGATGGAAATTATACAATGCTCCCGATTGGCCAGTGGACCAATGAAAAAAGTAACAAGGAAATCTAAAAATTTCCTGAAACAAATGATAATGGAAAAACAACATACCAAAACCTACAGGATACAGCAAAAGCAGTTCTAAGAGGGAAATTTATAGTTATATGCTTCTACATCAAAAAAGTAGAAAAAGTTCAAATACAAAACCTAATGACGCACATTAAAGAGCTAAAAAAGCAAGAGTCAGCCAAACCCAAAATTAGTAGAACAGAAAAAATAAAGATTAGAGCAGAAATAAATGAAAACGAATAGAAGAAAACAATATAAAAGATCAATGAAACAAAAAGTTGTTTTTTTTTTGAAAAGATAAAATTGACAAAACTTTAGTGAGACTAAGAAAAAAAGAAGACCCAAATAAATAAAATCAGTGATGGAAAAAGGGTACATTACATTGATAACCACAGAAATTCAAAGGATCATTAGAGGCTACTATATGCCAATAAATTGGAAAACCTAGAAGAAATGGACAAATCCCTAGACACATACAACCTACCAAAATTGAATAATGAGGATCCAAAACCTGAACAGACCAATAACAAGTAATGAGATTGAAGCTGTAATAAAAAGTAACCCAGTAAAGAAAAGCCCAGGACCCAGTGGCTTTACTGCTGAATTTTACCAAGCATTTAAAGAGCTATACCAATCCTATCCAAACTATTCTGAAAAATAGAGGAGGAGGGAATACCTCCAAATTCATTCTACAAGGCCGGTATTAACCTGATACCAAAACCAGAGAAAGACACATGAAAAACAGAGAACTATATCCCTGATGAACACTGATGCAAAAATCCTCAACAAAACACCAACAAACTTAGTTCAACAACACATTAAAAAGATCATTCATCATGAGCAGGTGGGATTTATCCCTGGCCTGCAAGGACAGTTCAACATATGCAAATCAATCAATGTGATATATCATGTCAACAGAATGAAGGTTGAAAACCATATGACCATCTCAATCGATGCTGAAAAAACATTTGATAAAATTCAACATCCCTTCATGATAAAAACCCTAAAAAAACTGGATATAAAAGCAACATACCTCAACATAATAAAAGCCATATATGACAGACCCACAGCTAGTATCATACTGAATGGGGAAAAACTGAATGCCTTTCCTCTAAGATCTGGAACATGACAAGGAGGTCCACTTTCACCACTCTTATTTAACATAGTACTGGAATCCCTGGCTAGAGCAATCAGACAAGAGAAAGAAATAAAGGGCATCCAAATTGGAAAGGAAGAAGTAAAATCATCCCTTTTTTTGCAGATGATGTGTTCATCTATTTGGCAAAACCTAAAGACTCCACCAAAACTCTTAGAACTCATAAACAAATTCAGCCAAGTTGCCTATCTTGACTGAACATACCAACATATAAAAATCAGTAGCATTTCTATATGCCAACAGTGAACAACCTGAAAAAGAAATAAAAATATTAATGCCACTTACAATAGCCACAGATAAAATTAAATTCCTAGGAATAAACTTAACTAAAGAGGTGAAAGATCTCGGCAATGAAAACTATAAAACATTGATACAAAGCATTGAAGAAGATATAAAAAAAGGGAAGATATTCTATGTTCTTGGACTGAAAGAATCTATATTGTTAAAATGCCCGTACTACTCAAAGCAATCTACAGATTCAATGCAATCCCTATCAAAATCCCAGTGACGTCCTTCACAGAAATAGAAAAATCCATCCTAAAATTTACATGGGACTACAAAAGAGCCAGAATAGCCAAAGCTATGCTGAGCAGAAAGAACAAAACTGGAGGAATCACATTACTTGACTTCAAATTATACTACAGAGCCATAGTAACCAAAACAGCATAAAAGCAAACATATAGACCATTGGAACAGAAGAGAGAACCCAGAAACAAATCCATATATTTACAATAAAGTCACTTTTGACAAAGGTGCTAAAAATATACATTGGAGGAAAAGACAGTCTCTTTAATAAATGGTGCTGGGAACACAGATTTTAAGGAAGAATGAAACCAGACCTCTATCTCTCACCATATACAAAAATCACAACCAAGTGAATTAAAGACTTAAATCTAAGACCTCAAACTTTGAATTACTAAAAGAAAATATTGGGGAAACTCTCGAGGACACTGAACTAGGCAAAGACTTATTGAGTAATATCCCAAAGCAGAGGCAACCAAAGCAAAAATGGACAAATGGGTTTACATCAAGTTAAAAACTTCTGCACAGCAATCACAACAATCAACAAAGTGAAGAGACAACCCACACAATTGGAGGAAATATTTGCAAACTGCCAATCTGACAAGAGATTAATAGCCAGAATATATAATGAGCTCAAACAACTTTATAGGAAAAGATCAATAATCCAATTAAAAAATGGACAAAAAATCTGAATAAACATTTTTTGAAAGAAGACATACAAATGACAAACAGGTATGTAAAAAGGTGTTCAGCATCACTGATAATCAAATAAATGAAAATCAAAAGTACAGTGAGATATTGGGCATAGTGGTTCACGACCGCAATCCCAGCACTTTGGGAGGTCAAGTCAAGGCAGAAGGATCCCTTGATTCCAGGAGTTTGAGAACAGCCTAGGCAACATAGTGAGACCTCATTTCATCTTAAAAAAATAAAAAAGCCAGGTACGGTGGAGCACACTTGTAGTTCACCTCAGCTTCCTGAGTAGAGGTGGGAGGATTGCTTGAGACCACGAGTTTGAGTTTGCAGAGAGCTATGATCATGCCACTGCACTACAGCCTGGGTAACAGCAAGACCCTGTCTTAAAAAAAAAGTACAATGAGATATCCTTTTATTCCAGTGAAATGTCTTTTATGCACAACAAATGCTGGGGAGGATGTGGAGAAAAGGGAACCCTTGTACACTGTTGGTGGGACTGTAAATTAGTACAGTCGCTATGGAGAACAGTTTGGAGCTTCCTCAGAAAATTAAAAATAGAGATAGCATATGATTAGCAATCCCCCTACTAGGTATATGCCCAAAAGAAAGGAAATCAGTATATCGAAGAGATATCTGCACTCCCATTTTCATTGCAGCACTATTCACAATAGCCAAGATTTGGAAGAAATCTAAGTGTCCATCAATAGATGAATGGATAAAGAAAATGTGATACATATACACAATGGAGTACTATTCAGCCATAAAAAGAATGAGATCCTGTCATTTGTAACAGCATGGATGGAACTGGAGGTCACTATGTTAAGTGAAATAAACCAGGCCCAGAAAGACAAACTTCACATGTTCTCACTTATTTGTGGGAGCTAAAAATTAAAACAAGTGTACTCATGAAGATAGAGAGTAGAATGATGGTTACCAGAGCCTGGGAAGTGTAGTTGGGGTAAGGGAGAGAGGATGGTTAATGGGTACAAAAATATAGTTAGATAGAATGAATAAGATCTGGTATTTAATAGCACCATAGGGTGACTACAATCAACAAAAATTTATTGTACATTTAAAAATAACTAAAATATTGGATTGTTTGTGACACAAATAAAGGATAAATGCTTGAGGTGATGGATACCCCAGTTACCCTGATGTGATTATTATGCATTGCATGCCTATATCAAAATATCTCCTGTACCCCATAAAATATATACCTAGTATGTTCCCACAAAAATAAAAAATAAAAAATTTAAAAACCCATTGCATCAAATCTGCCTCCTAAAAACAGATGCTATATCAATCAATAAGGAATAATGGAATAAATGAGAAAAAATTTATTGGCCTCTGACAATGGTCTATCACTGTACTGTGTGCTGTGCAGAATACAAAGGAAATTAGCCTTGGTCCCTGACTCCAAGGGAGTCATAGTCTTGTTGGAATAAAAAACTTGAAGATGGACAGGAAATTCTTTGAGTATAGTGCACATGAAGTTCTGTGTTGCTGGCTCAGTGCAGGAGGTGGGAGGAAATGACTCTGAAATGGATGGTCAGGGAAGTTTCCTGCAGTAGCAGGCCTTGAGCTGCACTCTGGAAATTTGAAGCAAGAGGGAAGAAAGAATAAGCAGCAAATGCATAGGCACAATCATGAATCTGAGCTTGAGTGTGGAGTGGGAGATGAGGTCACATCAATTAGGTTAGGGAGGACCTTGAAAGATCAACAGAGGAGTTTCAAAGGTAAACGATTAATTTACTTTTCCAGGAGTGTACGCTCCTCACCAGACTACTCACTGATATATTCTTTTTAGGGAAGAGACTGGCCAGAAGCCCACCTGGATGTACCACAAGTAGAAATTCTCTTGGGGGAACTGCCTGGCAAATTCTGCTGAAAATAGCTCCCTTGATGCTAACTTGCCAAAAACTCAATTTCCTATCTGAGGGAAGTTAGGGAATTTCTCTTATCAGACCCCTGCCTCTAGCTGCTACAGCCAGACTGTAGTCAGTTATACGAATGCATTTTAAACAAGTTGCAAGATTAGAGACTCCAGAAATGGCAGGGGGAAAGGCTGTACTTATCCTATTTTCAGCAGATAAAGGGGAATTCAGGGAGTGGAAAAACGAGAACATCTGTTGTTGGAGGTAAAAACAGGCCTGCCCCACACTCTCCCCCTTGAACTCAGGGCCCCATCACAGGTGCACACCTCACACCAGTCTCTTGCAGGTTAATTCCTTCTGCTGCTCCTGCAGCCCTTAGAAACCCTTGATTTCTGAACCACGAGTCTGATTTCCACCTCCACTCTTCTCATAGCTCTCTCTCCAGCTACTGATCTGCTGATAGGTTTGACCCTTAGTCTCTGAAGAGAAATCAGGCCGAGAAGAACAGAGACAACCATTGTGGGGAAAGAGTCAAGTTTACCGCAGCAGCTCCTGCCTGAGCCACAGGTCCCATGTCTCCTTCTTAAGTAGTTTCTTGTAGATCTCAGTCCCACTCCAGCCCAACTGAGTTCGACTTTTTGTTTTACCAAGAACCCCTAGGCAGATGAATCAAATGCATATTAAGGTGTGAGAAGCATTGTTCTTTTTCACTCCTTGGGAGTCAGTGCTTCAGGAAGAAACTCCTCAGACAGAAGTTTGAAGTAGATGGGTCAGCACTGCTGTTTGATTTGGAGAGCCTGGCTTTATAAAATTCTTTCTGGAGGTGTCCTTCCCTCCTCTTCCTCCTGTAAACACTGGTTGAGAGCTTGCAGTGTGCCAGGTACCAGGCCAGGCTCTGGGGATACAAGTTTGCAAGGAGGAGCTGGCCCTTCAGCAGCTGATGATGCACTGGGAACAGTGCATGCAAATAACTCACCTAGGGGTGTACTCATGGCCACCCTTCTGCTTAGAATGTTCGTCTTTCCTTCTTCACTAGCCTTGTCCCTTTAGGTGAGTCTTGTATTTTCCAATTGTTCCTTCACCTCCATTGCCCGATTCCCTGGCCAGCTTCAGGTCATGCTATACCGACTCTGACATCCCTTCTTCCCTGTATATAGGTCTGCATGGCCACCTCCTTTAGACTTATCATGTCTGCTCTTCAGTTTTACTGTCAGTAGTTAAGTCCATTTCTTCCCATGTCAAGTCCTCCCTACTTTGCCTCTGCTAATTCTGGAACCCATCCCCTTTTCCTTTACTTCAATACTGTGAGTTTAATCCAGGCCCTCCATCCTTATCAGGAATGATTCACTATCTTTATAACCAGTCTTTCTGTACTGTGTCTTGTTCCCATCAAATTCAATCTCTTTGTGTTTGTTCTTTTTTTTTCTGACTACATCCTGCATGAAAATCCATTCTCTACAGGAGACAGAGTAATCTTCCTAATACATAAAACTGAATGCGCATTAAAGTCCTTCAAAGAGTCTATGCGGGATACTCTATGCCTTACCAAAGCATATGACACCTTTCATGACCTGTCTCCCAACTGTCTAGCCTCATCTCCCATGACTCTTTATCTTATATTTCAGCTGCAACAAACCTCTTGACATCTTGTATTTTCATCCTTGTTTCACGTACTTGTGACCATTTGTCTGCTTAGAAAGTGCTTCTTTCTTTCTTCACCAAGTTGATGTCTGGTCTTGTCGCCATATCCAGTTCAACTTTCCTATTGTAAGAATTCTATTGGTTTTTAAACCCTAGCTGCACATTACAGCCACTTGTGGGTGACTCTAAAAATACCAATATGTAGACTGATACCCTGGCCCTGTCCCCAGAGAATCTGGTTTGGTTGATTTGGGGACTGATGTTTGGGCATTGGTGTTTTTATTTTTTTATTATTTATTTATTTTGAGATGGAGTTTTGCTTTTGTGGCCCAGGCTGGAGTGCAGTGGTGCAATCTTGGCTCACTGCAACCTCTGCCTCCTGGGTTCAAGCGATTCTCCTGCCTCAGCCTCCCGAGTAGCCGGGATTATAGGAGCCCACCACCATGCCTGGCTAATTTTTGTATTTTTAGTAGAGACAGGGTTTCACCATGTTGACCAGGCTGGTCTCAAACTCCTGATCTCAGGTGATCCACCCGCCTTGGCCTCCTAAAGTGTTGGGATTACAAGCGTGAGCCACCACGCCCAGCTGACATTGGTATTTCTAAAAAGTTGCTTAAACTGTTGCTTCTCAAACTTTAATGTGCATGCATCTGAGTCACCTGGGGATCTTGCTAAAATGGAGATTGTGATTCAGTAGATCCCAGGTGCCTGAGATTCTGAATTTCTACCACACTCGCTGGTGATGCTGGTGCTGGTGGTCCATAGACTGCACTGTGAGTAGCGAGGGTCTTGGGGGGAAGATGCTGAAGTGCAGCTGGGTGGGAAGCCCCTATGCTGCAGGATGTTTTCAGGCCTCTCAGTCACTGATTTCTCTTTGCTGCCCTGCTGTGTGCGTGCTGACCTCTAACTGCTGGACTTACTACTTTTGATTTCCCCATGTTTCTTATAGCAAAAGGACTTCCTCCAGTTTTCCATGCAGCCATTGGTAATAAAAATGCCATGGGCTGTTTTATGAGGGAGAAAATCTCATATGCCTTTTTACTAAGCAAATACTTTGGCCAAAAAAGTCACTTTTCTTTAAGATGCTTTCAAGTAGATTGGTACGACATCAAAGAAAGAATATTTTCTGTGGAAGTGAAGGAAGGTGGTTTGTTTACTTAAGAAACGGAACTCACTGGCCTATCTGAAGTGTTTGAAGGAAGTAGTAAGTTCATATATAAAAAGCAATGCTAAAAAATGTATAATAACACCAATAATGGTAGTAATAATGATCATTGGTTACACATATTAAACATTTTTTAAAATCAAGGCACTGCTGTAAACATTTTATATATAACAACACGATTAATCCTAAAAAATCCTTTGAGGTAGCACTATTAATTATCCCCATTTTACACATGAGGAAATGAAGACACAGAGATCTTAAGTACGCAGCTATGTGAACTGAGAAAGTTGCTTTACTGAGACAAGTTAGTAGTAAAAAGTGTTTTAAAGTGCTAGCATCATCCAGGGGTTAAAGCTATTATTTAACATCCGTGAAAGGAACAAGAGATTACTGAAGAAATCTTCAAGGAAAATGGCCCTTCCCCAGCATATGCTGTTCACAGACTTTCAGTGGTATTAGGGAACATCAAATTGGAAAAGTTTTTGAAACATGTGACTCCCAATTTTGAGTGCAGTTCAAATATCCTGGGGGCAATGTAAAGATGCTTAGTCTTGCTTCAGGGAGATTTACCAGGAAGAGATGTCATCTTTCGTCTAAACTTTCATTGTACTCTTATTTTAAGATACTTCACTGAGTCTAATCCATGTTGTAAACGTCTCCTAAAATAACTCTTCCAAGATTACTTTTAAGTATTTGGATTTAATATTTAATAGAGATCTATAAAAGCATATGCCTGCAGTTGCATGTTGTATGGTATTTCTATGGTATAAATGATTTTCCAGGAATGAAATGTACATTTACAAAGCTGCATCTATAGGAGACAGGCATTTCACTTATGGCCTGACAATTCTCCTTATGACTGTTGGCCAAAACTTAAGAAGGTTGAGAGTGGATTTGTGCACAGGTAAGTTCCTCAATACTTTATGTGCATATATCCTCTAGGGCTTACTGATATGGTTTGGCTGTGTCCCCACCCAAATCTCATCTTGAATGGTAGCTCCCATAATCCCCATGCGTCAGAGGAGGGACCCAGTGGGAGGTAACTGAATCATGGGGGCGGGTTTTTCCCAGGTTGTATTGTGAAAGTGATAAGTCTCATAAGATCTGATGGTTTCATAAATGGCAGTTCCCCTGCACATGCTGTCTTGCCTGCCGCCGTGTAAGACATGACTTTGCTCCTCCTTTGCCTTCTGCCATGATTGTGAGGCCTCCCCAGCCATGTGGAACTGTGAATCCATGAAACCTCTTTCCTTTACAAATTACCCAGTGTTGGGTATGTCCTCACAGCAGTGTGAGAAAGGACTAATACAGCTTACCTTTTAAATCAGTGCCTGGCATGATGCTCAATATGTTTAATTGAACCAAACCAGTACCAATAGCCAATGTGTATAGAGTGCATTCTTTGATCCAGGGACTATGCTACATGCAGGGATTATCTCATTGAAGCCTCTCCACATAAAGCCGTGGTATGAATGCAAACCTAGGCCTTATAAAGATTGAGGCCACCCTCTTGAGCTTGTTAGTGCTTCTGCAGCTAAAGTGTGGCCTTGGGCTGTGTAGAGGCCACATGTCTTTCCAGCTGCCAGGCTGTCTGCAACTCCCACACCCAAGTCTTCTCAACAGACTGCTCTCTCTTCCTGAACTGTTTGAGGAGCTTCTCTTTTACACAGCACATGAGCTGGGCAGAAAAGCTACTGACACACCTTGAATCCAAGAAACCACAATTTTAACATTTTATCCACTTTATGAAAGTCTCCCTGAAACCTAAATCAAATACATATTTTCCAGTTTAAATTTTAAAAGAATTTATACAACTGAAGTTTTACCTTCGGATCCCACATTTAATTACAAGTGGTCTTAAATGTGGCCCCACTTCAGTTGTCAAATAACCTTATGATTTGGGTATTTTCTCTACTTTACAGGTGAGGAAACTGAGGCATAATAGGGCCTCACCCAAGTCACACAGCTGCTGAGTGACAGCAGCCTGATCCCAGGATGCCCGACTGCAGCTTCATTGCCCTTTTCCTGAGACCAAAGCCCATGTCTGTTCCCAACAGCATGTGGCATTTTCCTGTTTTCAGAGCTTTTTCCCATCATCCTCATAGCCATCTCATGAATCACAGCTCATGTATTATTCTCCCACTTGACAGTTGACAACACGGAGGCCCTGAGAGATGAGGATGCAGTCTTGTTACTCAGGTTGTTCAGTGGAGGAGCCAGAACGTCAGCCCAGACCTCCTGACAAATACCTGGAATTTACAGAAATGACGGCAGACATTGGGGGTAGAAAGGCCATTGCATCTCCAGGTTATTCCAGATAAGGCCCTAAACTATGTTGTGAACTTGAGTTTTTGCTGAGGTGGATGCTGAGACCAGGAGAAAGGTGGGGAGGAAACGGGAGACAACGATGTGTGGCTTCTCACGCCTTCCCAGGTCTTGCTGGCCACCTCTGCTCTGGTCCCATCTCCACATTGTACAGATGGGAAAACCAAGGCCCAGAGAAGGGAAGTGACTTGCCTGGGTAAGGGAGGCACTACCTTTGGGTTTGAGTAGTCTTGGGGTGGGCTTGTCATGATGCATGAAGTAACTTCTAGTGGCTCCCAGGAAGCTTAAACTTTTCTTTTGACTATCTATCACCTCATAATCTGGCTCATCCTACCCATCCATTTGTTATGTGCTGCTTCTCCTAGAGTCTCAGGCCAGAGATACACAGACACTCAGAGGGTGTTTGGTCTGGTCAGCCCTGCCTCACCGCTGTCGATGCGCTGCACCCCAGTGATTTCGGGTTGAGCACCCACCTACTTCTCTCCACCTACCCACATCTCCTCCATCCTTTAAGACCTAGCTTAGCTCAAGTTCCAACTCCCCCATAAAGCCTTTCCAGGCTAATCAGCTCTTACCTATTTCCCTCTCCTTGGAGCATGGCACTCAATTTAACACCTAAACATGTGGTATCTTGTGAGATTTGCCATTTCTTCATTTGCGTTGTTCTTATCCACATTCTTCATAACAATAATAACCAGTAGTATTTTGAATATTTACTACCTGTCAGGCTTTTTCCTATGTGCTTTTCATTTTTTGACTTGTTTAATTCTTACAGCAACTCTGTGAAATAGGGATGAAAATTACCACTGAGGCATAGCAATGTTAATTGTTTGCCCAGTGTAACATAGCCCCAGGGACTCTGGCTCTAGTGCCCACACGGAACCACTCCCCTAATTGGTCTCTTTGGAGTGTAAGCTTTTTTTTTGCAGCCAGGCACCATGTATTTATCTTTATCTTTCTTTCTTTCTTTCTTTTTTTTTTTTTGAGACGGAGTCTCACTCTGTCACCTAGGCTGGAGTGCAGTGGTGTGATCTCAGCTCACTGCAACCTCTGCCTCATGGGTTCAAGCAATTCTCCTGCCTCAGCCTCCCTAGTAGCTGGGATTACAGGTGTGAACCACCACACCCAGCTAATTTTTTGTATTTTTAGTAGAGACTGGGGGGGTCAGTATGTTGTCCAGGCTGGTCTCGAACTCCTGACCTCAAGTGATCCACCCACCTCAGCCTCCCAAAGTGCTGGGATTACAGGCATGAGCCACCACGCTCGGCCTTATCTTTTTCTTCTCCCAGATCCATCGCTTAAATTTTCTGAGCCAAAGACTCCTCATTATTCCGTGGAGATCACACCTTCAGAGGAGGCATGACTGTGAGGATAAAGTGACGTTATACAAAGGTTAGCATGGTATCTGGCACATGATAGGTACCCAAATATTTGCTGTATAAGACTTAGAGAATCTTCTCTGAACTCCTCACTTCTGGCTTCTCTGCTAGTAAGAAAAATGAAGCTGCTCTTTGACAGAAAATCACATATCTAAATTGTGTGTCATTTACATCAGTTAACATGGGAGTATAAGTAGATTTACTTCAAAAAAATTTTTTTTAAAGATTAAAACCACCTACTGCAGTCAGCCCTTAAGGTCCAACTCACCTGGAACACATTAATAGCTTTAAAAGGTAATTAGTCTCCTAGTGTGCACTGGGAGATACAGCATAGGGTGCATGCCCAGCTACTCAGGATGCAGATTCAAGGAGATACAGGGGTGGGGTGCAGTGGCTCACGCCTGTAATCCCAGCACTTTGGGAGGCCGTGGAGGTTGTAGTGAGCCGAGATCACACCACTGTGCTCCAGCCTGGGCGACAGACAGAGACCCCATCTCAAAAAAAAAAAAAAAAAAGAAAAAAAAAGGAGATACAGGGACTCACACACTTGGTCTTTATTTGAGGTAACTTAATTCAAATGACTTCTTAGAATTATATGGGATAACGACCACAATAGAAATTTCTGGAGATTCTTGTCCTACCCACAGCCTTCTTTACTAGAAACTACTCTCCCCACCAGTAGTCTGGGTGGAAGGAGAAGTGGGATCCAGGTAGACTTTGTTTGTACCATGCTCCCTCCCCTCCCCTGATTGGATCTGTGGTGGATGCCTGACCAGAGTCCAGCCAATCCACTTGTTGGCCAGCATCCAATCAGATTCTCTCTTTTGAGAATTTGAAACTGGAGACAGAGAGAGTGAAGGGGTCCTGAAAGGTCCAGTTGACATAGGCTTGTGTCTATAATGCAGCTCAAAGAGAAATGGAGAGGAGAGAGCAAGATCTGGGAAAAAACACATAGCTCTGGAGAGGTAGAACAAGGTCTGTTTCCAGGGCAGGAATTTTTGCATGTCCTACAAGGCATTTCTTTTTGATTGGAATCCACAGTCGGATGGATTTATTTATTTATTTTTTATTTGAGATGAAAAGTCTTGCTCTGTTGCCCAGGCTGGAGTGCAGTGGTATGATCTCAGCTCACTGCAGCCTCTGTCTCCCCCGGTTCAAGCCTCCAGAGTAACTGGGACTACAGGCCCATGCCACCACACCCTGCTAATTTTTGTATGTGTTTTTTTTTTTTTTTTTTTTTTAGTAGAAACGAGGTTTCACCACGTTGGCCAGGCTGGTCTCGAACCCCTGAGCTCAAGTGATCTGCTTGCCTCAGCCTCCCAAAGTGCTGGGATTCAGGCCTGAGCCCCTTCACCCAGCCAGTTGAGTGGATTTCTGTTCCTTGAAACCCACTGATTCCTGAGAGAATGATGTGAACCATATGCTTCTCTCTGGTTGTGACAGCATGTATTGACTTATCTACAGTATATTAGTCTGTTTTCACACTGCCGATAAAGACTGGGAAGAAAATAGGTTTATTGGACTCACAGTTCAATGGCTGGGGAGACCTCACAATCATGGCGGAAGGCAAAAGGCACTTCCTACATGGCATCAGCAGAGAGAATTTACGCAAGTATACGCCCGTTTTTAGAACCATCAGATCTCATGAAACTCATTCTCTATCACGAGAGCAGTGCAGGAAAGACCCGCCCCCATAATTCAATCACCTCCCACTGGGTTCTTCCCAGACACGTGGGAATTGTGGGAGTTACAATTCAAGATGAAATTTGGGTGGGGACACAGCCAAACCATATGATATGGTATGTTAATTTATGTAAATGTACTGGGCGTGGTGGCTTACACCTGTAATCCCAGCACTTTGGGAGGCCGAAGAGGGTGGATTGCCTGAGGTCAGGAGTTTGAGACCAGCCTGGCCAACATGGTGAAAATCCCGTCTACTAAAAATACAGAAATTAGCCGTGCCTGGTGGCAGGCACATGTAATCCCAGCTACTCGGGAGGCTGAGGCGGGAAAATCGATTGAATCCGGAAGGCGGAGGTGCGGTGAGCTGAGATCTGGCCACTGCACTCCAGCCTGGGCGACAGAGAGAGACGCCATCTCAAAAAAAAAATTATGTAAATGACATACAATTTAGAGTTTTTTGGGGGAGGGGAGTTAAAGACTAGTTGTGTTTTTCTTGACAAGATAGTGTGAAGTCTCCGGAGTGGAATCCTCAATTCTTGTTCAGCAAATGTTTGAGTACCTGCCACATACCAAAGGGACTCCTGTGGTTGGACACATCTGCACTACTCCAGACAGGCTTTCCTCAGCCTTTCCTATGCAGCTAAGACCTGGTCAAGAGACAAGATTATTCAGCTTCTGAGTGATACATATTGCTTGCTTCTCTGTCTTTCGGCTCTGCCTGCATTTTCCAAGTTTCAGGCTCCTAGGCGTCTCTGCCACTGGGTGGAGGAAAGAACAGAGGAGATGCAGGGGAAAATAATTAAAGCCAGCCAGTCTTGCTCCATACTTTGAGTTCCAGCTCTAAGTTTGGTGAAGGAAATAGTTCACAGGCTGATGGGGAGAATGTTTAGTTAAGAAATCTTTACTTTTGAATTATCATCGATGTGTCCATTAGATTCCTGACATTTCCAGTTCTGTGGAGGCAGCAGAAGGTGGGGGAAGAATCCAGCCTTCAGGCCTGTGTCCTTTCCAATCCTGGCTTTACTAATGGGGGGATGTGGGCAAGGTCCACTCTTATCTTCAAGCCTTTGTTTCCCATTGATAAAATGAACATTAATAATCTAACTCACAGAGTGGTTTTAGGAGCAAATAAGAAACTAGATGGAAAGAGATTTCCACATCATAAGGAATAAAGAATGTGTGGGGGATGGTCAGTGAGGCCGTAGTGGAGAAATGGCTGTGTCTGCAGCACAAGTCTCAACCTGCCCTGACTTGCAACACCTCCAAGATTCCAGACTCAGGATTCTTTTCCTTTTAATCCTTCTTTTCTGTAGCTCTCTCTGGGGAAAGAAAAAAAAATGCCTCCAGTAGGGGGATTACAGAACATAGAAACAAGCCTTCATTTTGGAATACTTAGTAAGGTATTTCTCTCTATTGAAGATTCTTGATCAAAGGTAAATCTGTTTTATATTTTGGTCAATTTGAGTAAAAGTCACTGAACTCTTTTCCTCCCACAGTCTATACAGAAGGTGAAAAAGAAGAATCATCAAAGGGCTGGGCATTTCCTTCCAAGCACTCTCCCCCAGGGACTGCCCACTGGGACCTCTCACCTCTAACGATTCTGCCTTAGTTGGTCTGGGGTGCCGCCTGGACATCTGTGTTTTCAGAAAGTTCCCAGGACATTCTAATGGGCATCCAGGGTGCGAACTTACTGAGCTGGTCTAAACCATCAGTTGGCAGATGAGGAGATGGAGGCTGTGATTTATTTTAAACTATAGCCCTTCATTTAAATTCCTGTCGGCCTCCTCAGGAGGTTTGGCTAACACAGAAATCTCCAGTATTCTAAAATGGAGAAACGGTGCGGTGGCTCACGCCGTTGATCGCAGCACTTTGGGAAGCCGAGGCGAGAGATCGCTTGAGGTCAGGAGTTTGAGACCATCCTGGACAATGTGGTAAAACCCCATCTCTATTAAAAATAACAAAAATTAGCCAGGTATGGTGGTGGGCACCTGTAATCCCAGCTACTCAGGAGGCTGAGGCAGGAGAATCGTTTGAACTAGGAGGTGGAGGTTGCAGTGAGCTGAGATCGTGCCACTGCACTCCAGCCCGGGCGACAGACTGAGACTCTGTCTCAAAATATATATATATGAGAAATGTTCCACCCCAGCCAGCCTAAACTCTTAATGTCATTACCATAATGATCCTCAACACCTTCCTGACAATGTCAGGCATCTTTAATATCCTCCGTATTCCCAAGGTGACTTCTGGAATTGGGAGAAATACTTCTATTTATGTTTCTTGCTTCAGTCCATTTCTTTCTGCTTCCACTGCCCTCCCACTGGGTCATGTCTTAGCTGACATCTGACCTGGTCCATCAGCCTGCAAACTGGTCTCCTGCTCTCTGCTTTCCTTTGCTTTATTCTACCTGAAATACCAGGGTCTCAATGTCTCAGCCTGACCAAGAAAGTCTCCCACCTCTAGTTTCTGAACATATTTTGTATTATTCTGCCCTGCTTCAGGCTTTGCTCTTCACCTTCCACTTCCTTTTCTGCCTTCTGAACCTCATTTATTCTTCAAAGTTCAGCTGAAGTGTAGTCTCCTCTATTGAGTCTTTTGGGATCTCCTACCACCAGAAGGATTTCTCCCTGAATTCCTGTCACACTTTATTTGTGCTTGGCTTTGACACATAGCAGATACTGAATCTCACACAGAGACTTTGATCTCCTTGGGGATCCCATCCTTTATATCTTTCTACCTCCTTACATAATACCTAACATGGTCTTTTTTTTTTTTTTTGGCCATGGTTGGTGTGTGGTAAATATTTGTCGCATGAATGAATGCATAATTGTACAAACAGTTAAGTGACTTTTGCAAGATCATCTAGCTAGTCTGATGGACAGAGTAGAGAGCCAATTCATGTCTCTGGTATTTACACTCAATACCATCCCCAGAAGCCCATTTTCCTTAAAGACAATTGATAAATGGCTCACTTAAAAAAATTAGCTATCTCATCAAGAACATCTGTTTGCTAGTTTAGAAAAAAATGAGTAAGAAAAAAGTTAAGTAATTTGGGAGAGGAAAAAACTGTCTGTGAGTAGCTCAACCAAAACAAAGCGAATACACAAAATCTCCCAAATATTAAGATTTGTTGAGAGCTACATTTTCCTGTTATTCTTGGGAGGGTCTGAGAAAGCAGGAGGTTGGGGTAAAGGGGATAAGAACAGGTTGCTCCCAGAAGATCAGGTGTCTCAGGCTTTGTGGAAGCATCTACTCTGCCTGAGTGCTATGTGGTTGCTGCATATTCTCGACATTGCATGATAGACTTGGTATAGCCTGGGTTAGCAAGGGTTAGGGCAGTTTCTTCCCCATTATCATCTCATTAAACTTCTGAATGCTAAAGCTTTACTAGCTGAGTCTATCAGGTTTAATCTCTCCTGAATTCCACACATTTCATTTAAGCTGCATAGTTAATTGCCTAACGGGTAATTGAAAATGAGGCATGAAACATGTGGTGAGTGAAGGCTAGAATACAGACCTTAACTTTACGTTCCTCGTGGCTCTGTGAGCTCAGCATCCATTAATTGCATTCCCTTTGATTACCAGCAATTGGTTCAGCCAGTGAGTTAGCTCCAAGTGCCTGCTTTTTAGAATCTTAACTGCCATTTCCATCTCCCTCCTTCCCCACTTCCCATCCCACCACCACCAAGCACACACCCATACACACATCTGCACGTACACATACACTCCTCTTTTCTATTCCTGGGATAGTGGCCTCTCTCAAACTATTCACTATCTGAAGAAATCGACTTTTGAAATGAAGCCTAGAAAAGCAATTACTGGGCCTTGTCTGGTTTCGTGCTGATGAGTGGAGAGTGCAGGGCGCTCGCAGCTGTGGACTCATCTGACACCCCTGGCTTCTCAGCAGGCACCTGCTCTGCTGTGCACAGATGCTTCTTGAGTTATGGCCCCTTCCTTGTTTCTCCTGCTCTGTGATCCTGGAGCACGAGGGTTCTGGTGAGTGCTCTCTGCTGCACAGGTTGGTGTTTAACCACCAAGCCCAGCATTATATTCATGCAACCTCTTTTTGCCTCATCAAAATGAAAAAATAAATCCATGTTTCTAGATCCTTAGAAGAAAGGTCTTGTATCTGTGAGGTCTTATTTTTAGGGGACTCTGGAACCAAAGAGCCATGCCTGCCTTTGTGCAGAGGTGGCCCGCAAGCCTGGCAGGGACCCAGAAACATACAGCTAGACCAAAGACAAGAGTAAACTAATGGAAGATCATTAATGAGTGATTGCACTGACTGCTTGTTCCTAGTTGATTTGCATAGAATTGTATAATATTGGATGCTTATTAAAATACAAGGGTAAAGTGTGCTGTGTGTGGGCAGAGAGGTGGGACCATGGAGTGGGAAGAGCTTTGGGCTAAGGGTTGGGGCTTGAATTCCATCCCCAGCCCAGTCCCTGAGTGTATCTGGCTTTTTGCCAAGTTGCTCACTGTCTCTGGACCTCACTGTCCCCATCTCTGAGATCATCTCTTGCAGCCTTTCTGGCCACAGGACAGGGTGATGTTTAAGAAGGGCTTTGAGCAGTGCTCAGAAACCATGTAGAGATAAAGCAGCACAGCAGGGACTGCCAAGGCCAAGAGACTGACCCAAATAAGACCCGGTCACATCCCAGTGCTGCCGGCAGACAGCATCAGCTCTGCCCACCGTCGTTCATCTATTGCCCAATTTGATCGAATCCTATCTCGTCTCTGCTTTGTTAACTGAACTCACTTAGGATTGGTCATTTATAGATTTGTAGATTTGTAGATTTTTTCCTCTTCTGCTGTGGATTTAAGTGCCTATAGCAATTGAAATCTATGCTTGGTTGTGATTGGGAGATAGCGATTAAATTAATAGCTCTTTCCAACAAGGATAAACTTCAATGAAGGTAGTAGATAAAATGTCTAATTAAACAGGCGTATCATTATCGACTTTGAGTCTAAATAAATTTACCTCTAACTTGGGTGGGCTAAGAGGTTAATTAGAAAGCAGAGGATGTGACTCAGCTGGCGTGCTCATGGATAAATGTGGAGTCTGGGCTGAGAAGGCAGGGGGATGATTCCGTCCAGTGTCACTCTTTCCCATCCCTCCAGTGTAATACTTGTGACAGACACGAGCCCAGCATGGCCTATGCTGTGTCCCCCACACAGTGAGTCTGCAGTGAGGAGTATTGTTTTCCTGTGAATGGAGAGAACTCACAGACCCAGAACTGAGGAGGGTGTGGGGAAACACACAGGGATGTTTGCCTTGTCTGTCGGAGATGATGGTGACATGAGGACAGCAGTGGGATTCGGGCTCAGCCACATTTTGCTTTATTCTGGGGGAAGCAAAAGCTCAACCCTTATATTTCTCCTTCCTCCAACGTCAGCTAACTAACATTTATTTAGCCCTTGTAGGGTCTACATTTAAACTGCAGAGTTAGTGAGTACCATTCTTGTGGTCTACATTTAAAAAAAAATTCATTGTTGTATATTCCACATTACACAAAATGCATCATTTTAACCATTTCTAAGTGTACAGTTCAATAGCATTAAGTACATTCACATTGTTGTGTTATCAGCACCATCAAGCTCCAGAACTCTTTTCGTCTTATACGATGGAATCTCTCTACCTATTAAACAGTAACTTCCCATTCTCCTCTTCTTCCAGTCCCTGACAACTACCATTCTACTTTCTGTGTCTATGAATTTGACTACCCTTAGGTAACTCATATAAGTGGAATCTTACAGCATTTTCTTTTGTGACTAGCTTATTTCACTTAGCACAATGTTCTCAAAGTTCATTCATGTTGTAGAATGCCAGAATTTCCTTCCTTTAAGGCCAAATTATATTTCATTATACGTATGTACCACATTTACTTATCCATCTGTTGATGGACACTAGGTTTGCTTCCACCTTTTTTTTTTTTTTTTTTTTTTTGAGACAGAGTCTCACTCAGTCACCCAGGAGGCTGGAGTGCAGTAGCACGATTTCAGCTTACTGCAACCTCTGCTTCCCAGGTTCAAGTGATTCTCCTGCCTCCGCCTCCTGAGTAATTGGGATAACAGGCGTGCACCACGACACCCTGCTAAATTTTTTTTTGTTTTTGTTTTTTTTTGGATTTTTAGTAGAGATGAGGTTTCACCATGTTGGCCAGGCTGGTCTCGAGCTCCTCACCTCAAGTGATCCACCCGTCTTGGCCTTCCAAAGTGCTGGGATTACAGGTGTGAGCCACTGCCCCCGGTCTGCTTCCACTTTTTGGTTATCAACAATAATGCTACTATGAACATGGGTGTACAAATATCGTTGGAGATCCTGCTTTTAATTCTCTGGGTTATATACCCAGAATTGGAGTTGCTGGATCATATGACAATTTTATTTTTAGTTTTTGTTGAACTACTCTACTGTTTTCTGTAGTGGCTGCATCATTTTACATTCCCACCAACAGTACACAACGGTTCCAATTTTTCCATATCCTTACCAAACCAACCTTCCTTCCTCCCTTCCTTCCTTCCTTCCTTCCTTCCTTCCTTCCTTCCTTCCTTCCTTCCTCCCTCCCTCCTGATGGGTATGAGGTGTATGTCATTGTGGTTTTAATTTGCACTTTTCTAATGATTAGGGATGTCCAGCATATTTTTGTGTGTCCTGTGTCCTACATTTTGTTAGGTTTGGAATTATAGTTTACAATGTAGCCAGGAAGAGGACACTTAAACAAAGAAACATGGAAATTTGTGTTAAATTGAGGTCTCAACTGCAACTTAACACCCTAACAGTATTAAGACAAGGAGGACAGTGGGGTCAGCTTGAGCTCTGAAGAAGAAATAGACCTCCAGTGGGGAAGTGACTTGTGCACGTCCTGCAGCCAGTGAGGAACAGGTCTCCTGGCCAGCAGGCCTTCTCTTTTGGCTGGGGTTTTCCACATGCAGTGTGTATAAGACTCATTAGGGGCTTTCAAGTTTCTACCTTTCAGAGATTCTGATGAAGTGGATCTGAAGTGGGCCCAGGACCTTGCTTTAGAGTCAGTGCCCTCATGGTGAGTTTGATACATCAGTGAATATATTAATTTCCTATAGCTGCTCTCACAAATGACCATAAATTTAGTGACTTGAAACAACACAAAGTTATTATTATTATTATTATTATTATTATTATTATTATTTTTTGAGACGGAGTCTTGCTCTGTCACCCAGGCTAGAGTTCAGTGGCGTGATCTCGGTTCACTGCAACCTCTGCCTGCCTGTTCAAGTGATTCTCCTGCCTCAGCCTCCCGAGTAATTGGGATTACAGGCACCCACCACCGCAGCCACCTAATTTTTGTATTTTTAGTAGAGACGGGGTTTCACCATCTTGGCCAGGCTGGTCTCGAACTCCTGACTTCATGATCCACCTGCCTTGGCTTCCCAAAGTGCTGGGATTATAGGTGTGAGCCACTGCGCCCGGCCCAAAGTTGTTTCTTAAATTATATAAATGGAATTACTGCATCAGGATCTTGATTTGTGTGTATGAATATATCGTGACAAGAGGGGAAAATCTAGAGTCTGAAGAATGAGAATTTTTCCTGGCAGCATCCTTGAGAGTCATTAGTGGCTCCTGGCAACTTAGGGATCTCAGTGTTCATATAGCTTGGTGGGAGATAGTCTGCAGCAGTGAGGGTAATCAAGGCTCTGAAGAAAGACCTACCCTGGATAGAATCATAGGTGGGGATAGGGGTGATGGCATTTAGCTAGTCATTTGGACCTCTGTTTTTGATTCAGCAGTTGCCTTTGGCCTCTTGGTAGATTTAATTCATTCTTTTCATGGTAGAACTGGTGTTTAGGCCTGACATCTCCTGGTGGTTAGAAAATAGCATTAACTAGTTGAGGCTATGCATTTATAGCAGTATGCATTGACATTAAAGCCAAAGTTATTATCTTATAATCACTGGGTGAAAACTAAGGAATGGGCAGGGCTGTGTCCCTTCTGGAGTCTCTCGAGGAGGGTCCACATTGCCTTTTCCAACTTCTCAAGGCCACCCCACTCCTTGGCTTGTGGCTCCTTCCTCCATCCTCAACGCCAGCCGCAGAGCATCTTCACACCTCTCTCTGCCTCTCACTCCTCTGCCTCCCTCTCCCACTTTAAAAGACCCTTGTGAGTATGTTGGGCTCACTTGGGTAATCCAGGATGATCTTTCTGATTTTAAAGTTAGCTGAAAAGCAACTTAATTTCACCTGCAACCTTTATTCTTCTTTGCTGTGTAACATACCCTATTCACAGGTTCTGGGGACTAGGATGTGGACATCTTTTGAGGCCATTATCCTGTTCATGATAGCAAAGGAAACACCCAGCAGGTTGGAGCTCAGGAAAGAGATGAAGAAAGGGGGGAAACTTGTTTTTATTCCCTCCTCCTTTTCCCTGTGTCCTACTGCCCCCGCTTTAACTCTCTTTAGTCACTATCTTCTCATTTTAGAAGAGGGGGCCTAATGGTAGACAACCTTAGTATGGAAATCTGACAATTTCCGGGTTTGTGGCACGAGTTGGAGAACTGTCCACATATCCACCTTGTCCCTCCGAACACATCTATGCACACTCATGCCTACACATGTCAGATATAAGTGCAAGAGTAGTAACAAAGCCAGGCCATATGACCCCTGATTTATTCAATTCAATCCAATTTGTCCAACATTATTTTAGAGTTTAGCTAGCATTGTGCTCTACAGAATGAAAAGAAAAAAGTTAAGAGATAATCTCTGACCCGGAAATCTGTGGGAAAACAATTTTAGTGATAAGAAATGACCAGAGAATAATACCAGTCAGCATTTAGGCAGCTGATAAGTCAAATATAATCACATTCTAATATAATCAATGAGTATAATCTCCTGGATGCTGGGGAGAGGCAGAGTGCAATGGTCTTGGCTGAGGTGGTTATAGAGGCTTCCTGGGAGAAATGGGCCAGGAAGGAGAGATCAGATGGGGCCAGCAGAGAGGAGGTTTGAGGATATTCACAGAGGAGGGAGGGAGGGATACAGGTTCCAAAATGAACATTCTGTGTAGAGTCCATTCTATTCTTATCCCAGAAACAGGGGGAACCCCACACCAATTTACTAGCTCTGTTGGGTGACAACTTTGACTATAAATCTCAAGAAAACATTTTTTTTTTTTTTTTTAGACAGAGTCTCACTCTGTTGCCCAGGCTGGTGTGCAGTGGTGCAATCTCGGCTCACTGCAACCTCTGCCTCCTGGGTTCAAGCAGTTCTCTTGCCTCAGCCTCCAAAGTAGCTGGGACTACAGGCGCACGCCACCACACCCAGCTAATTTTTTGTATTTTTAGTAGAGACAGGGTTTCACCATGTTGCCTGGGCTGGTCTCAGACTCCTGAGCTCTGGAAACCACCTACCTTGGCCTGCCAAAGTGCTGGGATTACAGGTGTGAGCCACCATGCCTGGCCCAAGAGAACATTCTGTGGTCATCCTCTTCCCTTCGATTCTATTTCCCACCTTGGGCTTGGCCTCAGCTTGACTCTGATGCTTCCCCTAGCCCTCTTTACTTTTCCTATTCACACGTTGAATTTCTGAGCTCCTCTTTCTAGGTATGTCGGACATCTCCCCTGGGGGGAAAATATGAATACTTTCAGGAAATTCTTTTCTCATAGTCATTAAGGGTGGAGTTGGCCTCTCTCCAGGGATCCTCTCCTAATATCCAGCTCTAGAAACAAAAGGGAAAGAAAAATGTGGTGAGCTCACTGTGGGAAGACACTTGTCACAGAATTAAAAGCGTTGCTGACATAACAGACGAGCTCATGGCTTGTCTTTAAAACCCAGAATATGCTAATATTTCTCTCTATCTCAGTGGAAAACTACTTAATCAAAATTTGTAGGTACAGGCCCTGCAGGCTGCTCTTCATTGTGGTTTGTGAGAAAAGAAGGTAGGGAACAAGAGATGGAAACCCTCTCTTAAGTTTATGAATGTTTTTGGTTTTATTTATTGTTCAAAATGCTCTTTTTTTTTGAGGGAGTGGCAAATTTGCATATAAGATTTGCTGTTGTTTTATAGAGAAGGGTGTCTCTGTATAGAAAATGGGGCTAGGTGCTCACACCCACACCATTTAGATGGGGCAGTGGGTTGACCTACTATACTCTAGCTCTGCAGTTTAAATATTGGTCCAGGAGAGGCGGATCTTTCTTGTACTGACCCTGCAAGTGGGTACAGAACTTACATGACCATTGTTTGTTTTGTCTTTGTTTTTCTTTCCTCTTAAAATGTTTTCTTTTAAAGGCAGCCCAAGGTTAACAATGGATAATTTGCCGCTGTTTGCCCAGAGCAGCTCTCTCTGAAGGCTGTTTTTCCGTGGTGTGCAGCGGAGGCTTGGTAATGACATAGCTTTATCTTTGAAAGCAAACGTCCTTTCTATCAATGGATGCCTAAAACCCTTTGCAGGGTTAATTAATGCAGCTACAAAGTGGAAATAAGAAATGAAAGTGGATGGGAAGGGAAGAGCAGCTCAGAGCTGCAAGCAAAGGAGAAAAATGACACCTCTTATATTCCAAAGACACGCTAGTCTTCCCAGCTGCAGTACAGACTCTGTTAGGTCCAATTTAAACACTTATTAAAAAGGCGAAAGGAGATACGTCCAGGTGCCAGTGTGTTCAGACCTCTCCTGGTGTTATATTACAACAGTGATGATGATGATAATATGGCAGCTAACAGCAGAGTGCAGTCCATGCGCCAGGCACTATGTTAATGTTCTACATTAGGGTTTCTTGACCTTGGCACTATTGGCATTTGGGACAGGATAATTCTTTCTGGGGGGGCTGTTGGCTGCTCTGTGCACTGTAGGATGTTCAGCAGCATCCCTGGTCTCTGCTCACTAGACGCGAGGAGCATTCCTGCTTCCCAATTTGTGGCAACTCAAAATATCTCCAGATATTGCCAAATGTCCCATGGTGGGCAGACCATGGGATTAACCCAGTTTACATGGATTGCCTCATTTAATCGTCCAATAGTGTGAGAGGTAATATTATTTCCATTTTACCATGGAGAAACTGGAGAGGTGAAGGGGTTAGATGGCTCACCCAAGGTCATAACATATACAATTTCAGGCACTGAGGGCACTGAACATAAAACTAAGTGGTCTATTATGACTAATTTGTGTGTTCTTCTTACAAATGAATAGCTATTCTTAGTAGTTATATGCCATCTTATTTACCAAAATCCTAATCATATATAATCCTTGTATTACCTTTACGATGATAATGAAAATCGTTATCATGCCTTCATACTCTGCTAACATTACTTGAGATGTGAGGTGTCTTTAAATGTTGCCCAATTCATTATAGTTTTTTCTAAAAGAAAATATTTCAAATATATCAAGATGTAAAGGATGATACAATAAATGCCTGGATACATACCACCACATTTGTTTAACTTATTAATTTGTCATATTTGCTTTAGAATTATTTTATTTTATTTTGTTTTATTTTTTGAGATGGAATTTTGCTCTTGTCACCCAGGCTAGAGTGCAATGGCACCATCTCAGCTCACTGCAACCTCCGTCTCCCGGGTTCAAGCAATTCTCCAGCCTCAGCCTCTGGAGTAGCTGGGATTACAGATGTCCACCACCACGCCCAGCTAATTTTTGTATTTTTAGTAGAGACGGGGTTTCCCCATGTTGGCCAGGCTGGTCTTGAAGTTCTGACCTCAGGTGATCCGCCCACCTCGGCCTCCCAAAGTGCTGGGATTATAGGCATCAGCCACCATGCCCGGCCTAGAATTATTTTTAATTAAAAAGAAAAGTATTACCATGTTTTCTAGTTCCCATTTCACTCTCTTCCTGTCCAGAGGTAACCACTGTTCTGAATTTGGTTTATCATGCTTATGAATATTTTCATGTCCTATGATTTATATATGTAATTATAGGACATGAAAATATCCATGAGCATGTTTGTGTCCCCAAACAATATAGTTTCCCATGTTTGTAAATGTTATTTGAATGTTGTTATAATGAAATGTTCATTCTACATTTTCTTTTGCTTAACATTTAAAACATAATCTTTTTATTTTGAAATTATTTTAGATTTACAGAAAGTTGGCAAAGAGTACAGAGAGTTCTTGTATACCCTTTAGCAGGCGTCTCTTACTATTCCCAACTTACATTACCAGGTACGTTTGTCAAAGCTAAGAAGCCAACATTGTTAGAGTATCTGAACTAAATTCCAGACTTTATTAAGATTCTACTAGTTTTGCCGGGCATGGTGGCTCATGCCTGTAATCCCAGCACATTGGGAGGCTGAGGCGGATGGGTCACTTGAGGTCAGGGGTTTGAGACCTGGCCAACATGGTGAAACCCCATCTCTACCAAAAATATAAAAAATTAGCCAGCTGTGGTGGCATGTGCATCTGAACTAAATTACAGATTTTATTAAGATTCTACTAGTTTTGCTGGGCATGGTGCCTCATGCCTGTATTCCCAGCACTTTGGGAGGCCAAGGTAGGCAGATCACCTGAGGTCAGAACTTCAAGACCAGCCTGGCCAACATGGCGAAATCCCATCTCTACTGAAAATACAAAAATTAGCCGGGTGTGGTGGTGGGCATCTGTAATCCCAGCTACTTGGGAGGCTGAGACAGGAGAATCACTTGAACCACGGAGGTGGAGGTTGCAGTGAGCTGAGATCGTTCTACTGCACTCCAGCCTGGGCAACAGAGTGAGACTCCATCTCAAAAAAAAAAAAAAAAAGATTCTACTAGTTTTTCCATTAATGTCCCTTTTCTGTTTTGGGATTCATCCAGAAATAAACCACATTGAATTTGGCTTCATTGTCCTTTGTTTTTCCTCAAAGAACAGCTTTATTGAGACACACCATACAATTCACCGATTTAATCAATGTTTTTAGTATATTTACAATTTTAAAACATTATCATCATCCTCAAAAGAGACCTTGTTTCTATTAGCGATGGTGTCCCATTGCCCCCTCTCCCTGGGGGCATTAACCATTAAGCTATTTTCTGCCTCTATAGATTTGTCTATTCTGGTCTTTTCATATGAAGAGAATAATACAATATATGGTCCTTTGCAGCTGGCTTCTTTCACTTAGTATAATGTTTTCATGGTTCATCTATGTTGTAGCATGGATCAGTACTTCATTATCGGATATTATATATATTTTTACCTTTGGATATTTCATTGTATGGATTTTCCACATTTTATCAATTCACCAGTTGACACGCCTAGATTTCTACCTTTTGGCTATTATGAATAATGCTGCTATGACCACTCTTGCAGGTTTTTGTATGAACACATTTTCATTTCTCTTGGGTATATAGATGGGAGTGGAGTTGCTGGGTCATATAGCAATGTTGTGTTTAACATTTTGAGGAATTGCCAGATTCTTTTCCAAAGTGGCTGCAACATTTTACATTACTACCAGCAGTGTATGAGGGCTCCAATTTCTCCACATCCTCACCAACATTTGTGATTATCTGCCTTTTTGATGATAGCCATTCTAGTGCATGTGAAGTGGTTCATTATATGATTTTGATTTACATTTTCTTGATGGCCTATGATGTTGAGAACCTTTTCATGTGTATATTGCCTTTTTCTATATCTTCTTTGGAGAAATGTCGATTAATGTCCTTTGCCCATATTTTAATTGGGTTATTTGCCTTTTTAGTATTAAGTGGTAACAATTTTTTACACATTCTGGATACAAAACTTTTAATAGGTTATATGACTTGCAAATATTTTCTCCCATTCTGTGGGTTGTCTTTTCACTTTCTTGATGGTGTCATTTGAAGCAAGAAAAGTCTTTAAGTTTTATAAAGTCCAATTTATCTACTTTTTCTTTCGTTGTTCAACTTTTTTTTGAGATGCATTCAGGTTGATTTAACTTTTTTTTTTTTTTTTTTGAGGCAGAGTTTCACTCTTTTTGCGCAGGCTGGAGTGCAATGGTGCGATCTTGGCTCACTGCAACCTCCACCTCCTGGGTTCAAGCGATTCTCCTGCCTCAGCCTCCCAAGCAGCTGGGATTACAGGCACCCACCATCACGCCCAGCTAATTTTTTATATTTTTGGTAGAGACGAGGTTCCACTATGTTGGCCAGGCTGGTCTCTAACTCCTGACCTCAGGCAATCCACCCGCCTCAGCCTCCCAAAGTGCTAGGATTACAGATGTGAGCCACTGCACCCAGCCTCCGATTTAACTTTTTATAGTTTAAGCTGCGTAGTGTTTGTGGTATAAATTTTAAAAATTATTTTTATATTGCATCTCCCATTGATGGACATTAGATGTTTCCAGTGTTTATGCGATTATAAACACTATTGTCCCATGATAGACATTAGATTGTTTCTATCACTTACACTATTATAAACACTATTGTACATATCTTCTTGAGAACACTTGAGAATGTTTCCCTAGGCTATACACTTAGAAGTGGAATTGCTTGAGTCTTAGATATGAGTGTCTTCAATTTAACAAGATTCTTCTAAATTGCCTTACAAAGTTGATGAACAACTTACATGCCCATTTCAGTATATGAGTGTTCCATCTTGCCAGCTTTTGGTGTAAACAGATTTTAATTTTTCGCAATGTCATTGGATGTGAGATGGTATATCACATGGCTACCTTCCTTTGCATTTACCTGATTACTGTGAGATTCATTCTTTTATATATTCCTAGGCCATTGTTTCTAACCTTGGTCCATTCTTCAAGTGTATTCTTTTCCTTAGGTACTACTATTAAGTATTATTAATAATAGCTTTTATGTTATTTTTGTTGTAACTGGATATTAATTATTTTTAGGTTGCTTGTGTTGCAACTATGTTTTGAATGAATGCATCAAATAGGTCTTTTTACCCCTACGATTTTTGAGTTGGGAATCTTTTTAAAATAATTCCTCCCTATTTCAAGGTAAGAAAAATGTGTTCCTACACTTTCTTCAAAGTTTCAAGTTTAACTTTATATCATTTAGGTACTTAATAACCTTGAAATTGCTTTTTGAGTACTGTGCAATTTGCAGAAACTACCTTTTTTCCTCTGAATAGGAAAACTAATGGTCCTTCCTGGAACGATTTATTGAAGAGTCAATCTTCTCTCCACTGATTTGTAATGATATTTCTTTTTTTTTTTTTTTGAGTTGGGGTCTCACTCTGTCACCCAAACTGGAGTGAAGTGGCACGATCTTCATTGGAATTGCTCACTGCAATCTCTGCCTCCCAGGCTCAAGTGATCCTCCCACCTTAGCCTCCTGAGTAGCTGGGACCACAGGCACATGTCACCATACCCAGCTAATATTTTTTATTTTTGGAAGAGACGGAGTTTTGCCATGTTGCCCAGGCTGGTCCTGAACTCCTGAGCTCAAGTGATCCTTCCACCTTGGCCTCCCAAAGTGCTGGGATAGAGTGAGCCACTGTGCCTGGCCATCTTTCTGTTTTGTTTAAAACATTTTTAATATATGTTTTTATATAAGCTTAATATATGGGTCTATATCTGGGCTCTCTATGATACTTCACTAATTGACTTGCCTATCTCTGGTCAATACAACAGTAAGTGCTATATATAATAAGTCTTTATATGTGGTAGAGTAAGAATCCTCTATGTTATTATTCTTCTTCAAAATTGTCTTAACTATTTTTGGCTTTTTGCTTGTCAATCTTAATTTCAGTATAATTTAAAATCATTTTAAGTCATAACTTAAATTCAGTTTAATTTAAACAAATCTTTTGGGATTTCAATTAGAATTGCATTTAATTTGTTTGGAAACTGGAACCTTCTCATACTGAATATTTCTATCCATGAAGATGGTATCTCTTTCCACTTATTCAGGTCTCATTTTAATACCCTTACTTTCTTACCTTTTACTTTCATATAATTTCTTCCATAATTTCTCTCTTTTATTTCTGTTTTCAGTTTGTATAACTGTGTTTTACTCTTTAACTCACTTCCACAACAAATGAGCAGCCATGATTTTCTCAGAGATTTGAGATCTGCAGCTAAGGAAACACACCAGGGACTAAGAATTATTGATCAAACCATAGACCAGGGGCAATGGAGCTCATCTTGTTGAGACAAATTCCCCTCCTGAAAGCCCTATACACATTCAGCTTTGTTTGCAAGCACCATAGGGTCAACAAGATTACATCTGATATGTCCTTTCATCTTTTATATTTCTCCTTTAGAACTTCACCTTCTTTAGAAATACTTTGATTTCTCTGAATGTTTTTATCTTTCCTTCTTCATTAAGATAATTTGCTAATTATGAAGTCAGAATAGCATTTCTGAGAACTTTCCAGTCTTTGTGAGCCATGTCTTCTTCAAAATCTTTTATCATGGAGCCAGGCATGGTGGCTCACGCCTGTAATCCCAGCGCTTTGGAAAGCTGAAGTGGGCAGATAGCTTGAGCTCAGGAGTTTGAGACAAGCCTGGGAAGCGTGGTGCAACCCTGTTTCTACCAAAAATACAAAAAAATTAGCTGGGCATGGTGGCGTGCACCTGTGGTCTCAGCTACTTGGGAGGCTGAGGTAGGAGGATTGCTTGGGCCCGGGAGGTGGGGGTTGCAGTGAGCCAAGATTGTGCCGCTGCACTCCAGCCTTGGCAAAAACCAGACCCCATTAAAAAAATCTTTTATCATGGAATTATAATCATCTTTTCTTAACTTTCTGAAATTGAAAATGCTAGGGCTTATATCTGATTATGCCCAAAGTTTCTTTTATGGTTCTAAAATGACAGGATACTTTTTCCTCAACAATACCACACTTTTATTTTGCCAATAGCTTTCTTTCCATGAGCAAGAATTAGGTGCAGAACAGCAGTTTCTTTAGCAGCTTCTTTTATTCTCTGGGGGACAGACTGCTAAATGAGTCATATGTTCTGTTTTTATTTGAATGAGATTTCCATTTCCAAATATCTAAAGTCTCCTGTGACTACTGTCTATTTTATTTATGGTCTACCTCAGGAATGTATCATCTATTTCCCCACATAATCAAGTAGGAAAGTTGGAAAATGTGGAGGAGGTGATTTGCAACTACACGAGAAGAAAATTCAAGGCAACTTTCACATCCACTAGCAAGATGTTGAACCAGTATTTCACATAGGAAAAGACAGAAAGGAAGAAATCAGAAAGAATTACACACACGCAAACACACACATCCATATCAACCGCTCCTTAGTCTTCTTCAAAAAGTGCTCAGCATTGTAACCTGAAGGTGTTTCTTGTCCTGCCATCAATAGAACTTGTGCAACGGCATGGTTTGCCCTACATCAGCAACATCCCACTCCTGTGCCTGGTCCTCATATAAATAATGACAAACATTTTGAGATAGCTAATTGTGGTCAGGAATGTAGTATAGGTATATGGAAAAAGTGATCCTCTGTGTGAAGCCAATGGGTCATTTCTTTTTTGAGGAGAGGTGTTGGGGGTGGGTGTTCCTTTCTTGCTGATTCTCTGATTGGTTGATTATGAGACATTTTTATCTAGTAACTTGGTCTTCTCAAATGTCAGTTCTTGTCTTAGATTTTTGTTTCATAGTTAATGAGTTGATGTTTGAATCTAGTTGGGCTACTTCTCAGTGGCAATCACCTCACCTATGAATTGAGGAAATATCTTTAGCAAAGTAAGAAACAAAGAAATCTCCTACTCTCCCTATAAGAAGAACATGTTTCTTTAGATTAGGCGTTCTCAGTCTTGGCATTATTGACATTTTGTACCAGATAATTCTTTCTTGTGAGGAGCTGTCCTGGTCATTATAGAATGTTTAGCAGCATCCTTGGTCTCTACCCAGTAGAACCAGTAGCACCTCCCTCCCTGCCCAGTTGTGACAATCAAGAGTATCTCTAGACATTGCCAAATGCCCTCTGGGGGACTAGATTGCCTCCTGTTGAGAACAACTGGTTTTAGTTCTTTGAACCTTTATAAAGAAATGAGTGTATATGAATAATTTTTATGGTATTCCCGTATTATAATTTATAGCAGTATATTAAAACTAATCTCCTGTGGCGCAAGAGCTAATTAATTTGTGTTAGTAAAGGGCTTTGAGATCCAAAACTGAAAGTAGTTACAAGGAACAAATATCATTACAATGATTTATTTGTATCCTGTTATTTAATGTTACGATATGGATGAGGTTTTGCAATTTATTATCATAAGGTGAAGGAGAACTCATTGCCTGCCAAAATGAAAATATACAGTAGATACAGTAATATATCTATTCCATATATTTTAACAGGGAGTTGCCTGCTTGCATTTATCAACTGTGTTAGGTGAGGGTGAATTATGAGACCTCACACGAAAAGGTGTATCTCTTTTTATGCACTCATAATTCAGAAATAGTGGCTGAATGAATTTGGAGAAGATCACTTTCTTAAAAAAAAAAAAAAAAAAGCACTATAGGACTCAGGTCAGCTTGAGGGATTTCAACTCCCAGAATTATTTCTGTGCCTAGGGGAGTATTAAAGTGAACTAATCAGAAAGTACATGCAAAGTCGAGAAGGCTGTAACTTTTGTCTTTATTGCTGTGGTCTAGTGTTGTAAGCCGAAGAATCTCAAGCTAACATTTTGAGGTATCATGCTACTTAAACAGGAAGGTCCTTTTTATTTTTAGTGGCAGATTTACTCATTATTTCTATTTTATAGGTGGAAAAACCAAGTTAGAGGGAGATTATTCATCTGCTGTCTGATGGAGAAATTGCTTCAGCTCTTGTCACCTCAGCACTAATCATTAAAAGTAACTGGTACAATCTCTTCAATATTAACCAGGTAAATTACATAGCAGAGAGCCTGGCACACAGTGGCCATGAAGCTGCTGCGTCAGACAGTCTGCTGAGGGCTTTAGGCAGATTATTTCATTTGATCCTCATATTAGCCCTAAGTGGTGGTAGTATTAGCTCCATTTTAAAGATGCAGAAACTGAGGCATAGAGAAATTGAGTTAGTCAGTGATGGATCAAGATGCAAACCTATGCCTGTCTGAGTCCAAAGTCTGTGTCCTTAACCATTGGCCCTCTAGTGCTGGTCAATACAGTCACCACAAGGCACATGTGGGCTGTGAGCCCTTGAAATGTGGCTAGTCAGAATTACAGTGCAGAATTTGTGGTAGGTATAAAACACATCCTGGATTTTGAAGACAAAAAAAAAAGAAGGTAAAATATCTCATATTTTAAAAATATTGCTTATATGTTGAACTGATAATATTTTGGATATATTGGGTTAAATAAAAAAGTATTATTAAAATTAATTTCACCTACTTCCTTTTAAACTGTTTTAATGTGTCCACTAGAAAATTTAAAGCTGCGTATGTGGCTCACATTGTATTTCTGTTGGACAGCACTGCTAGACCCTGCTATAGCCATCTCTTGTATTTTTACCATAGTTCTCTGCCCACAGTAAGCCCTCCACATGTTCTGACTCACCCATAATTTATGTAAATATGGACAGAAGCCAGAGAAGAGGAAAAAAATCATAAATTGCCAGGTGATTCCTTGCAGCATGAGTAGAATACAGCTTTAAAAACTCAGAACACAGGTGGCAATTTCCAGGACTCAGGGCCCCATCACCCTCCTTCTCTCCCGCCCCATCCTTCCCTCTTTTTATCAACAAACATACAGGAGGCTTTAGAATAGACCAGGCACTGTGCAAGACCCTAGAAATTACAAAGGTGCATATAACCTAGTTGTTCAGAAGTTTACTTCCAAATAGAGAAAACTGATCCATACTAGTCTGCCAGAGCTGCAGTAACAAGTTAAGTTGTAGCAAGGTAAGTAACCACAGAGTGGGTGACTTAAACCACAGACATTTTTTCTTATAGTTCTGGAGGCTAGAAATCTGAGATCAAGGTATTGGTAGGGCTGTTTTCTTCTGAGTTCTCTCTCTTTGGCCTGTAGATGGGTCATCTTTTCCCTGTGTTTTCACTTCATCTTTTCTCTGTGTGTATCTGTGTCCACATTTCCTCTTCTTCTAAGGACACCAGTCATACTGGATTAGAGGCCACCTAATGACCTCATTTTCAGTTAATCATCTTGGTAAAGGTGTGGTCTCCAAATACGGTCACATTCTGAGGGACTGGGGTTAGACTTCAAGATATGAATTTTTGGGTGGACACAGTTCCACCCATAACACGACCTATGAAGCAAGTGGTATGGCCACATAGAAGACGGAGTATCTAATTCTTTGTGGGCTGCATGTTGAGGTGGTCAGGAAAGCCTTACATATGTGAGGTGGGGATTGATGTTCTTTTGAAGGTTAATTTCTTTTTTTCTTCAGTCCAGTATGCTGCCAGCTGCTTTCAATCTAGGGAGAACTTAATACAGATATTGAAGGCTGCTATGGACTGACTTGTGTCCCCTCACAAATTCCTGTGTTGAAGTCCTAACCCCCCAAAGTAACTAGATCTTGAGGTAGGGCCTTTAGGAAAGTAATTAAGGTTAAATGAGGTCATAAGGGTAGGGCCCTAATCTGACAGGACTGGTGTTTTTTTCTGGGGGGGACAGAGTCTCGCTCTGTTGCCCAGGCTGGAGTACAGTGGCATGATCTCGGCTCACTGCAACCTCTGCCTCCTGGGTTCCAGTGATTCTCCTGCCTCAGCCTCTTGAGTAGCTGGGATTACAGGTGCACACCACCTCACCTGGCTAATTTTTGTTATTTTAGTAGAGACAGGGTTTCACCACATTGGCCAGGCTGGTCTTGAACTCCTGACCTCAGGTGATCTGCCTGCCTTGGCCTCCCAAAGTGCTGGGGTTACAGGTGTGAGCCACTGCACTGGGCCTAGGACTGGTGTTCTTATATGAAGAGGAAGAGACGTCAGAGATTGCTGTCCATGTGTACAGAGAAGAGGCCATTTGATGACATGGCAAGAAGGTGGCTGTCACAAGCCAGGAAGAGAGGCCTCACTAGAAACTGAATTTTCTTGCACGATGATCTTGGACATCCAGTTTCCAGCACTGTGAGAAAGTAAATTTCTGTTGCTTAAGCCACCCAGTCTGTGGTCCTTTGTCACAGCAGTTTAAGCTGATTGAAACAAGGGCCCTGCTCCAGTTTAAAGGTGCTCGGAGACAAAGGTGGAGCAAGACTCTTGTTTTTGTGAGGGGCTCTGCAGAAGTTGTCTCACTGCTTGGGATGCAGAATTGGTAGTTCAGAAGGTGGCCAGGCGTGGTGGCTGTAGTCCCAGCTACTTGGGAGGCTGAGGTGGCAGAATCGCTTGAGCCCAGGAGTTTGAGGCTGCAGTGAGCTGAGATCATGCCACTGCACTCCAGCCTGGGCAACAGAGTTAGACCTGGTCTAAAAAAAGAAAATTGATAATCAGTTTGCTAAAGGAGCCTAGGGTAGTTAGAAAACTAGTGGTGGTGGCAGGAGTGGGTGGCAGGAATGGGTGGCAGGATTGCTGTGAAGAAAAGAGTTGTCCATACTTGTGACTGGTTTCAATCCAAAGAGCCAAGTGTATTGGGAGCCTGGTTTGACTCAGCGTATCACTGAAGTTGGAAGCCTCTCAGGACCCATCACCTTTGGAGGATTTGAGCTTTGGGGCAGTGGATAATTGTATGGGTGTGAACATAAGGAAGGTGCCCCTGGAGTCCAAGTGTGGGGCGTCTGAGGGGGCTTGGCCCAGCTGGAGCATAACAGCAACATGGTCATGAATTCATTGGATTGTGTACAGGGGACAAGTGGCTGTAAAATGTGTATGGAGTGAACAAGTATCCAAGGTTTCCAGGACAACACAACAAGGCAAGGAGAGGTAACAGCAGCAGGAAGGATCAGACTCCAATTCTCTCTACTTGGCTTGGCAGTGGATTGCCCTTTTCAGGGATGAATTAGCCCCTTTGATTTGTTAGAAAAAAAACAAGGTTATGGAGAAGTCTCAAACGGAAGGTGAGTGTTAAAATAATTAACTAGAAAAAGGAAAGAGAATGTGACTGTCATTGTACTTTGAATTCGTGGACATGATTCCAAAGATAACAGAGTGGGTAGAATGTGACCTGGGGGTGGAAAAATGAGTTGGAGATTTTTAGGAAGGCAAAGTTAAAGGAAGACACTCCTGGAGGAGAAAAGAACAATTGCAAAGACCTAAAAGAATCTGGACTGCTGGAGAAGTGATTGCTGGTGCTGTAGAGTTTATGTGGGAAAAGGTGAAAGGGATAAGGCTGGAAAGATACAGCAGTCTGGTGCAACAGTTTCTGTAAATGTGAAAGAATCTGGACTTTATTGCATAGGTAACAAAGATTTGGTCATGGCAGCTGTGGGACAGGTGAGAAGGAGAGAGGTGCTGGGAGGTGACAGCCACTGCCAGCATCTAGGCAGTGATTCCTGTGATGGAATCTCCAAAGTGGGTGGGGCTGTGGCAAATGACTCACTAGACTGTGGGAAAATAGTAAAACTTATTTATGTATGCTAAAAAAGCAAGTGAAACATTGCCTGGTATTTATCTACAGAGTGACATTGCACCTTCACCTCATTTAGTCCATATGGTGAGCAGCCATGAGTCATACAGGACTTGAAGTATTCTGAAGGATAAACAGAGGCTCCACTCCACTCCTTTGCCTGTTTCTAGTGTATTTTTCTGTACATTTGCCTGGCTAAATGTATCCACAGATTGTTTTATTTGGTCATATCTCATTTAACCTGCACAAAATTGACAAGTAGCTGAAAGAATTCTGAAATGAAACTGCAGATTGAAGGTAGCACTAATACAAACAACAGGCAGAGTATGGGCAGATGGCAGAGCAAACCCCTCTATTTCTAGTGCGAGGTCTTTGTCAAACCCCACACGAGGTAAAAACAGTGGCAATGGAATCATCTCACAAGAAGTTGGCCCCCAAAATAGAAATCGAGAAGATTATTTAAAATACGAATTTATATCCACTGTTGCTACTGTCAAACCTTAACCTAAATGTATATTGGCCAATAGTAAATTCAGCAAGATATTTAGTAGAAATGTTATTGGCTTCTTTATTATACTTTTCAAAAATATCTTTTTTAAAACGAGTGTTATAATATATATATTATTAGAACAATTACATATGTGCATAATCTATAAATAAGTACATATATATGCATATATATATAAAATTAGGGAATGAGCTTTCAGAATTTTTACTGAATTGGTTTTCCATTACAAAATTTTGAAGCCTACTGCTTTAGGCAATGAGAAATTGCAATAAACACACAGACTGCCTATAGGTCCCTCGTTGCCCTTTGGGTGTCCTGTGAGTGTTTTTCCATGCTTTACTAATAATCATTTGATGCTTATTAGTCCACTCTAGTCTCTCTTCTCTGGACATCTTGGGTATCCAGGGTGGCCTGAAGACACAGCTACGGAGCTCCTTTCCATAGCATCCTCCTTTCTAAGAGGGGTCTATTGGTGTCCTTGGACTAAGGGACGATGGGAAGTATCTCCACCGTTGTCAAATTATGTGGCCTCTGATGACCTGAGGCACAGACCAGGCTTGGCTGCATCTCATAATAGACCTGGATCATTGGTGAGCTTCTGGATGCTGGCTCAGTGATATTCCCATGCACCCATCAACAGGAACCTGATGAGTGTCCCTGGCCTCAGTGGCCAGAATCGGGTCTTGGTCTTAGGCTGGCTTTAGGGCACTGGAAAGTATTGCTCCCAGTGGTTTCTCTCACTGTTTGCTTATTCTGACTTCCTGGGGGAAGATACTTACTATCAAACAAGGGTGAAGGCTCTGGATTTTGACAGAGAACCTATTTTATTTGGTCTCTCCCTACTCCAGTTGGTTCCAGCCCAAATCCTCTTTATTCTTTCAACCTGCAATATCCCTCTTTCTTTCTTTTCTATCACATGTGTAAACAGAAAAATCTTAGACAAATTAAATATAACAGAGTTTAATTGAGAAAAAAAATGACTTGTGAATTGGGCAACCTCTGGAGCCACAGTAGGCTCAGAGAGACTCCAGTGCAACCATATGGTGGAAGAAGATTTATGGACAGAAAAAGGAAAGCAATATTTAGAAAATGGAAGTGAGGTGCAAAAACAGCCAGATCGGTTACTGCTCAGCATTTGCCTTATTTGAACGTGGTTTGAACAGTTGGCTGCCTTTGGTTGACATTTGCTGATTGGCACAAGAGTAGGTTATAGTCTGTTTACATATCCAGTTAGGTTACAGTTCCCTATGCATGGAGAAACCTTTAGGCCAAGCCTAAAATATGTAAGGAGGCAGTTTTAGGTTAAACTTGATTTAACATGTGGTTCTTGCTGAAGTACAGAGGAACATAAATGGCCCAAAAGACAAAGCTCCAAATCTCGACAACATTAAACATTTCTCCCTCCTCAAGGGTAAAAAAGGCCTAGTTTTTGCAGACATGGAGCCAGCCTTCACACAGGAGTTGGGCGTGGAGGGAGAACACATGCTTTCATTCTTTCCTTTGGAGTTAACACCAAATCCTATCCCAAGGCTAGATCAAATGGCTTCTAACATGGAAAGAAAATAAAAAAGCGTAAAGTAAGATGAATTTTATAGGAAAAATACAATTGGAAAACTCAGTATACTTTAAATTTTGTTCTTGGCAGGTAGTCCTTTCAAATGACACCTGGCTTCTGCCATCTCCTGCTTTCTTCTCTTGCTTGCTATGGTGTAATGTGCTACGGGATCTGCCAAAATGCAGGTGGGCTGTTGCATCCCCCTCAGTCCTCAATCACCAGGTGTCTTGTCAGTTCTATGTGGAGGTTCCTTGGTGCTCAGGCTGCCAGGTCCATTCTGAGCTCCAACTATGCCAGCAGCCATCTGAAATAGTAGGACTCTCGAGTGAAAGAGACTGAAACCAATGCTAGCTGCTCTCAACACAGTAGGGGCATTATTGGCTCACCTAACTGGAAAGTCCAAGAAGGGAGCCACATTCATAGGCAGCTGGACCTTGCGGCTCCTTGGACTGAGCACTCTTCTTGGCTGTGCATGAACTCTCCTGGCTTTCTTTCTCACAAAGCTTTGCTCTTGGAGCTGCTCTAAGCCCATATTCTAGTTTCAGTTCTGAGTCCTGGAGAAAGACCTCTCTTTCTCCCAGAATCCATGTATCAACTTTTATGAGGGGATTTCGATGGGCTTTGCTGGGATCACCTGCCCTTTCCAGAACTCATCAGTGTGGCTAAGTGAATGAGAAGCTCTGATTGGCCAGACCTGGCTATCTGCCTTCTTTGTGACTGAAGGGGGTTGTGCTGGTCCTGTCCAGCCCCCAGAATGGGTTTCCTCAAGGAAAGAGAGGTTCTGGAATGAGAAAGAGGGATTCAGGCAAAGCCAAAACAGGAGCTGTCTGCTGGAAACCTCAAACAGAAATCATTTGTGCCACACTTTGTCACCAGGCTACAAAACAGGGAAGCCATATTAATAACAGCTATATCATAAAATATAAGAATTATGTATTACCATGTGCCAGGCATTTTTGCCACGTGCTTTGTGCATTCCTGCATTGAATCCTTACAACAATCCTGTGAGGTACATAGTTTAGCCATCCCATTTTCAAGTGAGAAAACGGAGGCTTGCAGTGAGCGGCTTGCCCACGTCACACGCTGATACTCCTTGTCTCACAGAGGCTTGACTAACACAGCTCTTTCAGCTTTCACTCAATCCTCCTCCTCATTCTTATGATTTACTGTATCCTTTTTAGAGCTCAGGCATGAGTTGGAGGAGGCTCAGAGACAGACATTGTGTGATACTGAAAATCTCCTTCAACTCTTACCCTTCTCCTCAACTCCCAGAATCTCTCTTTCTTTAGGGTAAGTTATTTCCCATAGGGCTTTTTGGGGGTTTTAGAGCAAACACTGTTATGGTTCTGAGGTGGAAATCCTGGCCCCACTCACTCCCACTCCTCTGGTAGATTAGAGTGCAGAGCTTCGTGGGTTCTGTTTTCAGTTCTTGTATTCTTGGAGTTTTCTATACTGGACTCCTGGTCTTGTTTTCCAGATGACACCAGAGAGGGGAAGTGGCTCACCTCAGGTCACACAGCTGGCTTGCAGCAGAGCTTTTACCTTTTCATTCTCGCTGTATGATAGGGCATGTCCCGGCCTTGCAGTGAGTGCTGCAGTGACCCCTGACTCCCCTGCCTCTGTATTCTGTTGGTGCAGTGTAAAGTCCTCTGGACTCAGAGTCAAAGCGGTTGGATTCCAAGCCTGGGTTCAACACTGCCTATTGAGAGATTTTGGATAAGTCTCTTCTCCGAGCCTCAAGTTGTCCTTACCTAAAATTTGAGGTCATCACATCAGCTCTGTCTACCCAAATGTATTATGGAAGGGCTAAAATCAGGTGAAATATATGAATTGGAAGCTGGATTGTCCTCTATAAATGTTTTTGCTGTATTTTAGTGTAACTCACTGTAAGTCTTCAACAAATATTTTCTTATTAAATGGTTGAATGCAGAAACACTTCTTTCTGAATCAGTTCCTGAGCCCTGCAGCAATATCCAAATAGTATTTTCTCTGGATTTTGGCTGATAATGGTTATTCACTTGTGCTCTCAGAAAGTTATTCCAAAATGATATTTAAGTTTTCTTTCTATATTCTCAAGGTAGGTTACTGGGTATTTGCTTAGAAAATGCATGTGTAATCCACAGTGATGGGGCCAGTATGTTTTATAGACCTTTCCTGATTAAAAATGTTAACTCGTTTGGGAATCTGTGCAAGTTGATTCAGGACTCTGCCTCGCTGGTGGCATGACAGCCAGAGAAACCAAATGAGCACAATTTAATCTGGTCCTGGGCAGGAGGAGCTAAAATGAAATCCACCTCGTTGTGTCCTTTGGGTTTTTATCTGTCAGTGAGTCCTGGAAATGTGTCCTAAGAGACATTGCAAAAATGGATAGCTCAGGTTTAACCCCTTGTTTCCTCTGTGCGTAGAGCCCGTCCGCTCGGATCTTCATGATCACAGTCAGAGGGCTTCAGAATCGTCTCCTTGGGTGGGGCACTCTTTATCTTCCCAGCCTGGCTTCCAGATTCATAGTGGACACTTATCAAATTTTGTACCCTGAAATCCCACTTTCATTACACCACTCTTTGTTCAAGAATCTTCAGTGTTTTGATACTGTTCAAACACCTTTATCTAGTGTTTGAGGAATTCAAGTATCTGGTCTAATTGACCTGTCCAATGCTGTCTTCCATTTACCTTCTCTGTGAATCCTCAACTCTGGAGTAACCAGGTCTATTCTCTGATCCACAAATGTCCCATGTCCCTTCTTGGGCCTTTGCACACACCCATTGCCCCCACCTGTGGTGGGTATCCCTCTTCTTTTCCCAGCTTCACCTCTATTGACCTCTTCAAATCCTATATATCCTTAGGGCTCTTCAAATTCTTCCTCCTTCCTGAAACCATCCCTAACAGCTAGGTCTTATAGACGCTTTTCTCTTCTCTGAACTCTGATCACACCTATTGTCTACAACTTTAGCTGCCCATCTATGTATCCAGCCATCTATTCCATCTAATAGGATTTATTAAGTCAATTTTGTAAACTTATTGATGCAAGGACTATGTATTATACTGCTGGATTTCCTCCAAAACAACTTATTCATTCAAAAAGTATCAACTTGTGCTAATCAAGACTCTTCTGGTTGAAAGTAAGAGAAATTTAGTTTAAGGTAGACTTGTGCCCACCAATCAAAAGAAGGAGGGAATCATCGGTGAGATTTGGGAACTCAAACTGTATTTTTAGATTATCTTTTTCTCCCCTTATGTCTTTTTGGTAGGAAAATGGCTACTGAAAGCTTCAGGTTTACATCTTCCCAGTTTAGCAAACATTTTGGGAAAAGACACATGTGTGAGCATGTGCACACATGTGCATGAGTGCATGTGCCTCTCCCTTCATCTATAAATGAATTCAGGGCTGAATTTAACCTGCTTGGATTATTCATTCTTCTTGGCCATTCACTGCTCCCGGGGTGTGAGGTGCTATGACTGGTTCTGCCTGGGTCACATGCCCTACTCTGTGGCTGTACATAGTTTGAACTAGGCTTTGTTATCTGACAACCTTACCATGACCAGCGGAATATGGAAAGAATCAATTCCCCCCACAGAAATCCTCCACATATGTCAGCCCAGAACTCTACATATGGTAAATGCTTGATAAGTATTTATTGACTGAATGATTTTTAATCATTCTTAAATGATCAAAATGACTTCAAAACTAACTCAAACTCAGGATTCCAGTATATTATTGTTAAAACTTATTGAAATCCTCCCCAGTGATGTCTTCCTTTTGGTGTTGGTTTTACCCTGGGGTATTAAAGAAATAGTCTATCTCTACGACCACAAGAGAGCCATGTGAGCATTAAAGACAGCGGTCTTGTTCCCTTTAAAACATCCCACTTTCAGAATAAACACTCTCATTTCCCAAAACTGCTTCTTATATGCCATGTTTTCCAAATATTGCCATGCTGACTGTTCTTTAGTTTTTCACTACCTGGCTGAGATGTGGCTTCTAGAACTGAGCAAAATTTTTTGATGTGCTATGACTCTGCTTCACCTCACTAATCCTTTTATCCCAATATTTCATTAGAATGTTTTTGCAACCATGTCATTGTGAATATAAGCTCTTAAAATAGGCAATTAGCGAAAATCAGACCTGGCATCCATTTTTCAGTCCTCTTGCATTTGGCTTGAGGTGCTCAATTTAGGGATCCAATTGGGTCACAGCTCCCAGCCCTGCTGAATCTCCTGATCACCTTTCTAGCAGCCCAGCAGGTGCTGATACAGAGAAGAAGCTGATGATCCAGGTTCCTTGAGCAGTTCAGACTGTCATCCTGGTCCTGGTCCCCTCCAGGCCACATTGATCTAATTTACCTGCCCTTCAGAGCCAGCAACCAGGAATGACCTTACTTAGATTATATTCTAGGGAAGGTAAACTCATTCAGGCAGATTGAAGGACAAATCAATTGTATTCGTTTTCTAGGGCTGCTGTACCAAAGTACCACAGACTGGGCTTAAGCAACAGAAATATATTTTCTCAACGTTCTGGAGGCTAGAAGTCCAAGATGCAGTTGTCAGTAGAGCTGGTTTCTTCTGACATCTCCCTTCTTGGCTTGTAGATGGCCACCTTCTTGCTGTGTCTTCACATGGTCTTTCCTCTGTGCCTGCCTGTGTCCTAATCCCCTCTTCTTGTAAAGACACCAGTTGTATTAGATTAGGGCCCACTCTAATAGCTTTATTTTACCCTAACACCAGCCAACCAAATTAAGGTGTCATGTGCATGCGTGTGCAGCTATGTGTAGCACTGGCAGGGAATGGCTATAATCACAGGGCAGGAGAGCTAAGGTGGAAAAATTGGATGGCTTCATTGAAGCCCAGAGTTAAGATTAATTCACATGCTGACCATTGCAATGCTGGGCATTGGTTTTTTTCCCCCCATTCTTATTTCCAAGGACATCAGGCCCCAGACTACTGTGAGATGAGTCAGGGAATCAATGACCAAGTTTTTCACCTAAAAAGAGCTTTTCAAGACTCTGGGTCAACCCAAAGGCACATTAATAGAAGCTCTTAGTTAATATTTTTTCAGTGATCAGGATGATGGACTAGCAAGTGGGCCTGTTAGGTTTGCTGGTGACACTGTGGACATCATTAAATAACATGCAAATCATTAACTAGGAATGTAGACAGGGTGCCAAGACTTAATCGTTTTAATTTCCACCCATGGGTAAACCTCGAGGCAAAAATGTCCTCACCCCTGGCATGAGGAACTGCTCTGAATGCAAAGTTTGACTCAGCCAGTGAAGTAAAAGAAACTGTAATGGTCTCATTTCTATCTTTTTGAGTAATGATATGCCAGTTTCCCAATAAATTGCATGAAGGTGAACAAGAAAAATAAGTCTTTGACCTTTCTCATTTATAAGCACACTTAGGTATTTCTTCTCATATCTTATGCTGGCCACAGAGCTTTGCATAGAAGATTTAATTTCCTGTTGCTGCAGGCATTAAAATGGATCAGACCTCCCTTCCCCCTTCCCTTCTCCCTGAAACCTGAAGCCATCCATGTGGCTTGTCATTCAGGGTATGGAAAGACAGGACTTGAATTAGGGGTCCTTCCTTTCTTATCAAACTCTTCCTGAAGCACAGAGAAGACAGATGCTCAGTTAGAAAAATTTTGAACGCTGAGCAGTGAAATATGGCAGTCATATCCGGAGGGTGATGAATATCTTTTATCCAGATAAATGTACTTATAATTTGTTAGTTTAATTACTGCAGCCTTGCAAAGTCTTGAGCCAGTAATTCCTTTTTCAACAAATTAGAGGCCTTAAATAATTCTGTGGGAAGATAAATCCTTCACTCTGGTTTTTGGACATTTCTCCGAAATTTATTTCCAGAACTCAGCTGGGTGCCATTAACATTTTGGTGCAATGACTCTGGTCACATTATAGTCTATAAACATTTTTTTTTTGGACTAGTTTTTGCATTTCTTTCTTTCTCTTTTGGTTTGAGACAAGGTCTCACTCTCTCGCCCAGGCTGGAGTACAGTGGTGTCATCATGGCTCACTGCAGCCTCAACCTCCAACTCAAGCAATCCTCCTAACTCAGCCTCCTGAGTAGCTGGTACTACAGGCATGTGCTACCACACTCAGCTAATGTTACTATTTCTTGTAAAAACGGGATCTCACTATGTTGGCTAGGCTGGTCTTGAACTCCTATCCTCAAGTGATCCTCATGCCTTGGCCTCTCAAAGTGCTGGGATTACAGGTGTACACCACCATGCCCAGCCAGCTTCTTCATTTCTAACATTGATGCATAGATTTCCTCTCAGTAGTTCCTTGCCCGGCTCCCCGCTTTGGATATGAGAAAAATTTCATCTTTTCCAAATGGCCAGCAGCCTTTGTTCCAAAAGAAGAAAGGAAGGGAATCCTCCTGAAACCCCACCCGGGTCCTGAGTCTGAAAGAGAGAACCTAGTGAGGATACACTGTCCACTGGAAATAGCAACCACTCTTCACCCCATGCCTCATCCCAAAGCCTGGAGACCAGAAGGATCAGGTTTGCATTTCTAAAAGATATATGCTTTCTCCTCTACCTTTTAATTTCTGCATAGTTTCTCTATTTTGCTTATGTCTTTCTTTCCCTCAAGTGAGAGCTGGTTTAGCTGGCTTTCTGTCAATCAGAAATTGCTGTTAATTGGCATTTCTCTGCTTTGCAAGCAGAATGATAACTGATATTTATAATGATATTCTGGAGGCTCTGCAAGATCCTGAAGGGTCTCATGAATTCTCAAAAAATGATTGACTTCTGTGCAGTAAAATTTTAGTGTCAGGTGTATTTTATGGTTTTCTGATTCATTGCAAATTGGTTGTCCAGGTATGGGATATAACTTTCTGTTTTCCAGAGTATTTATTAAGTGGAATCCAATATTCTTTTTGGAGAGATGGAAAACAGGACTTTTTTGATTTGGAAGCTTCTGATGGCAGGAGAGGGGTCAAGTGCAATGCTTCTTTTTGTTTCTGGTGTGCCTAGCAGATGCTCAGAGGGTGCCTACTGGCTGATTGGGTGGTGCAGGAACATGGGTAGCTATAGGTTTGCTAAAGGATTATCCTCTAAGCAGGCCTGAACTGGAGGCCTGAATATTCTTGTTAAACTTGAAAGCTCAGATAGATGGGATCAGAACAGGCTGCAAAAATCTACAAGTTAGGAAAACTCACGCATAGAGCATGCAGGTCGGAACAGACAAAAAGATCCCAATCCAGGGGTTCATGATGTTGAGAACAGTTCCAGAAGGTGGAAGTACAAGGCAGATAGTGGGCTACACAGCTTCCCATTGTGTGTGAGTGACTGTGGGGTCACTTTCTGTCACCCACAATCATGTGGGACCAAAGATGCCAGACTACTGAGGTCCATGTGGAATCAAAAGATGAAGTTGACTGGGTGCTGAGACTATAGCAAGGCAAATCAGCTGTTTTCTTTTCTCTTTGTGATGGATTCTGACTGTAGCAGCCAAAGTGATCATGTGTCAGTTGATTTTGATGGCTAAGATGGCCAAATGCATCTACTCATCTTTGTCTAGTTTGCATGCACAGACAATACCTAAAGTCAGTGCCATTTCACTCCAGGCTAAACTCCTTGTATTCTGTGGGAGAACAGTATCCTTATTATATTTATCTCTCTATGTCTATATCTGTATCTCCCTTGAGTTGTATTAAGTAATACTGACATTTACTGTTCTCACTGGGTCAGGACACCTGTGTAACAGAGAGGGGATGAGAAAGTTCATTGTCCCTATTTTGTATTTATAATTCTGTATTAAAAACCACCCAGAAGTATAGTACCTTAAAACAATGACTTATTATTGTTTCTCATGAGTTTGAAGGTTGACTAGAAGTTCTTTTGATGGTCTTCTTTGGGGTCTTTCCTGAGGCTGCATTCAGTTGGTAGATGGGCTGGCTGGATGATCTAAGAAGTCCTCTCTCCCATGTCTGAGGCCTTGAGGGTTGCTTGTTGGCTGGAGCACTCCTCTACATGGCTTGGTTTCCTTCCAATCTCCTCGCTCTCCCTCCAGCTCTCATTCCATCTTCCTGGGCCTCTTCCTGTGATGCTTCTCTTCAACAGAATAGCCTGGTCTTCCTTATAGCATGTCATTTGGGTTCCCAGAATCCAAAGGGAGAAGCCACCAGGACAAGGCCTTAGTCTAGATTTGGTCCTGTGTAACTTCTATCTCCTTGGATTGGTCAGAGTAAGTCATGGGACCAGCCCAGATTCAAGAAAAAGGGAAATAGTTCCCCATTCTTGATGAGAAGAGAAGCAAATAACTTGTGGCCATCTTTGATCTATTACATCTTCTTTCAAAAACTGATGGTCAGCCAAGGTGAGAAATACATTACTGTTTACTGATTGTTGTGAGGATTAAATGAGATTGGCACAAACACAGCATTCAGGTCAATAAGTGGTTATATTCCTCTGGATTCGGGGATCAACGCTCATGGGGAGAGACTGTTTTCGGGAATCTGTAATACAGGGGTATAACATCTTTCTGTTGATTGTACTTTAGTTATTTCCAAATGAGGATTAAATGAGTCAACACATATAAACTGCCTAAAGCAGTGCCTATAACACGGTAAACATGCAGTAAATGTAAGCTATAATTATTCTCATCGTTATTATTGAATGGCAATAATTTCTAAAAGCAAAACAAAACAACCACCCACTTTATATGCAACCCACCTTCCTGATTATGAACAACCTTCTCCCATTTTAGTTATTTTTACCTTTGTGTACCAGAATCCTAGAGGTGTTTATAATCTTACAGATCATTTAGACCAATTTCTTCATTTCACAGAAGAAATTTAAAGCCAAATTTGGGCAAGTGACTTGTCCAGGTCTTGCAGCTAGCTAGAGAATTAGTACCAGATCTCAAGGATCCAAGCTTCCAACTGATGGCTCTTACCACCCCACCCCAAGAAAGTGCTAATTCATTTGATTTTAAAATTAATAGCTGGAAATACAAAGCTTCATTTTGTAGATATAATACATTTAAATAAATAGTTCAGTTTTATATATTAAACTGGGTGGGTCATGTATATTGGAGGAAAGGGAAAAAATGGGGAAGATAGAGGATGAAGAAAAACTGGCATAAAAATGGAAAAAGCTAGAGATGGAAGAAACATACAGAAGAAAAGAAAGAAGGCTAAATAATTTAAGATGATTTAATGGCAATGCTGGAATTGTTGGGTGTTATTGGGCAGAAATTGGTTCTACCTGTTTCCCTAACTTTCCTTTTGTCTGGTATCCCATCCCTCTCTTTAAGCATGCCCCTCCCGACTCCACCCTGGTGGCTCTGATGGTGCTGTTACATCACCTTATTTTCATGGCCATAAGTATTGGTCCATGGGGTGGACACTGGAACCAACTTGGTCAGTTAGAGTCCTACTCTAGGGTTGAGATATACTCTAAAGCAGTGAAAGGAAATCATCTTGAGCAAGACTGGCTTGCTTTTTACAATTTTTTAGTGAAATCTAGCATAGACGGAATAGCTTTGCCAATCTTCCTTAGAATTTACCTTGGGCATATGCTCCACCATCATATATCCTGCTATTTCTTTACTCACTTATTAAATGTTTCATGACCATTTGCTATGCACTTGGCACTGTAATACCTAGTTCTTTCACCCATAGAATTTACAGTCTGGTGTGTGAGACAGACAATGAAAAGGTAAACTAACAGAGGATTATGAGCTGTGATAACAGTCTTGTAGTAGGCTGAATAATGGCCCCCAAAGATGCCCACATTCTATTCTACAGAACTGAGAATGTGTTATCTTATGTGGCAAAGGGACTTTGCGAATGTGATTAGTTAAGGATTTTGAGATGGGGAGAGTGGATAATCCTGGATTATCTGGGTGGGTCCAATCTAGTCACAAGGGTCCTTATAAACAGAGGCTGAAGGGTCAAATTCAGAGAAGGCAAAGTGATGATGGCTGCAGAGACAGAGGTTGGAGAATGCTATGCCACTGGCTTTGAAATTGGAAGGAGATCACAAACGGAGGAATGCAGGTGGTCTCTAGGAGCTAGAAAAGGGAAGGATGAAGGTTCTCCCCTAGAGCCTCCAGAATGAACGCAGCCCTGGAGCTAACCTGACTTTAGGACTTCTGACCTCCAGAGGATAAATTTGTATTGTTTAATTATTAAGTTTGTGGTAATTTGTTACAGAAGCTTCAAAGGAAATACAAGCTTCAAAGGAAAATAGAGGATGATGTAAAAGAATAATACGGGGAAACTTAATAAGATTAAGGTGTCAGAGAAGACCTTTCTGAAAAAGTTTATTTTGGATAAGACTTAATTGAAGAGAAGGAGCCAGCCTTACAAAGTGTGTCAGGGGCTGGGAATTGTATCCAGGGAAATAATGCTGCAAATGACTTTAAAAGAGACAGCTCTGATTGTTAGTTATAGCAACTGAAAGAAGACTTATGGGATAGGATAAGAAGAGGAGCATGGTGTCAGATTGGGTCAATTGATTCATAAATATCCATATTGCATCAGATGAGGTTGGCTGAGTCACAGATAACCTGTATTACTATCAAGATGGATAGTAGAAGTCCTCTCTTCTGCTTGTCTTTCTAGATCCTTCTTGTCTTCCCACTTAGCTTCAACTATATCCTTGTTCCAAAGCCTTCCATGACCTTATCAGATTTTACCAATCTCCTTCTTTCATCCAGACTGTGCTCCATTCCTCAAACTGGGATCCGTGGACCTCCAAGGACTCAGATTTATCCTTTAGGAGGCATCCTGAGATTTTCTGAGAATGTTCTAATTTCAATGCTAAGTTTTAAAATAATATAAGCCTAGGTCTCATCTGAATGCACATGCCTCAGTTTCATCTTAAAATTTCAGTGCCTTGGTGGTACCATCTGAAGGTCAAATGATGTCCAGGCTGGCTAAATAAACAAAAGCTTCGAGGAAGCTTAAACAGAAAAGAGTGGAGGGAAAACTGGAGTGATCAAAGGGCACATGGCAGTGTCTGAACCTGAATGGTAACAGGCAGCACCATGCTGGCTTTGCCAGCAGAGGTGTTAATGAATTCTCTCTTGGTCCAAATCAACTTGTAACGATTCACTACTAGTAAATGGATTTTAAGTAGGTCAATGGAAATCTTTTTTCTCCAAGTTTTGCATTTCCTACTAAGTTGATTATCTATCAAAATAGTGCATCGGTGATTAAAAGTGAATTCATTGAAACTCACCTGGTGATTAACACAGTGGTGATAATGAACTCAGTGACAATGATTCAAAATATGACTTGTCATGTTCAGAATCAGATCCATCTTAGAGAAGGTGGCATGAGAAAAAAAATTAAATACAAAAATTGTATCCATATTGGGAACAAGTGAAAAAGGAAATGTTCAAATTCATTTTTCCACTAAAATTCCCAAGAGTGTCAATCAAGTTTATGTAAAGCATTATCAATTATTACACTAAATACACACCATTTTACATTTTATTGATTTTGTATTTTTATTTGTATATAATTGTTATGTTGTGATTTTAATCTGTAAGTATAAATATTTTATAAATCATTTTCTGTTTGCATAGACTTAAGTAACATAACAAAAAATAATTTAAGTCAACACTGGAGATCTGTGAAAAATATTTTTCTTTCAGAAGGGTCCATCTATTACTGAGGTTTGAGAAATACTGATTTGCAATATTCATACTGATATATTTTTGAATTGCTAGTGTTATTTACTGAATGTTTTTGTCCCCCCCGAAATTTGTATGTTGAAGCCTTAATCACCAATGTGATGGTATTTGGAGACGGAACCTTTAGGACATCATGAGGGTGATATTAGTGGCTTTATAATAGAAGAAGCTGGGCGCAGTGGCTCCCACCGGTAATCCCAGGACTTTGGGAGGCTGAGGCAGGCAGATCAGTTGAGGCCAGGAGTTCCAGACCAGCCTGCCCAATATGGCAAAACCCTGTCTCTACTAAAAATACAAAACAACAACAACAACGACAACAATTGGCTGGGTGTGGTGGCATGCGCCTGTAATCCTAGCTACCTGCTAGCTACTTGGATGGCTGAGGCATGAGAATTGCTTGAACCTGGGAGGCAGAGGTTGCAGTGAGCCGAGATGGCACCACTGCACTCCAGCCTGGGCAACAGAGTGAGACTCTGTCGAAAAAAAAAAAAAAAAAAAGAAAAGAAAAAAGAAAGAACTCTCTTTCCACTATGTGGAAACATCAAGATCCTGGACTTCCTAGCCTCCAGAGCTATGAAAAATAAATTTCTGTTGTTTACTCCTGAGTCTATAGTATTTTGTGATTCTAGCCCAAGCTGACGAATATAACTAATTCTTAAATTGTTAAGTAACCGCTAAAGAGGGTGGGAGCTCTCTCAGGTGATGGGCAAGTCTACAAGTTTTCTGAAAATCCACAGGCCCAGTGGCAGTGCTAGGCACATACAAGGTGCCCAGTAAATACTTGGATAATGTTTTAATCATGCCTTTTTATTTTTCGTATTTCTGATACTTTGTTACCGGGGGCCTTGGTGACCTTAGAGAGACTGCCCCTCTTGGGGCTAGTTAATTGCTAGAGATAACAAACAACTCACCTGCGAGTGTGCCTTTCATGTGTAGCTTAACCAATCCAGAGCTGCACCTCCCATTCCTCTTAACACTCTCAGCCATCTGCCCCAATCACCCCAGAGCCAGGTACAAGACAACTAGAAACAGCCCCTACACCCTGGAGACCGCTGAAATTATTCAAACTAGCCAATCCTAAGTCTGCTTACTCCATCTCATCTGTTCCTCCCAGGGAAGCAGAATAAAGCCTCTTGCCCATATTTTTTTCTTGCACCCTCTGCCTCCTGACTAACCCTGGTGCTTCTCTGTGTGGCTCCCACGACATGACACATCTCCCATCTCCTCTTCTGTGACTAACAGACGTCTGTGAGTAACAGACGTATCTCTTCAATGGCAGCGGTCTCCTGATCTGTTGGCTTCACCATACCTGAATGATAACAAAAACTACATTTTAAAACAGGGAATAAATACAAAATCATGTTGCTCTAGACGCTATAAAAAATATTGTAATTTTCCCACCACCAGAGAGAAAACCTCTTGTTATTGGTTTAATTGTATTTGTGCATCTGCACTGCAGGAATGTAAGATCCTTTAGGGCTGGGATTGGGTATGGATTTGTACCTGAGCCAACTACACATCTAGGGCTGAGCAGGAATAGATTTTTAAAAAACATTAAAAAAATTGATTTACCAAAAATTTTGCTTTTACACAAAACAAATTGCCTCAAAGAGGCATCTTGCAACTCTATCCTACGTTTCATGTTTCTGTTAACTGAACTGATTAGCCCCAGCTTAACAATGGATGGGGTTCAAAACGCCCTGCTCCAACGGAGAATTCCTATTCCCTGCCAGGTCCCTTCCTTTCCGCCTAAGGACTCACTGTGTCTCGCTCTGTCTGGGTGCTCTCTGATCTCAGGACAGCACAGCCCCCACTCCTCTTAGGAGCCACCTTGACCTCTCCTGCCAGTGGGGATCTTCGTCTTCTTTGAGCTCAAGCACTCTCTGACTTCTAGTACCCATCTTTCCATTTTATTTCCCACCAAGTATTGTTTGTTTTCTTTGTTGCAGGGTTTTGACAAGTGTTTATAGATTACCAAACTGCTCTCTTCCTCACCCTCCCCACGTTGGCCCCCGTCCCTGGCCAGGACAGCTCCATCCTACCCAGGGTCCAGGGCTTGAAATGCTAGAGTCCAAGTGGCACAGATGGAAACAAACTGACTGCATAGATAGCATCTTACAGGTTTCATTTTCAAAATCTCTCTTGTTGAAAAAGTGCTCCACAGTCTCCTCTGGTCACCAGTCATATTGATTTGTGTTTATCCTTTTGGATTTCCAGAAACTACTGACATTAACAGAGGAGGTTTATGAGCATATTTGTCAGAAACAAGAGTCTCTCAAATCAAGATCTAGCTCTCTATAAGTAATATCATCCATCGCCTCCTGGTTGTTTCCCCTGATGACTTCCCACAGGGGCGTTAAGCTCATCACCCCAGCAACCTGGACACTTTGAACTGTGCTTTGGGCTTCACTACCTACATGTTTTTTATTATTATTATTTAATTTTTTTTTTAAGAGACAGGGTCTTGCTGTGTTAGCCAGGTTTGTCTTGAACTCCTGACCTCAAGCAATCCTCTCTCCTCAGCCTCCCAAAGTGTTAGGATTATAGGGGTGAGCCACTGTGCCTGGCTGTCTCCTATAGTTTATGGGAAAGGGTGATCAGATGTCAGCTCTGTTGATGCGAAGTGGAAGATTCTCTCTCCAGAGCAGGCAGCCTACAGCCTGTACCAAAGCCTCTTCTTAGAGAAATTTCCGTGGTATTCCAAGATTGTCATGATGGGGCCCTCTGTGTAGCTGCAGTCAAAAGGTGGCTGGTGGCACAAACCTAATCTCTCACTCTGCTTAAAACCCATAGCTCTTCTTTGCCAGATGAGTCAGTCCAGGTTTGTTTTTAAATTTTTTAAAAAGACTAAATATTTCATTTTCAGATAATTGTAGATGCAAATGCAGTTTTAAGAAATAATTCAGAAAGAGCCCCTGTACTCTTTACCAAGTCTCTCCGTTGGTAACTGCTCCCATGGCAAAATTAGAGCCCAATAGCACAAATTTACCGTGACGTCCTAGAGCAGGGTTGGGGCAGCGTGCACTAGCAGAAGAAGTGTGGGTGCTGCCTCCTTCCTGCCAGGAGAAGGTAGAATTCCAGGTCTCAATTCAGCCTCCATTGGCTCCCAAAACATGGGTGCTTCTTATAACTGCTGGGTGGGAGTGGAGCTCTGGGTCCCCATGTGGTCTTCACTGAGAAAGCTTGGGGGATTTGTTATTGCCCAATGGGAACAAGAGTCCCAGCTTCCCACTGGCCTCTCTGACACCATCCTGAAGCTGAGTTTGGGGCATATTGTTATAGCCTGGTGAAGCAGAAGTCCAAGCATCTCACCCAGCCTTCATTGGTGTGGGTGGAGGTGGGCCATACTTTTTTCTTTTTTTTTTTTTGTTTTTTTTAATGTCACTTTTATTATTGAATGATTGATTGATTGATTTTGAGATGGAGTTTCGCCCTTATTGCCAAGGCTGGAGTGCAATGGCACCATCTTGCCTCACTGCAACCTCCGCCTCCTGGGTTCAAATGATTCTCCTGTCTTAGCCTCCAGAGTAGCTAGGATTACAGGCATGCACTACCACACCCGGCTAATCTTTGTATTTTTAGTGGAGACGGGGTTTCAACACGTTGGCCAGGCTGGTCTCGAACTTCCGACCTCAGGTGACCCACCCGCCTCAGCTTTCCAAAACATTGGGATTACAGGCCTGAGCCACCTACATGTGGGTAGTGAAGCCCGGCCAAAATGTCACTTTTATTTATTTATTTATTTATTTATTTATTTATTTATTTATTTATTTTTAGTATTTATTGATCATTCTTGGGTGTTTCTCAGAGAGGGGGATGTGGCAGGGTCATAGGATAATAGTGGAGAGAAGGTCAGCAGATAAACACGTGAACAAAGGTCTCTGGTTTTCCTAGGCAGAGGTCCCTGCGGCCTTCCGCAGTGTTTGTGTCCCTGGGTACTTGAGATTAGGGAGTGGTGATGACTCTTAACGAGCATGCTGCCTTCAAGCATCTGTTTAACAAAGCACATCTTGCACTGCCCTTAATCCATTTAACCCTGAGTTGACACAGCACATGTTTCAGAGAGCACGGGGTTGGGGGTAAAGTTATAGATTAACAGCATCCCAAGGCAGAATAGTTTTTCTTAGTACAGAACAAAATGGAGTCTCCTATGTCTACTTCTTTCTACACAGACACAGTGACAATCTGATCTCTCTTTCTTTTCCCCACATTTCCCCCTTTTCTTTTCAACAAAACCGCCATCGTCATCATGGCCCATTCTCCATGGTCGCTGTCTCTTCGGAGCTGTTGGGTACACCTGCAGAAAGGCTGTCACTTCACACTTGGAAGATTGCACAGCAGCCAGGCAGAGGCGCTCCTCACTTCCAATGGGCCGTACTTTTTTCTCTTTGGTTGGAATAGAGCAGTTGTTGTCTAAATGCTTTTTGTCTTTCTAGGCTACCCATTTCCTGGTCGTTTGGCTAGAGAGAGCAGGCTTTTGTGGGGGCTGATTTTGTCTGCACCCCCTGGCATTTCTATGTTGCTGGGTACATCAGCAAGTCTAGGATATACAAGACCAGAAGAAAATCTGGGGGACTCATCGCCCAGTCATTGCTTGGCTGCTCCTTCCCGGTCTGCCTTTTACTCTGCACTTTTCAGATTCTTCTTATTTATAATACCCAGGACTTTTAGTCGACTTAGCTGGAAGAATAGGAAAAAATACATCTACTCCATGTTTTTGAAAGTAGAAGTTCCCAGGTGTCTTTTTCAGTTTTAAACATGAAACACCATGATCTGTTCCTTGCTGAGTTCTCTGATACTCTCGTCACATCTTGCTTCATGCCTGAGAAACCAAATATACAAACCGACAATGACCAGGCCACATCTAAAAATAGAACTTTGACCCACAGCCTGCAGCAATCTGCTCAGGAAACCAACTTTTGATCTACAGTGAGCAATTCAGGAAGCCAGCCTGCTAGAAGTCAGACTTCCAGGAAGCCAGACTGCTGTCTTTAGTGATAATCCAGGAAACTAAACAATACCCTCTGTAACAGTCAGCCTCAAATGGCCAGGGCCTGATTAATAATGGACAGCTTTCCTAACTTTTGTCCTTGCTTTCAACTTAGTGCCAACCAGAGAAGGCCAAATGATGCACTCACCCCTAACTAATCATGTAGGATACCCCGCTTCTATTAGCCCCGTTACAGCTTCCCCATGCTGACAGCCTGCAATCAGAGCACACCTGAAGCCTTCCCTGTTTTCCACTACAAAACTTTTCCTGCTTCTCTGTCTGCCTTTGAATCTTTGCCCAAATGTGAGTAGCTGTGCTGACTCCCTTGATGAGGCAATCTCAGAATAAACAGCCATTATTATTATTTTTTTTAATTAAAAAAATTGGACTTTGGGAGGCCGAGGTGGGTGGATCACAAGGTCAGGAGTTCAAGACCAGCCTGACCAACACGGTGAAACCCCGTCTCTACTAAAAATACAAAAATTAGCCAGGCGTGGTGGTGTGCACCTGTAATCCCAGCTACTTAGGAGGCTGAGGCAGTGGAATCACTTGAACCCGGGAGGCGGAGGTTGCAGTGAGCCGAGGTCATGCCACTGCACTCCAGCCTGGGCGACAGAGTGAGACTCTATCTCAAAATAAATAAATAAATAAAATAAAAATAAATAAAAACTCAGTTTTTTTAGGTACATAGCAGATGCACATCTCATGTACCCACATTAGATGTGGGTACATGAGATGTTTTGATACAGGCATGCAATGTGTAATAATCACATTGGGGTAAATGGGGTATCTATCCCCTCAAGCATTTATCCTTTGTGTTACAAATAATCCAATTATATATTTTTAAGTTATTTTAAGATGTATAATTAAATTATTTTGGTTGTAGTCACCCTATTGCATGATCAAATACTAGATCTTATTCATTCTTTCTAACTAGTTTTTGTACCTATTAACCATACCCACTTCCTTCCCCAGCCCCCCACTACCCTTCCCAACCTCTGGTAACCATCCTTCTACTATCTCCATAAATACAATTGTTTTAATTTTTAGGTCCCATAAATAAGTCAGAACATGCGAAGTTTATCTTTCTGTGCCTGTTTTTTTCACTTAACATAATGACCTCTGGTTCTAACCATGCTGTTGTAAATGACAGCCTCTCATTGTTTCTTATGGCTGAATACTAGTCCATTGTGTATATGTACTACATTTCCTTTATCCATTGATCTGTTAATGGACACTTAGGTTGCTTCCAAATCCTGGTTATTGTGAATGGTGCTGCAACAAACACGGAAGGGCAGATATCTCTTCAATATACTGATTTCCTTTCTTTTGGGTATACACCCAGTAGTGGGATGGCTGGAACACATGGTAGCTCTATTTTTAGTTTTTTGAGGAATCTCCAAATGGTTCTACATAGCAGTTGTATTAATTTACATTCCCACCAACAGTGTATGAGGATTCCCTTTTCTCCATATCCTCGCCAGCATTTGTTATTGCCTGTCTTTTGGATATAAGGCATTTAAACTAGGGTGAGATGATATCTTATTGTAGTTTTGATTTGCATTTCTCTGATGATTAATGATGTTGAGTATCTTTTCTTATACTTGCTTGCCATTTGTATGTCTTCTTTTGAGAAATGTCTAAAATAGCCTTTGCTTTCCTCATTTGGTTGGTCTTGGTTTATTTCCACACTCTCTTTCTAGGCTGCCCATTTCTTGGTCCTATGGCTAGAGACAGCAGGCTTTTTTGTTGGCACCTGTTGGTATTTCTTGGTTGCTGGTTGCATCAGCTTCAAGTCTGGGATATATGAATCCAAAATAAATAAATAAATAAATAAATAAATAAATAAATAAATAAATAAATAAAGGAAAAATCCAGTGAACTCATTACTATGTCATTCCTCAGGTCCCAAGGGTCCTAAAGTCTCTTGCTGAGCTGCCTTCTTCTCTCCACTCTTTGGAATGTTGTTATCTATAATGTCCAGGGTTTTCAGTTTTACTTAGTGGGAGGAGTAGGAAAAAGTACACTTACTTCATCGTTTTTTGGAAGTGGATGTTCCCAGATGTCTTTTTCTTTTTTAAACGTGAAATATCATGCTCTGACCCTTGCTGACGCCCTAGCACTCTGCCATATCCTGCTCCATCCTGATGCTCAAAGGCCAGGGTCTCCTATGACACAGTCCTACCATCTCCCTTGCTGGCCCACACTGCATAAAACATACACTTATGTAGTGTTTATATGTATTAGGCTTGGTCCTGAGCACTTTATATATGCTAATTATGCATGAAGTCTATTATTATAAAGAAACCAACGCCAAAAATATTAACCAATTCACTTAAGGTCCCCTAGCTAGGAAGCTGCAAAGCCTGGATCTGGACCCAGGCAGCCTGGCACCGAGGCTCTATTCCTACTAGCTCCACTCTGCTGCCTCTCTGCCTCTTCCATGGCCAGCAGTCCTGGTTGTTTAGCCAGGGTACTTATATGTGGGTCAGAATCCCCTTGGGGCTTGAAAACACAGATTGCTGAGGCCTACCTCCAGAAATTCTGATTCAGTTGGTCTGGGGTGGGGCTTGAGTATTTTTATGTCTGTCAAGTTCTCAGGTGATGCTAACATTGCTCTCTAGGGACCACACTTTGCAAACCAACAACCCTTTCCATGTTTTCCTTCACCCCAATTTCCTCTGCTAATTGCTATGCAGCCTTTAAGATTCAGCACAGGTATTACCTCGCTTGATTTGACTACTGTTACTTCTGCCACCCTTAGATATTCCTCTTAAGCTTCCTTGGCGGCCTCTCAGCATCTCGGTCATTGTTATTTACCAAGTTGTATGGAAATCATCTCTTCATATGTCTCATTTCCATCCCCTGACCCCTTGAGGGCAGAGAAGTCAGTGCAGACCCAAGTCTCAACTATTGTGATCTTTGCAGAATTACCTGGATTGACTGTTAAAAATGAGATTCCTGGGCCTAGCTCCCTGAGTTTCTCAATTAGTAGATCTGGGATGGGGTCTAAGAATCTGCACTTTAAAGAATCAACTTACATGATTCTGATGCAGTTGGTCCACTTTTAGAAATTGCCCTGGAACTTTGCATTGTGTTTGGTACTAAATAAGTGCTCAATAATTATTAATTGGATTTATTGAACTGAACTTTGAAACAAAACGGTAACCTCTTATCTTCTTTTCTATACTTTCTCCCTACCAGCCCCCAACCCCCATGATGGATGTTTTTAGTACCTGTCCCTCTAATACCTAATCCCTCTCTTCTCTTCTCCAAATCATTTCTTTCTTTTTCTTCCAGTCAGAACTTTCATTCACATGTGTGATATTATAAGAAGTACATACTTGTTCTTCATCGCTTGTTCCTGACGCAGAGCTCCTAAAATCTTTGTAATTTCTGGAATGATGGGGATAATAGAATTGTCTTACACAGAGCTCCTCAAAGCCTTGGAATTCGCTGGGTGATAGAAGCATCTTTTTTGTTGTTGTTGTTGTTGTTGTTTGTTTTTTCTTGTTTGTTTGTTTTTGAGACGGAGTCTCACTCTGTCGCGAGGCTGGAGTGCAGTGGTGCGATCTCAGCTCACTGCAAACTCTCACTCCCTGGTTCAAGCAGTTCTCCAGCCTCAGCCTCCTGAGTGGCTAGGATTACAGGCACGCACCACCACACCCTTCTAACTTTTGCATTTTTAGTAGAGACAGGGTTTCACCATGTTGGCCAGGATGGTCTCGATCTCCTGACCTCATGATCCGCCTGCCTTGGCCTCCCAAAGTTCTCGGATTAGAGGCGTGAGCCACTGTGCCTGGGCCAGGAGCATCTTTTGTTCTACTGAGATGACTCTTGGTGGTCTCCTGAATAGCTTCAGGATGGGGGCTGGTCACTAGAAAGACCAAGCCATAATTAGAAGCTTGGAGTTTTCAGCTCTCGCCTATCCTCTGGAAAGGAGAAGAGGGCTGGAAATTGAGTTAATAATTGACCATGCCTATGTGATGCAGCCTTCATAAAAATCCCTAAAGTATGGCTTTTGGAGAGCTGCTGGGTTGGTGAGTGCATCCATATCCAGGACGAAGGTGCATCCCAACTCCACAGGGAGAGAAGCTCCCGTGCCTAGGAACCTTCCAGACCTCGGCCTATATACCTCTTCAGACCTGGCTGTTTATTCATATTATCTGTAATATCCCTTATAATAAACCAGTAACAGTGCTTCCCTGAGTTCTGTGAGCTGTTCTAGCAAATTATTGAACCAATTTATTGCTGCTTGGTCAGAACTAGGGTGGCCTTGACTTGCAATTGGCATTTCAAGTGGAATGCTGTTGTGTGGAGTGAGCCCTTAATCTGTGGGGTCTGTGCTAACATTGGGTACTTCGTGTCAAAATTAAATTAAATTGTAGGGCACCCAGTTGGTGTCTGGAGAGTTGAATTTGTTGGTGCTGGGAGGAAAACCCCACATATTTGGTGTCAGAAATGTTATGAGTAGAGAAACAGTTTTGTTTTTAACATGCTAAAGCTAATTTCAGATAGCAATTGAATAAACTTAAAACACTGAATCAATTTTTGTTGGGGGCATCTTTTATAAATTGAGATATACTTTACATAGAGTGCAGTCTTAGGTATTCAGCCTGATAAATTTTACCTATGCATACACCTGTGTAACCACCACTGAGATCATGACATGGGGCATGTCCAGCACTCAGCAGGTTCTTTCATGACATTTTCCATATAAGACACCCTTCTTCAAGGTAGGCACTATTCTGACTTCCATCATCATAGATTAGTTTCACCTGTTCTTGAACGTTATATACATGAAATTATATAGAATATCCTCTTGTATCTTGATCTTCGTGCTCAACAGTACGTCTGTGAGATCTATTTATGTCTTTGTAAACAGCAATAGATTTTTCTTTGTCATTACTCTGTTGTATTTAATTTTATGAATATAAAATGAATCAACTGTTTTTATGTTGGATATCTTTTAACCTGTATTATATAATTTCTTATCAAACCGAGTGCATGGAGCATAATGTAACTCCTTTTGATGACTCAGGGCCTTCATTGTAAGTATCAGTCATATATTCCTCATTCATTCATTCAACATTTATTGAACATCCAGTTTGTAACAGGCATTGTACCATCACTGGGTAATAAAATGAGGAGTGAATACTCATCGTTGGTGATCATTTTCATCAATAAATACTCACGGATCACCTACTATGTGTTAGTAACAAACCCCCTTTGGGCCCTGTTTCCTTCGGTAGATGATTTTCTTGGAGAAAATAGAGGACATCAGGTGTGAACCAATGAAATCCCCTGCTGTGGCCTCTAAGATGATCTATATACAAAGTGTCCTTCCTCTCCTGCCTCACAGAAAAAAAGGCTCATCTCTTGCAGTAGAGAAAGATAAGTTCCCTCTTTTATTTTAAAGCTGATCTCTCCATCTGGTGCAGATACCATCCTTTTTCCTTCACTCAAACCTTGAACTTGTGTGAGCCCCTTCCCCTTGATGCAAGAGTTCCCTATTCATCGAGTCCTTCTCTTAGTCTGTAGGCATAATTATGTTTCACCAAAGCAGAATGAAGCAAAACAAAAACCCTTTTCCTCAAATTTAACACCGTTTCTAAATATTGCCCTGTTTATTTTCCTTAAATGCCAAAATTCTTGAAAGGGGCATGTTTCCATTCCCTTTGAAAGGGGAATTTCTAGAAGTGAAATGTGTATATTTCCCATGGTACTTATCAATTTCCATTCTCTTAACCATTTGAAATCTGACTTTTGGCTTCAGTTTCTGCAGAAGCTGCCCTCACCGATGTTGTCTGTGACCTTCTCAGAGTTAAAGGCAAAGACCCTTTTAAGTCTTTATCCTGTGTGACTTCTCTTTATTACCCATCTCAGTAAAGGATTGTCTTCCTCTTAAACTTTTTTCTTGGCTTTCCTATGTCACTGTTCTCTTCTGATTTTTCTTTTCTGATTGTGTCTTCTCGGTATTTTAATGTTTCTTCATTCTCTACCTCTTAAATACTTGTATCCAACCATGACACTTCTTTAAGATTTTTTTTGTAGTAAAATATACCAATGAAACATAAACATAACATTTATTATTTTAACCATTTTGAATGTACCATTCAGCAGCATTAAGTAAATTCACATTGCTGTGCACCCATCACTACTACCCATATCAAAACTTTTTCATCATCCCAAACAGACTCTGTACCTGTTAAACAGTAATTTCCCATCTCTCCCTGCCCCAGTCCCTGGTAGCCACCATTCTACTTTCTGTCTCTATGAATTTGACTATTCTAGGTACCTTATATAAGGGGAATGATACAATGTTGTCTTTTTTTGTGTATGACTTTTTTGTGTCTGACTTATTTCTCTTAAAACTGACTCTAATCACTGACTTTCAGAGTGATCTTGGGCAAGTTACCTGACCTTTCTTTGCTTCTTTTATTCATCCTACAGGCAAGGATAATAACAATACTGTTATTTATCCATTTGCGTTTTTAAGATTTGTCTATGTTGTAGCATGCATCAGAATCTCATTTCTTTTTAAGGATTTTGAATAAGATTTAATTGTGCGTATATACCACATTTTGTTCATTCATTCATTCATGGATGGACATTTGGGGTGTTTCCACATTTTGGCGATTGAAGCTTCTCTTCTTTAGTTTTAGGGTGTCTAAGGAAGGTCAATGTTGCCTCAGAGGAGCACACATATACAAGTTTTTTAGGGCCATGTGATGATGTGGGTGGTCACTGGTTTATCATTCTTTGGAGATCCTGCAGCTGGCAAGAAGTGTTAGCATCTGAGAAACAAAGCTGTAGGACCTAGAGCCAGGGAAGCCTGTCAAGAGATATTCTAATCTGTAGGGAACATGCTTCAAAATGGTGGACAGCAGGGGTGAAAATAGTTATATTGGTGAGTCTAGAAAAGCTGATTGGAAAATAATTCCTTGAAAGCCAATTCCCTAATGAACATTTCCAGTCTGTTTATTACATGGTCTAGGGCTCCTTTGGGGGCTGGGTCTTTAGAGTGCTTGATCCAGGCTGGAAACTGATGTTTGCTGCTACTCCCGTGGCTTCCATCATTATCTATATACTGCCAATTCCTAAACCTGTCTTATCAGTATTAACTTTCTCTTGAGCTCCAGAACCATAATTCCATCATTTTACTGGACACATACACCTGCATGTCCACAGCTACTTCAAATTCAATATGCCTTAAATCGAAATTGTTATCTTCTCATTCTTGATGGACATAATTACCATTTATTCAGTTATGAAGGCCAGAATTCCAAGAATCACCTTTGACTCCTTCCCTGCTCATCCTCTGTCCCCTCGATTCTACTTCTATTCTCCAGAAAATTTCCCTTTTCTTTTTTTTTTTTTTTGAGACGGAGTCTTGCTCTGTCACCAGGATGGAGTGTAGTGGTGTGATCTCGGCTCACGGCAACCTTCGCCACCTGGGTTCAAGTGATTCTCATGCCTCGGCCTCCCGAGTAGCTGGGATTACAGGCACAAGCCACCACACCAAGCTAATTTTTGTATTTTTGTAGAGACGGGGTTTCACCATGTTGGCCAGAATGGTCTTGATCTCCTGACCTCGTGATCTGCCTTCCTCAGCCTCTCAAAGTGCTGAGATTACAGGAGTGAGCCACCATGCCCGACCACCCCTTTTCTCTTAATCCATATTTCTATGCCTGAATTTTACCTCATATTCTGTCTCACAGACACGTTCTTCTTTTATATTGCCATCAGGGTTCTTTTTTCAAAATAGCTTTGATTATATCATTTACAACCCCTCCTCCTGTCTTTAAATGTTTTGAAGCCTCCCCATTGCCAATACATAAACTTTATGTTCCTTAGTATGGTTTATTAGGCCCTCCAGGATCTAACACTCAGCCACTGAACCAGCATTGTCTTTTATTTTACATCTTTACCATATGCTTTCCCCATGCAATCATTTTTCAGTTTGTTTAACATTGGACATTATTTGGTGCCTCAGTATCCTTGCATGGGTGGTTCTTTCTAAAAGCAGAATGCTTACAAATTCGATTCAATTTTGAAGAAGCAGGCACCCTTGCCATCCCCCTCTCATCTTTTTTAACTTGGAGGAGTGCAACTTGTGCAAGGTCTACAGTGAAAGCCCTTAGGTCCCTTCACGTTATGTTACACAGCTGAGGGTTCCAGCAAGTCCCTTAGGGCTACTGTCAGAGACGAGGTTTTAATGCCCTTGCTGTCACTCAGTGCGATCTTCCTTGGGTCCTTGGTGGAAATGGCAAAGAAAACTGCGGTTGAATCCACCACCTTCTATTTCCTAACATTCTGGTTTTTGGCATATGAGCCTCATTCATCACATTGGGATGATACTATTACTGTGCAGGAGTTTTGCAGCAATAGTGAAAAGGTCAAAACCTTTAATAAGGCTGGGCGCGGTGGCTTACGCCTGTAATCCCAGCACTTTGGGAGGCCGAGGCGGGCGGATCAGGAGGTCAGGAGATCGAGACCATCCTGGCTAACACGGTGAAACCCCGTCTCTACTACCATACTAAAAATACAAAAAATTAGCTGGGAGTGGTGCTGGGCGCCTGCAGTCCCAGCTACTCCGGAGGCTGAGGCAGGAGAATGGCGTGAATCCGGGAGGCGGAGCTTGCAGTGACCCGAGATCGCGCCACTGAACTCCAGTCTGGGCGACAGAGCGAGACTCCATCTCAAAAACAAAACAAAACAAAACAAAACAAAACAAAGAAAAACCTTTAATAAGCTGTACGTGTTATAGCCATTAGCTATTATTAGTTTAAACTTCATTCTTTTCTTTTACTCTCTTTCCTTTTTATGTCTCATACTTTCCTTGTCTTTGCTTTTCTATATCTTTCCCTTTCTCTTCTACATTTTTCATATTTTTTTGTTTTTTTCTTTTTTCCCTCAAGACCTCAGCAATTAGCAATTTTAGCTCCACTCGGTGCCGCTTAGGTTCTGATCCCTGAATTTACGTAAAGTGCCACCAACCCCCACCATGACCTTAACAATGCTTACATTTCCCCCATTTGTTAAAACTTCTCTTCTGGGCATTAATGACCATTCCTGACCTGGGGAGAGTTCTCCAACTTACACCCTGTCTCTGTTGTTGGACTTCTTAAAGAGCCTTTCTGTGTAATATTGTCAACTGATTAACCTTTAGGCCTGAAAAAAATGGGAATATCAAAGCAATAATATTTTCCGCTGTTTTCCAGTGAAGGGTGCATCAATCATAGAAATGTCTTTGACTCCTGTTTGGTTACTGCACCAACAATTGAGTATAACTTTCTGAGTTAGAGGGAGATAATGGTTTCTTGGGGTAATAAAAATGTCAGAAGGAGGGAGACTTTCATCTAACTCGATAAAAAATGTGAAGGCATTGGGTGGCGGCACAAGGACATTGAGGAGATGGCAACATCTGGAGAATCTAGAGGCCTCAACAGCCTGGTAATTTATGGCCCTCAGAGAAATGTACTCGGCCAGGAGCCTGGAAACCTGGATTCCATTCTCATCCTTATCACTGACTTCCAGAGTGACCTTGGGCAAGTTGCCTGACCTTTCTTTCCTTCTTTTATTCATCCTATAGGCAAGGATAATAACAATACTGGTATTTATCCATTTGTTACCCAAAGAGAATTTTTATTTCTCTCTCTGTCTTTTTGGGTAGATAAATGAGGCACCCTTTTTGGAGCTGTTGCACAAATTCAGGGTTTTATTTTTATCACATATATATTTTGTTTACAGGGAGCTTTAATTTATTTCATTAGAAATTTATTTAGATCTGAGATGCAAGGAAGTTTAGTGTAAAGGCCATGCCAATTTTAAAGAGAAATAAGGTGCAGCTCAGAGCAATTGATATTTGCAGGATCAAAACTTTAAAATCCTATGAATTACACTAGTTTTCTCCTATTTAATCACAGACTCACAGGACAAAAGGGAAACTTTGCAAATAAAATTAGAGAACCTTGAAAACATAACTATCGTAGTTAATTACTAGCAAGTGAGACATATTTATCATGGAATAGTGGTGAAGTGTCTATAGTTCACTTGGATGTCACACAGCAAAGAGAGGTGGGGACAACATTAGGGCTCAACTCAGTCCCCTCCTTCTCCATGCAAACTTGCCAAGTCACAATGACATTACTTACCTCAGTACTCTATTTACAATTATAGTAATTTTTTGAAGTTATTTTCTTTCATTTAAGAGGAGTGATTTCTATGGTTGCACACTCATTCATTCATTCATTCATTTATTTCATTCCACAAATATTAAGTGCCTATGAGTTATCAGTCAATATGATGGCTTGGGAGATACAGTGATGGGTACATCTATGAGGCTTCTGCTTTCATGGACTTTGGGATTTGGATGGGAGACAAAGGTCAAAATATTGCCATGCAAATGTCTGATTGCAATGGTACGAAGTACTAAGAAGAGAAAGCATCAGGAGCTGTGCTAATAAAAGTGGTGAGTATCCTGTAAATGATTTCACCAGATGTCCTTACAGCTCCCAACTCATTTCTTTCATCTTCCTTGACCCTATTCCATCTGCCCCACCAACATCCCTCACTTGCAGTGGTGTGTATTTTTTTTAATTTTTTTAAAATTAAAAAATTTTTGTTTTGCTTTTTTTTATTTTTAATTGCAGTAAAATATACATAAAATCTACCATCATAATCACTTTTTACAGTTCAGTAGTGTTAAGTATAGTCACATTGTTGAAACCGATCTCCAGAACTTTTTCATTTTGCAAAACTGAAACTCTGTATTCATTAAACAACTCTCCATTTCCTCCTTTCCTCATTCACTGACACCCATCATTCTTTCTGTCTCTATGAACTTGACCACTTTAGGTATCTCTCATAAGTGGAATTGTACAATATTTGTCTTTTTGTGACTGGCTTATTTCACTTAGCATAATGTCTTCAAAGTTCATCCATGTTGTAGCATGTGTCAGAATTTTCTTTCTCTCTCTCTCTTTTTTTGCAGGTTTGTTACATAGGTATACATGTGCCATGGTGGTTTGCTGCACCCATCAACCCATCATCTACATCAGGTATCTCTCCTAATGCTGTCCCTCCCCTTGCCCCCCACCCCCAGACAGGCCCTGGTGTATGATGTTCCCCTCCCTGTGTCCATGTGTTCTCATTGTTCAACTCCCACTTATAAGTGAGAACATGCAGTGTTTGGTTTTCTGTTTCTGTGTTAGTTTGCTGAGAATAATGGTTTCCAGCTTCATCCATGTCCCTGCAAAGGACATGAACTCATCCTTTTTTATGGCTGCATAGTATTCCATGGTGTATATGTGCTACATTTTCTTAATCCAGTCTATCATTGATGGGCATTTGGGATGGTTCCAAGTCTTTGCTACTGTACATAGTGCTGCAATAAACATAAGTGTGCATGTGTCTTTATAGTAGAATGATTTATAATCATTTGGGTATATACCCAGTAACGGGATTGCTAGGTCAAATGGTATTTCTAGTTCTAGATCCTTGACAAATCGCCACACTGTCTTCCACAATGGTTGAACTAATTTACACTCCCACCAACAGTGTAAAAGCATTCCTATTTCTTCACATCCTCTCTAGTATCTGTTGTTTACTGACTTTTTAATAATCATCATTCTAACTGGTGTGAGATGGTAGCTCATTGTGGTTTTGATTTGCATTTCTCTAATGACCAGTGATGATGAGCTTTTTTCCATATGTTTGTTGGCTACATAAATGTCTTCTTCCGGGAAGTGTCTGTTCCTATACTTCACCCACTTCACAACAAATGTGTAAAAAGAGCAAAGAAAAGTCATTATATAATGATAAAGGGGTTGATCCAGCAACAGGATATCACAATTGTAAATATATATGCACCCAACTCTGGAGCACCCAAATATATAAAACAAATACTATTAGAGCTAAAGAGAGACATAGATCTCTATACAGTAATAATTGGAGACTTTGAGTCCCCACTTTCAGCATTAGACAGATCTCACAGGCATAAATCAACAAACGAACATTGGACTTAACCTGTACTGTAGACCAAATTGACCTAATACACGTTTTCAGATCATTTCATCCGAAGGCTACAGAATGTACATTTTTCTCTTCGGCACATGATGGTTCTTAAGGATAGACCATATGTTAAGTCACAAAACGAGTGTTAAAACATTCAAAAAATTGAAATAATATCAAACATCTTCTCTGACCACAATGGAATAAACTAGAAATCAATAACAAGAGGAATTTTGGAAACTATACAAACACATGGAAATTAAACAATATGCTCCTGAATGACCACTGGGTCAATCAAGAAATTAAGAAGGAAACTAAAAATTTTCTGGAAACAAATGATAATGGAAACACAATATACCAAAACCTATGTGATACAGCAAAAGCAGTACTAAGAGGGAAATTCATAGCGATATGCTTCTACATCAAAAAAGTAGAAAAATTTCAAATAACCTAACGGTTCATCTTAAAGAACTAGAAATGCAAGAGCAAGCCAAACCTAAAATTAGCAGAAGAAAAGAAATAATAAAGACCAGAGCAGAAATAAATGAATTTGAAATGAAGAAAACAATACAAAAGTTCAATGAAACAAAAAGTTGGTTTTTTGAAAAGATAAAATTGAAAAACCTTTTGCCAGGCTAATGAAGAAAAAAAGAAAAAAGCCCCAAATGAATAGAATCAGAGATTTATTTTAAAGGAGACATTAAAGCTGATACCACAGAAACTAAAAGGAACATTAGTGACTACTATGAGCAACTATATCGCAATAACTTGGAAAATCTAGAGGAAATGGATAAATTCCTAGACACATACAACCTACCAAGATTGAATCATGAAGAAATCCAAAACCTGAACAGATTAATAACAACTAATGAGGTCAAAGCCACAATAAGAAGTCCCCCGGAAAAGAAAAGCCTGGGACATAATGGCTTCACTGCTGAATTCTACCAAACATTTAAAGAAGAACTAATACCAATCCTTCTCAAATCAAATTGTTCCAAAAAATAGAGGAGGAGGGAATACTTCCAAACTAATTCTACAAGGCCAGTTTTACCCAGGTACCAAAACCTGACAAAGACATGTCAATAAAAGAAAACTAAAGGCCAATATCTCTGCTAAATATTGATGCAAAAATCCTCAATGAAATACTAGCAAAGGGAATTCAACAATACATTAAAAAGATCATTCATCATGAGCAAGTAGGATTTATCCCAGGGATACAAAGATGGTTCAACGTATGCAAATCAATCAGTGTGATACATTATATCACAGAATGAAGGACGAAACCATGTGATCACTTCAATTGATGCTGAAAAAGCATTTGATAACATTTAACATCCTTTCATGATAAAAACCCTCAAAAAACTGGAAATAGAAGGAACATACCTCAACATTATAAAAACCATATAGGACAGAACCACAGCTAGCATTATACTGAATGGGGAAAAACTGAAAGCCTTTTCTGTAAGATCTGGAACATGACAAAGATGCCCACCTTCACCACTGTGATTCCACATAGTACTGGAATTCCTAGCTAGAGCAATAAGACAACAGAAAGAAATAAAGGGCATCCTCACTGGAAAGGAAGAAGTAAAATTATTTTTCTTGTCGATGATCTTCTATTTGGACGAACCTAAAGATTGCACCAAAAAACTATTAGAACTGATAAACAAATTTACTCAAGTTGCAGGGTATAAGATCAACATAAAAAATCAGTAGCATTTCTAAATGCTAACAGTGAACAATCTGAAAAAGAAACTAAAAATTAATCCCATTTACAATAGCCACAAATAAAATTAAATACCTAGGAATAAACTTAACTAAAAAAGTGAAAGATCTCTACAATGAAAATTGTAAAACTCTGATGGAAGAAATTGAAAAGGACACAGAAAAAGATAGATATTCCATGTTCATGGATTTGAAGAATAAATATTCTTATAATGTCCATATTACTTAAAGCAATCTACAGATTCAATGCAATCTCTATCAAAATACTAACCACATTCTTCACAGAAATAGAAAAAAAATCCTAAAATGTATATGGAACAAAGTAAGTCTTAAAACATTCAAAAAATTGAAATAATATCAAGCATCTTCTCTGACCACAATGGGATAAAACTAGAAATCACTAACAAGAGGAATTTTGGAAACTATATAAACACATGGAAATTAAACAATATGCTTCTGAATGGAGCTATCCTGAGCAAAAAGCCAAAGCTATCCTGTGCAAAAAGAATAAAACTGGAGGGATCACGTTACATGACTTCAAATTAAACTACAGAGCAATAGTAACTAAAACAACATAGTTACTGGCATAAAAACAGACAAAGAGACCAATGGAACAGAATAGAGAACCTAGAAACAGATCCATACATCTACAGTTAACTCATTTGTAACAAAGGTGCCAAGAACATACATTGGGAAAAAGACAGTCTCTTCAATAAATGATACTGAGAAAACAAGATATCCATGTGTAGAAGAATAAAACTTGACCCCTATCTCTCACCATATAAAAAATCCAAATCAAAATAAATTAAAGACTTAAATCGAAGACCTCAAAAGTATGAAATACTACAAGAAAACTTTGGAAAAACTCTCTAGGACATTGATCTGAGCAAAAATTTCTTGAGTAATACTGTACAAGCACAGGCAACCAAAGCAAAAATGGACAAGTGGGACCACATCAAGTTAAAAACTTTCAGAGAGTGAAGGAAACAATCAACAAAGTGAAGAGACAACCCACAGAGTAGGAGAAAATATTTGCAAACTACCGATCTGATGAGAGATTAAAAATTAGAATGTATAAGGAGCTCAAACAATCCTATAGGAAAAAAATCTAATAATCTGATCAAAAAATGGGTAAAAGATTTGAATAGACATTTCTCAAAAGAAGACATACAAATGGCAAACAGGCATATGAAAAGGTGCTCAATATCATTGAGTGTTAGAGAAATGCAAATCAAAACTACAATGAGATATCATCTCACCCCAGTTAAAATGGTTTATATCCAAAAGACAGGCAATATCAAATGCCAGCGAGGATGTGGAGAAAAGGGAAACCTTGTACGCTGTTGGTGGGAATGTAAACTAGTACAACCACTGTGGAGAATAGTTTGAAGGTTTCTCAAATAACTAAAAATAGAGCTACCATATGATCTAGCAATCCCACTCCCAAGTATATACCCAAAAGAAAGGAAATCAGTATATCAAAGAGATAGCTGCACTCCCATGTTTGTTGCAGCACTGTTCATAATAGCCAAGATTTGGAAGTAACCTAAATGTCCATCAACAGATTAATCAATAAAGAAAGTGAGGTACTTATACCCAATGGAGTACTATTGAGCCATAAAAAAGCATGAGATCTTGTAATTTGCAATAACATGGATAAAGCTGGAATTCATTATGTCAAGTAAACTAAGCCAGACACAGAAAGACAAACATCTCATGTTATCACTTATTTGTGGGAGTTAAAAATCAAAGCAATTGAATTTAGGGACATAGGGAGTAGAAGGATAGTTACCAGAGGCTGGGAAGGGTAGTAGTGGGTGGAGGGAAGATGGGGATGGCTAATGGGGGGGAAAAGACAGGAAGAATGAATAATACCTAGTATTTGATAGCAAAACAGGGTGACCATAGTCATGATAACGTAATTGTACACTTAAAAAGAACTAAGGCCGGGCTCGGTGGCTCACGCTTATAATCCCAGCACTTTGGGAGGCCATGGCAGGTGGATGACGAGGTCAGGAGATCGAGACCATCCTGGCCAACGTGGTGAAACCCCGTCTCTACTAAAAATACAAAAATTAGCTGGGCGTGGTGGCGTGTGCCTGTAACCCTAGCTACTCAGGAGGCGGAGGCAGGAAAATTGCTTGAACTCGGGAGGAGGAGGTTGCGGTGAGCCAGGATGGCGCCACTGCACTCCAGCCTAGCAACAGAGTGAGACTCCATCTAAAAAAAAAAAAAAAGAACTAAAAGAGTATAATTGGATTGTTTGTAACAAAAAGGATAAATACTTGAAGGGATGGATACCCCCTTTACCCTGATGTCGTTATTATGCATAGCATGCCTGTATCAAAACATATCATGTACCCCATAAATGTATACACCTACTATGTACTCACAAAAATTAAAAATAAACTAAAAAAATAAATTCATTGAAGCATAGATCTTTAATTATGGTAGATAAATGAACATAAGATCATCAGTGACAACTTGAATATCAAGGGAAATAAAGCTCATTGTTTAAAACAGAATGTAGAAACCATAAATGACAAAAAAGAATCAGTGCCATCAATCTCAAAAGACCTTGGAATGCCCATGATTCCCTCCACCCTCCAGTTTCCACGAGCTTCCTTTGCATTCCAACCTGCCTTTAATTAGTTCTTCTTTTCCTGAAACTTCAGAATTCAAGGTAATGAGAAAAGCTATTTCTTATTCAACTGTTTTTCTGTGCTGTTTCATTACTAGTTCCGAAACATGCTGTTTTCTACTATTTTTCATTAGAAAGGCACAGAATTTCAATTATGTTAAGATCCTTTCCAACCCTGGAATTCAATAATTTTATATTGTAGAACAAATAGAACTTTTGATGGCTAACTTAAGAACTTTACCAGAGTTGATAAATTGTTTTTTTCTCTATAGGGAAATCTTCCTTTAGGGCTGTATTCTAACCAACAGGTATAGAAATAAATATTTAGAATATAATTCTTTTGCAAGTAGGACCATCCAGATTATAAACTCTTTTTTGGTAATGGACTGTTTTACATACAATCGTCTCTTCCAAAATGCCTACTACAGTGTCTTACACAGAAGAGGTGTTGCATGGATATTAAACTATTGAAGAGGGAGATTCCTCATTCTCTATGGGCTATTCAGTGAAGTGGCTCACAACTTCTTTTGTCTTCCATAGTGCAGCTGAAATCAATTTCTACTTGCTTTGTTCTTTCTTAAGCTAGAAGCAGCAGATCATCATCCTTAGTTTAAATGTAATTTTTTTTTTTTTTTTGAGACGGAGTCTTGCTCTGTCGCCCAGGCTGGAGTGCAGTGGCGTGATCTCGGCTCACCGCAAGCTCCGCCTCCCGGGTTCACGCCATTCTCCTGCCTCAGCCTCCCGAGTAGCTGGGACTACAGGCGCCGGCCACCACGCCCAGCTAATTTTTTGTATTTTTAGTAGAGACGGGGTTTCACCGTGTTAGCCAGGATGGTCTAGATCTCCTGACCTCGTGATCTGCCCATCTCGGCCTCCCAAAGTGCTGGGATTACAGGAGTGAGCCACCACGCCTGGCCAAATGTAATTTTTTTTAAGTGTGAAATGCCAATCATACAGAAAGGTCCAGAGAGTAATATACCATGTACCCACCTTTTGGACTTAACAAATAACATTTTATATTAGCTTTAGATAGCTTTTTCCTTAAGAAAAAAAAAAAAGGTACATTTACAACTTCTCTACACTGACTCCAATCCTTGTCCCTTCTCCCTCTTTCCCTCACCAGAGATAACCAGCGCCCTGAAGTTTGTTTGTTTTATTCCTGTCCATAATTTTATATTTTACTATATATGTATGTATCCATAAACAACAGTTGTAGTTTTATGGATTAAAAGATATATTAATACTAAAATACTATATCTGTTATGGACTAAATTGTATCCCCTCCTCCAGAATTCACATGTTGAAGCTCTAATCCTCAATTTGACTATATTTGGAGATAGGGCCTTTAAAAGGGGGTTTTTAAGGTAAAATGAGGTCATAGGGTGAGCCCTGATCCAATACTATTGATGTCCTTATGAGAAGAGAAGATGAGGGCACCCAGAGTGACACCATGGAAGCATGCACATAGAGAAAAAGCCATGCGAGGAGGTGGCCATCTGCAAGCCAAGGAGAGAGGCCTCAGGAGAACTCAAGCCTGTTGACATCTTAATCTTGGATACCCAACCTCTAGAACCGTGAGAAAATAAATTTCTGTCATTCAAGCCACTGGGCCTGTGGAGTTTTGCTATGGCGGCCCTAGCAAACTAATATACCAGTTAAATTCAAATTTCAGATAAGGAACAACTTATTTGTTGTTTATCTGAAATGTAAATTTAATTGGTATCCTATATTTTGTCTGGCAACCCCAGCACTACTGAGTATTAATACCCTGCACTTCCAGACAGTACCCGTGGGAACATTGACTGGGTCTTAGCATAGCACTTTGCACGTAAGAGAACTGCAGATCTGAAAGTTGGAAGGGATCTTAAAGGTCATCTAGAAGAATAGTTCTCGATGTCTTTCCACTTTCATGTTCTTGAGGCTTACAACACACTTCCACTCACAATAATGGCTAATAATGATAATTAATGGTTTCTCAACTGGACATATGTAAGTATGAAATGAGAATCTGGTGGTGGCGGCGGCAGCAGTGGTGTGTGTGTGAGAGAGAGACAGAGAGGGAGACAGAGAGACAGAAGGAGATAAGGGCAGAGGCACATATATTTTGAAGATTTCTCCAGATAATTCTGATAGCTCTTCCCATGGTGTGTATAGCAATCCCTGATCATTTTGAGGCTCATGAAAGACTACCCTAAGGAAGTGCTGTTTGAGCTAAAATTTGGGCCTTGATTAAAAATTAACTACATGAAGAGAAATAGGGTTGAGGACATCATTTCAGGCAAGGAGAACAACTTTTCCAAAGGCCCTTAAGTGGGAGGAAGCACATTGTGTTTGCGAAAACTGAAAGACGATGAGAGGAGAGGGATGGGGTATGTGGCTTCACAGACTGGTGAAGTCTTTATTCTGTAAGGCTTAGTACACGATGTTAAGAATTTTGGACTTTATCCTAACCACAGTGGGATGACCTGAATTGGAGGAGAGACATGAATTGGTTCTTCTTTTTATAAGAATGAGATTTGGCTCTAGTGGAAAGAGCCATATTTGAGGAGATATTATATAAGTAGTGAATGTTCAGCTGGAACATGATGTTGGATTGGATTAAGAAGTGGCCATGGAGATCCAGAGAGGTAGGTGGACTCAAAAGGTCCTCAGTAGTAAAATCTATGGGACTTAATGTTTTGAAAGTGAAGGAGGGGTATAAATAACGGACACGTCTTAGGTCTCTGACTTACATGGTTGGATGGTTAGCGGTGCCAGTCATTGAGATAGAGCGCCTCGGAGCAGGATGGCCATAGGATTAGATTAGGTACAATTATTATGAAGCAGTTTTAAGACATCCAAATTGAGGTGTTAGGCCATTGAATGTCTGAGTACAACCTTTAGAAGAGTGATTTGGGTTGGAGTTGGAGCTTGGTGATCCAAGCTTCGGGTATGAATGAGGATGCCTAAACACAGAGAGTATGGTAAAGAGAGGCCAGACACCAGGAATTCTGAATAGTGACGAATTAATCTGATAAACTAATGTTTGAGTAAATCCTTTGAGAGGAGAGACTGTCCTTCTCTCTCCTAGGTAACATATTTCTTTTCTCTGGAGAATTTTCTTTTCTCTAGAGAAATGCTTTAACCCCAAGCAGTGATGTTGATGGAAGTCATTTAAGTAGCAGGGTTTGGGGAGGGTGTATTTGAGCAGGCAGGGCCTGATGGTCACTATGGGCTGGAAGCTGCCTTCTGCATTCTACAACTATAAGATCTATTCTGTCCCTTCACATATAATGTGGCCTAGATAGAGAGTAAGCAGAGAGACACTTAAGACATTTAAATTCATAAATTTGAGACGAGCTAAGCAAAGCATAGCTCTCTTTGTTCTCATTTTATTTATTTTTTTGAGAAAGATGCAAGCAAGAGAAAAATAAGCAGATATTGAAGAATGTTTTTGGCAAAGAAACTTTCAGAGGGCCTCCTGGCATCAATGTAGACTGAGCACTATCTCCTATACCTTCTCCATCTTCTGCATCCCCAACTGTGAGCCCTGAGGATACTCATGACACTGCCATTTATTGAGGGTCTTGTGTGTCAGGCCTGTGTAACCTTTATGGAACATGTATGATACAGATGTTATTACCCCCATGTCACAAAAACAAAAGGAAGGCTCAGAGAGGTTAAGTAGTTTGGGTAAAATCACTTAGCTAGTAAGTGACAGTCTGGGGATTTGAATGTCTGTCTCCCAAACAGTGCCATCTCCTATTCACTATATTACCTCTCTTTAGTGCTCAGAATGAAGAAGGCTCTAAAATCTAAGAGACTGAATCCTAAAACAAAGATTCCATTCTGTCATCTAAAGTCCTCTTTGGGATGTAGAAAAACGGACTCATGTTTTGAAAACGTTATGGGACAGAAAGGGTTGTTAGGCACTGGCCTTTCTTTAACTAGAAAATTCAATTATCTAGAACACTCCATTCCCCATGTGCTCCCATTAATTGCTGTTTTACGGTGACACAGAGAAAAAGCGGGGATTGCTCTGGGAAAAGGATGAGCAATGCAAAGTCTGCGGATTCCAGGGTTTTGAGGATAAATTATCTAGTTAAGATTAAGGCTCTCTGTGCTTGAAGTTGTTATCGACTTTGATGCCCCACATGAGTTCTTTATCTCAGAGTAATGGTGTTGGGAATGATCACTGTGCCTCCTGTGATGTGAAGGAATTTCTTGGTCATATTGGGCCAGTCAGTTATCTCATTTATTTTGTTGATACCCTTTTGAGTCTTAAGTTAGATGGTTATTTGTCTTACATTACATTTAGACTGGAGAAATCTTTGTGTAATTATGACCTCATTGTCTGGATAGCCTTCTACTTAAAAAGGAAAAAAAGAGGTTAAAAAAAGCCCAAACACTTCAGAGCCAACTCTTCAACTGCACATGTGTTTTGTACTTTAAAAAATCATTTTCAAATAGGGCTTATCATGGGAAAAACAGCAGGAATGAATACTCTGCAAGGACATGCCCAGCTGAGAAGCCCCGGGTCTTGGGTGTCACCAAATCTGGAGATGCTCTAAGATGTAAGCTGTCTAGCAGAGGGAAAAAAAGATTCCTGTTGTTCTGCCAGGTCATATCTTCAGGTTTGAGGAGGAAAGAGTCTAAATAATAAGACCACCTATAGCAACAATAGCCAATATTCTTTGCCCACGTGCTGTGCAGCAGGCTCTAGACTAAGTGCATTTACATTTGCCCTTTTCCTTTCATCTTCACAATAACCCTCTTGGATGTTGTACTATGTTGGACACTACAAATCTTCTGGGCCCCATATTTTGCTTCAGCTGCTATTGCTGCGACTTGTTCTGAGCAGGCTTCAGTCAGCTTTGTGTAGGTGCAGCCAGAGGGAGTCGCTCCTTGGACTAAGCTTTCTACCTCTCCCTTCCTGCCCTGGGGCTTCTCTGATATCTGGGCTTGGGGTAGGAGCACTACCCAGAAGGGTGGGAGTTAATGCTCATGGAGCTGCTCTCGGACAATGGGGAAGAGAGTCAATGAATAAATGCTTTCCTCTTTCATTCCCCAAGCAGACTTTTCGGAGACCTATTTCATAAGCACCAGTCACTGTAAGGCTGGCAACCTCGGTAACATCCTTCCCTTGTTCCCTTCCCTGTCTCTCAGACCTGCTCCTTGGGCTCACTTCCAAAACGAATTATCTGCAGACTTTATCTCAGGCTCTGTGTGGAGCTGTGGGACAGTGGTGGGGATGGCAGGCTAGGAAGGGATGACAGTGGCCTTCCAGAACCAAGGGGGCCTCTTTTGCTGCTGCTATTGCAGTCCCCATTGGTGACTCCCTACTGTCCACTTCCCTACAGGGAGGACTCACAGTGGCTTTCTCACTCACAGTGGCTTTCCATCAGTGCTGTCCTTTGCCAAAACATTGCAGCAGCTAGTGTCATCAGGGGCCCGCAGAGCTGTGGGATTTGACCCCTTAGTCAGAGACTTATTTTAAATACCCTCTTTCAACTCTCCTGTACCAGTACCAGTCCAGATGTCTGACATCACAGCTGTCTGTATTGGGGCCTCAAATGGAAACCCCTGAATGATTATCATAAAATCATGTTCTGTTCCCCTTTGCCCTGTACCTTATTCACTGGGAACTTTGGGAGTTTTGAACAGACTCATAGATGGGGAGATTCTGAGAGGATGAACATGCAGGACCTGTGGTTTTAGCTACATGCTCCTCAAAGTGAGTCTCAGGCTTTATCTGCTCTCGGTTGCTTTATCATCACTATGTCATAGATAAGGAAACTGAGGCTTGGAGAAGCTATGTAAGTAATTTCTGAGTGTCAGATAGGTACTAAATGATGGAACTAGCAACCCTGGTCCTGGTAATAATCACTTTGGAACACAGCCTTCTAAATGGCCCTCCCTTGGGGTGGGGGTGTTTTGTGAGCCCCACTTCCAGGAATGCAAGCTAAAGACATCACAGCTAAGACATCTCAGGAGGGAGTCTGGCCCTGGAGACTAGGGATCCCTACTGTGAGAACTTTGAGAAGCTCCGTATCCTCTCTGCTGGTTATGATTCTTGCCCCTTATCTGTTGCAGTGTAGAAATTAAGAGTGAAATCCTTGACATGAAAAGGGCTTGTACACTTGTCTTCGGGAGCAGGATGAAGAAGGTGATTCCTTGTGTATGGACAGGATTATAGGAGAAGACGGAGAGGAGAGTGGGTGTGGTGGCCAAGAGGCAGAGGGCAGGAAGGTGGGGAGGATGTGGGCCCATCGTGGTGCGGCTCTGGGCTTAAGCAGGAGCCCAGGCCATGGCAGGACAGTGCAGTATGGACCCGGCTGGCTTCATGGGCTCCAACAGTTGCACAGGGCCCCCTGCTTAGCAGGACCCTGTGTTTGGTTTTATGCTCTGCTGCCACGATCTTGAAATTCTCAATAATTTTTGAACAAGGGAACCTGTGCTTTTAATTTGTAGCAGGCCCTGCAAATTATGTAGCGGGATTTCATAACATCTTTTTTTACCCTGCAGTGCCTGTTGATGGCCCCCTACTGGTGGCATTTCAGAAGGATGGAAAAGGACTGCTTCACTAGTGGTGGGAAGCAAAAGCAGTTCAGGATGAGAATGCGATTTCCCCAAGAAGAGAGTGTGGTAGTTTTCGTTTCTGCTATATATATATATATATATATATATATATATATATATTTTTTTTTTTTTTTTTTTTTTTTTTTTTTTCTAGAGACAGGGACTTGCTCTGTTGCCTAGGGTGGGGAGCAGTGGCACAATCATAGCTCAGTGTAGCCTCAAACTTTTGGGATCAAGCGATCCTCCTACCTTAGCCACTCAAAGTGCTGGGATTACAGAAGTGAGCCACTGCACTTGGCCAATTTTGGCTAGATTTTAAAGGTCCAAATGTAGTGGTATGTCTTGGGAATAGGTTCTAATGGAGGTGGAGAGATTGCTAAACAATACCTGGAGCTTTAGGTGGGAATAGTGGGTTTGCTGGGCTGAGGGGCAAGGAGCACTAACCCAGGGAAACCATCTCGGGGAAGGACTGATGTGGAAGCTGCACCTATTGAAGACTTACAGGAATTTCATAGCTTTTCCTCCTGCCTCAGCCTCCTAGTAGCTGGGACTAGAGGCACCCGCCACCACTCCCCACTATTTTTTTTTTGTTTTTTGTTTTTTTTTTGGTATTAGTAGAGATGGGATTTCTCCACATTGCCCAGGCTGGTGTCAAACTCCTGGCCTCAAGGGATCCACCCACCTTGGCCTCCCAAAGTACTGGGATTACAGGCATGAGCCACTGCACAAATCGGCCTGTTTCCCAAGCTTCTTTATTCTGAGCCTTAGCCATCTCTTGTGTAATGGAGATAATAGAAAGCTCGAAGTGTTAAAGCAAGGATTACATGACCCAACACATAGGTAACACCAAGGGCATGCTGAGCACTGGCCAGGCCCTTGGCTGATGTCCATTTCCTTTCTGTCTTACAACACCAAGGGTGCTTTGAGCTCCAGGTAGATAGAAAGCTGCATGTATTTATCTGGGTAATTTGGGTCAATGTCTACTATTTAGAAGCAGGTGGGGCTTGAGTATGAATTAGCAGGTCTGGCACTTTATGTGATGATGGTGGCACATCTAACAATTCTTTTGTCATCTTCATGGCACCGCTTCCAATTACAACTTTGTTCCAGCTGAGCAAGAGATGTTCTAGGTGGGAACAGTTACTGGAGAGGCTCCATAAAATCCACGTGGAAGCTAGAGTGTGACTCTCAACAGATTCAACTACTTTAATTTAACCTACATGAATATTGCCTCCGGGGGGATCCTGTTTTGGGGACCAATCTATGTTATGCTGGATATTGTATTGGGGCCTTTCGGAGGTTTGTGTGTGTGTGCGCACACATGGGTCAATTTTGTTCTTTTATTATTATGTAGTCTCATAATCTGTTATTTGGATGTAGTCAAAGAAAAAATGAATGTAATAGACTTCCTGTTCTTTCAAAAGCAAATATTTTTTAGAAGCATGCTCTTCATTTTGTTCATTATTTATAATTTTCTCTGATAGTAATAATTTAATGTAATACATGTAGATTAAGAAAGAAAGTCCTCAGATGAATCGGCCTTAGTGTGTGGATGAAGGGGATGTCTTTTTGACTAATAGTTTCTTCCTGTTTAAGTGTTAAAATTTGTCTAATTTCTCAGCTAACACTGGACTAGGATTTATAGGTTATGTGAATTTCAAATAAAAACCAAGCCCACACAAAGCAAATCAAATTGTTCCATTTCTAAGTTCTTATTTTTACTTTAAAAATTATGCAAGTAACTGTATTTATTGTTAGAATAGGAGAAGGTGTAACTTAGTAAAAAAGAAAAAATAGGAGAGAAAAATCTTAATTTCTTTCCTTTACTTTACTTTACTCTTCATATTTTGATACATAGATATTTCCCGCCAAATGTGATTACACTATACATTCTGTTTTGGTATCTTCTTTTTAACACTTACCAATATATTATTGATATTATTTCTTGTCAACTAGTGTACAAGTTTTCTCATATTACAATTATTATACTTATCTTAGCCCAATTCCCTATAGTTGTTTATACTTTTAATAGCTATGGTTTATAGCACCAGTTGAAAGAGAAACTGGTTCAGCAGAAAACGTCACCTATCTTTATGGTTGTTTATACTTTATTTTTTTGAGACAGGGTCTTGTCCTGTTGCCCAGGCTGGGGTGCTCTAGTGTGATCTTGGCTCACTGCAGCCTGGACCTCCTAGGCTCAAGTGATCCTCCCATCTCAGCCTCCCAAGTAGCTGGTACTTTAGGCATGCACCAACACACCTGGCTAATTTTTGTAGACACAGGGTCTTGCTGTGTTGCCCAGGCTGGTCTTGAACTCCTGAGCTCAAATGATCAGCCTGCTGCAGCCCTCCAAAGTGTTGGGACTACAGACGTGAGCCATCATGCTCAACCCTGTTTATAATTTTAATAGCCATAGTTTATAGCACCAGCTGAAAGAGAAACTGGCTCAGCAGATAACTGTCACCTCTCTCTCTCTCTCTTTTTTCCCCAGAGAACCTTGTCTTGGGCTATTGGTAGCCTGTAGATAAATTACCCTTGGATCAAGTGACCATCCCTGTACAATAAGAGTTGGCTGAGGAAGAGGATAGACTGTGAGCAGGAAAGATCCCCTAGAAAGGCATGTAGGTATAAAAGGATCTTAAACTAAATATATGTCTATCATATATAGGATGGATTTTTTTTTTCCCATTTTTCTTTAACTTTTTAATTGTGTTTAACTCTACCCTCTTTCTCTTCGTTTTTTCAGCCCCAGTAACACAAGTGTTAACTTTATTGACAGTATCACAGGTCCCTGAGGATCTCTTTGGTCACTCTTTTTCAGTTTATTTAATTTCTGTGTTTCAGATTTGGTTATTTCTATATTTCTGTTTTCAAGTTCACTGATTCTTTCTTCTGTCATCTCCATGCTGCTGTTGAATTCATCCACAAAGTTTTTTATTTTGGTTATTGTACACTTCAGTTCTAAAGATTCCACTTGGTCTTTATATCTTTTTTTTGTTGTTGAGACTTTCTAATTTTTGCATTTGTTTCAAGTATAGGTGTAATTGCTTATTGAAGCATTTTTATGATGATTGTTTTAAAATCTCTGATAGTTGTGTTATCTTGGTATTGGCATCTGTATTAGTTTCCTAGGGCTATTTCCTAGGGCAAAAAATTACAACACATTTGGCAGCTTAAAACAACAGAAGTGTGTTCTCTCACAATTCTGGAGCCCAGAATTCTAAAATCAAGTTGTTGGCAGGGCTGTGCTCCCTCCAAAGGCTCTAGGAGAGAATCTTCCCTTGCCTCTTGCAATTTCTAGTGACTCCAGGCTTGTGGCTGCATAACTCCAGTCTCTGCCTCTGTCTTCACATGATCTTCTCCTCTGTGTTCATGTGCTCTCTCCTGTCTCTTATGAGGAATGAGGATGCTTGCCATTGGATTTTTGGCCCATCTGGGTAATCCTGGATGATCTAATCTCAAGATTCTTAATTATATCTGCAATTATATCTATTGTTCAAATAAAGTGACACTCAAAGGGTCCATGAACTTACCTCTTTTTAGGAGCCACCATTCAACTTACACCAGCATCTGTTGATTATCTTTTGTCTTTCAAGTAGAGATCTTCCTGGTTCTTGGTATGATAAATGCTTTTCAATGGAAACCTGGATACTTTGGATATTATGTTGTGAGGCTCTGGATCCTATTTAAAATTTCTGTTATAGAAGGTTTTTATTTTGACACAGCTTTGGCAAAGGAAGAGGGAGCACTGTCTCATTATTGCCATGTGTGGTTCTAGCCCAGGTTCCCCTCTGGCTTTCCTTGCAACAGAGGATCCTTGTTACTGCTGGGTGGGGTGGAAGTTCAGGGTCCCCACAAGGCCTCTGCTGGTTCCACTCTGGCTTGGAAGGGCAGAGGTTCCCTGTCATTGCCCCTACATGGCTTCCAATGACACCGTGGAGGGACAACTCTTTACAGCTGGATTTGCTCTCCATTAGGCCACCTCTGACACAACCACAGCAGGGAGGGGAAGGGAAATCTTGTTTCCATCAGGTCAAAGTGGAAGTCCAGGCTCTCCACTTAGCCTTGGCTAGCAGGGGTAAGGCCACAGTTTTTCTGTGGTGTTTGAATACAATAGAGTGGTTATTGACTGTATTAGTCCATTTTCACACTACTATAAAGAACTACCTGAGACTGGGTATATTAGTCAGAGTTCTCTAGAGGGACAGAACTAATGGAATATATATATAAAGGAAAATTTATTAAGTGTTAACTCACATGATCACAACATCCCACAATAGACCATCTGGAGGCTAAGGAGGAAGGAGAGCCAGTCTGAATCTCAAAACTGAAGAACTTGGAGTCCAATGTTTGAGGGCAGGAAGTGTTCCAGCACAGGAGAAAGATGTAGGCTGGGAGGCTAGGCCAATCTTTTTTCACATTTTTCTGCCTACTTATATTCTAGTCACGCTGGCAGCTGATTAGATTGTGCCCACTCAGATTAAGGATGGGTCTGCCTTTCCCAGCCCACTGACACAAATGTTATTCTCCTTTGGCAACACCTTCACAGACACACCCAGGATCAATACTTTGTATTCCTCAATCCAATCAAGTTGACACTCAGTATTAACCATCACATTGGGTAATTTATTTAAAAAAAAAGTTTAATTGACTCACAGTTCTGAATTGCTGGGAGGCCTCAGGAAACTTACAATCATGGCAGCAGGTGAAGGGGAAGCAAGGCTTGTCTTACATTGTGGTAGGAGAGAGACAGAGTGAAGGGGGAAGTCCCACTTTTAAAACATCAGCTCTCGTGAGAATTCACTATCATGAGAACAGCATAAGGGAAACTGCCCCCATGATCCGATAATCTCCCACCAGGTCCCTCCCTCAATATGTAGGGATTACAATTCAAGATGAGATTTGGGTGGGGACACAGAGCCCAATCATATCATTGCCTAAAAGTTTTTGTCCTGCTCGGCTGCCCATTCCACATTCTTTGGGCTAGAGAGAGCAGGCTTTTCTTGGGCTTTTCTGTCTGCACCTGATGGCATTTCTGGGTTGCTGGCTTCTCCACCATCCAGGCTGGGGTTCATGAGACAAAAAGAAAATCAAGGAGCTCACCTCAGGTCCCAAAGTCCTTAGCCCCTCTGTCTTCTTCTTTTTTTTTTCCTTTTTTGAGAAGGAGTCTCACTCTGTTGACCAGCCTGGAGTGCAGTGGCGTGATCTCAGTTCACGGCAACCTCTGCCTCGCAGGTTCAAGTGATTCTCCTGTCTCAGCCTCCTGAGTAGCTGGGATTACAGGTACCTGCCACCATGCCTGGTTAATTTTTGTATTTTTAGTAGAGATGGGGTTTTACCATGTTGGCCAGTCTGGTCTCAAACTTCTGACCTCAAGTGATCCACACTCCTGGGCCTCCCAAAGTGCTGGGATTACAGATGTGAGCTTCCACGCATGGCCCAGCCTCCTGCCTTCTTCTCTCCACCCTTCAGGGTTTCCTCATTTATATATATATTCCAGAGATTTTAGCTATACTAAATGGAAGGAAAGGGGAAATTGGTGTTTACATGATATAAAGAGTATTTACTTTTTTTGGAGTCAAATTTTTTTTTTTTTTTTTTGCTTTCATTGTCATGCTTCCCCTCCTAAGAACCACATAAATATTTATCTATTTTTAATGCTTTTGTAGTTTCATCTTTTATATTTGTCTTTAAGCAAGTGTTTATCACAGTCTGGCTTATAGACTGTAGTTTCTTGGTCCACCTAAGAACTACTGAATCAGAATCTCTGGGAGTCTCTCTTTTTACAAACTCTCCAGGTCATTAAATATCAACCAACATTTGAGATCCACTTCTTCATCCATTCAAAAAAATTTTTTGGTGTAAGTTGTAAGGCAGGCCTCTCACCTATTTTTTTTTCCCTAAGTGGTTAGTCAATTGCCTTAAAACCATTTATTAAATTATTCTATTTCCTTCGCTGACTTAAAATGCTACCATGATAAAATATTAAGTTTATATATATAAATATAAATATTTGGGTCTGTTTCCAGATGTTCCATTTTGCATCATTGATCTGTCTGACCATTCTGGCGCCAGTAACTTACTCTCTTTAATTGCTGTAACTCTAGTCTGGGTAGATTTCTGAATGTTGCCCTGCACCAGCCTCTAAAAGCCTCATAAGAAACCATTTGCCAGGAGAGAAGTAGATGACTCATATGTGAAGATGCTTTGTAAATTGCAAAGCGCTCTGGCCTTTCAGCCTACCCTTGACACTAGCACTTCCTAAAACACTGATCTCATCCCTTCCCTTCCTGACTCTAAAGCCTTACTCAGAAGATGAAGCTCATTATCCTGGCATTCAAGGTCTTTCCTTCACCACCTGGTCCCCATATCCCCCTTTTCAAAATGACCGTCCACTTGTCTTCAATACAATCCTCTTTAATCAGGTTTGCCTGTGATCTGTTTTTCAAGACTTGCCTGACACATTTCTTGCATTCGATCTTATTGTTTTCTCTACCATGAAGTACATTCTTTAAAATTACTTACCGTCCTCCAAGGCCAATCTCCTTCCAGAAAGCTTTTTATCTGAATTTTCCAGCTTTCCTCGTAGCATCCACTTTACACTTAGCATACATTGAGCTATGACAGCTCTCCTCTGATGCAATTACTTTTGTTATTTGTGTTTTCTGGAGTGTGTATATCATTTCACTCAACAGTAGTGTAATATTCTTACCCACAGAGGCTTTGCCTTCTCCTTCTTTGTGTGTACCTGCATTTCCCCTAGTAAAGTGTGACACACACAGCAGACATTCACTCAATGTATGTTTACTGGCTAAATAAAGAAAGGGTACTATTAGATCTCAATGAAAGTCTGTGATTGTTTTGTATTGCTCAAACCCAGACAGAGGATTGGTCATCTTGCTTCATCTATTTTCAGGTATGTGTTCAGTTCAGAGAAAAATCATAGGTAAATGTTGTGTTCTGAGATAATCACTGCTTTATACTAATCAGCTAGACAATGATCTCATGGGATACAATGGTCCTGTGCAGAGATGTAGAAACCCAGGAATTTCTTCTTCACATCCTTGCAAAAATCGCCCTGCAGCTCAGAATGCTCTCTATAAGACAGGATAGAGATTGTTTTAGGATGCTATTGTCTTCCCTGCCCACAGTCCCCTCAGAGGGGGAACTTACTCACAGAAAGCCCTTGTTGTCTCAGCTGCTGTTCTTTTTATCACTTGATTCAGTTTCTCCCTGGCCACAGCTGATTGGACTTAACCATAGCAGCTGATTGGACTTACCGTACCAGCACAGAGATAAGCTGAGCCAATCAGGGTCTTGCTTGGGTGAATAGAAATGAAGAAACACAAAAGAAAGCTGCCAATTGGATATGGGTATTGTAGCTGAAACGTCTTGCGAGCTGAGTCAGGGTCGGGGAAGCTGTGATGGCAATGAGAAGTCAACACACTGAGGATGGAGAGAAAGAAGATGAGTCTGGGAGAGAAAGAGAATGATTCTTCTGGCCGAGGGAAAGCAAGAATATCTGTTCCTGCAACTGCACTGATTCTAGAAACACTCTCTATTCGAACTCTCATGAGGTAACTTCTTGTTCCTTAATTCTGGGTCTCCTCTACTCCTGTTCTTGACTCCTCATGAGATCATTTGAGCTTAGTAATAAACCCCACTTATCTTTACCAGGCTTGAGGGAATGCGTGTGTGTGGGGTCTCTGCTCCTTTCAACAAAATTATCCTCTATAAAATAGGTGGCACTGGGGGAATGGTTATCAGCTGGGTTTTTTTTTTTGTTTGTTTGACAGTTTGTTTTTGGTGTGGGGGTTCCTGAAGAATGTATATTTAATTGTAGTATTAGTCACCTGAGTTAGAATAGCTGGATGATGAGTGTTTTAAAAAAATACTGCTTTTGGCTGGGAGTGGTGGCTCATGCCTGTAATCCCAGCACTTTGGGAGGCCCAGGTGGGCGGATCACGAGGTCAGGAGATCGAGACCATCCTGGCTAACAAAGTGAAACCCCGTCTCTACTAAAAATACAAAAAATTAGCTGGGCGTGGTGGTGGGCGCCTGTAGTCCCCGCTACTCCGGAGGCTGAGGCAAGAGAATGGGGTGAACCTGGGAGGCGGAGCTTGCAGTGAGCCGAGTTCGGCGCCACTGCACTCCAGCCTGGGCGACAGGGCGAGAATCCATCTCAAAAAAAACCAAAAAACAAAACAAAACAATAAAAAACATTGCTTTCAATACACTTTTAAGCTTTTAATACTTTTTTCATGAAAATTTTCAAATATTGAGACCAGTAGAAAGAATAGTAGAATAGGTATCCATCAATCTACCACCTAGATTTAACACTTATTAACATTTTTCCCTATTTGCTCTATCTCCGTATTTCTTTTCTGTTGTTGGATTATTTTAAAGTAAACTACAGATATTGTAATATATTTCCCCTAAGTACTTCAGTATGCATCTCTAAAAGAGGTGTGTTCCTACATGACCACAATACCGTTGTCACATAAAACACAATTGGCAGTATTTTCTTAATGTCATTAATAACCTAACTATTAAGAAAATAGTGCCAATTGTGTTTTATGTGACAAGCATAAAAAGAAGAAAAATTGGGACTCATTTAAATAGTCCCAATTTTCCTCAAAATGTCTTTTATAGATGCTTCTTTTCACACCTTGATATAAAGATGGCACGGCATTGAATTGTTAAATTTTGTCCTTCAAGTCTCTCCTAATCTAGAAGTGTCTTCCTCTTTATTTTAAAGGAAGAAATTAGGCCAGATATTTGGCAGACTGTCCTACATCCTAGATCTGTCTGATAGTTTCCTCACAGTCCTGTTTATCTTGTTTCTCTCTTCCCAGTAATTCCTATACAATGTAAGTTACATTTCAAGCCAACTCTCTTCCTCAGCCACCTCTTGTAGTACAGGGATGGTCACTTGATCCAAGGGTAATTTATCCACTACATTTTTGGTGATAATAGCTCAGAGGTGGTTATGCTGTGTATTTCATATTGCATCACAGCAGGAGGCACTTAATGTCTGGATGACTGTCCCACTATTTGTGATACTGTGTTGGTTACTCTGTTCAAGGTGATGACTGCCAGATCCCTCTATTGTAAAGGAAGGCATCTCCTTTTGTGATAAGAAAATAAGCTATGGGTGATACTATTGAGTTTTCCATTAACCTTTCACCTAATGATTTTAGTATCTACTATTGATTCTTTCTGGAATGGATGAACTTTGTCACTAACTAATATTTTCTGACAATAGGATAGGCTACAGGGAGACTGAGAAGCGGAGGCATGAAATCTTCTTTGTTGGAGATTGTTATGCATGTTACTATTATTATGGATATATGTATTGTTATTTATTGCAGCCTAACAAACTGTCCCAAAATATAGTGACATCAAACAACAACAATACATTTATGATCTCTCCTGGTCTCTGTGGGTCAGGAATTTGGGAGGATATGGCTGGGTGCTTCTAGCTTAGGGTCTCCAATGTGGTGGTCGTCAGATGGGGCTGGAGCTAGAAAAGCCGGAACCTAGATTATCTGGGGACTGGCAGGGAGTTTTTATCTTTGTGTTATCTCAGGCCCACCCTGTGTCATTTCTCTGCATGGGGTGGTTTGGGTTTCCTTGCAGCATGGTGTCCTCAGGGTGGTAGGACTTTACATGGTGGCTGGTAAGGACTGAACATTTGTGTCCTTCCAAAATTCACATGTTAAAATCCTAACTCCCAAGGTGATGCTATTAAAAGGTGGGCTCTTTAGGAGGTGATAAGTCATGAGGGTGGAGCCCTCTTGAGTGGGATAAGTGCCTTTAGAAGAGGTCCCAGAGAGAGCTCACATGTCCCTTCTACCATGTGAGGATACAATGGGAGGATGTCGTCTATGAACCAGACACCAAATCTGCTGGTGCCTTCATCTTGGACCCCCCAGCCTCTAGAGCTGTGAGAAATAAGTTTCTGTTGTTTCTAAGCCGTGCTGTTTATGGTATTTTGTTATAGCAGCCTGAGCAGACTAAGACAGGGGCTCAGGGTTCCAGCGTGTTTCCAGTGAGCTGGGTGGAAATGGCTTTGTCCTTTGCAGTTGGCCCTTGGAAGCCATGTAGCATCACTATACAGTACTCTATTGGTTGACCAGTCATGACAGTTGGCACAGATTCAAGGGGAAGGGACACACATCCCACTCTTGACAGTGAAAGTGTCAAAACATCAGCAGACATGTTTAAAAACACTATATTGTTTTTATGAAGTAAGCATATACATCTGTATTTACTAATATTTGCCTTTAAAAAGGATCTGCATAATTAATAATTGAGAAAAACAGAGCAATTAAAAATAAGACAAATAATAAATAATAAATGGATCAAAGAAACAGATATACCTGCCATCTGGACAGATTATAGTTCCAATGTAAAGGATGAAGGACTTAGGTGTTTGTAGCTCTAGTTGCTGGGTAAAAGGTTGTTTACAAATTTACCTGAAGAGTTATTTTTTTCCTCTTGACACTGAATTTTAGAAGGACTTTATTAAATGTATTCTTTCATCAGGGCCATTGAGAAAGAGAACCGTCAATGCCTGGCTTTGGTTGTTCAGAAGACAGAGAAATACTCTTTAGGTGGACACTTGTGAAACAATTTCTCTGGGAAAACAGAAACTCGAATACCAATATTAGCTTTTGATTAGTTTCTGCAGGGGAACTAAGATAAGTTGTGAGTATGTTGCCTTCTGAAGATGTAGCCCCTGCTCTGGTAGGGTCTTGCTCAGGGAACCTTGGCAAAAACTTGTCAACTCCGGCCACACATTATAATCACAGGATGGAAGCAACTCTTACAAACCCACATGCCGAAGTTCATTTATCAATTATGCAATTGTATTCTTTAGACCAATTGAATACAATCTCTGGGGGTAGGATATCGGCATTAGTATTTTTTTTTAAAACTCCACAAGTGATTCCAGTGTGTGATCAGGATCTAGAACCATTGCTTTAGAGCAGGGCTTGGTAAACTGTTGTGAAAAGGGCCATGTAGTAAATATTTCCAGATTTGTGGTCATACTGCTTCCATCCCAGTGCTTCAGCTTCGCCTTTCAGCAGGACAGCAGCCATAGACAATGGGCATGATGAATGGGCATGGCTGTGTTCCAATAAAACTTTATTACTGACACCTTGTTTGGGGACCAGTTACATTTCAGCTCTCTTTAATAGCATCATCCTTGTATGTAGAACCTCAGATGTGCAGACATGAAAGAAGGGAGTACATTTATAACTATTGTGACTGTCATGGGCATTTTGAGTGGCAATTTAAATTCTTCTCTTTTTTTCCCCAGAGATGACTTTATTACTCACAGCAAAAGCAGTAGCCAGAGTATCAGAATTTGTGCTTTTCCCCCTGAACCCCAGTTCCCACAAGGGTAAGAATTAGGTCCTGCATAGATACCTACACATGCAGTGGGTCATGTCATAAAAAACAATGAGGGTGGAGAACCAGCCATTCTATAGCAGGCAGTGGCTTACTTGCTCTTTTCCCTCAGCTCTGTTTTTTTTTTTTTTTTTTTTTGAGACACGGTCTCACTCTGTCACCCTGGCTGGAGTGCAGTGGTGCGATCTCGGCTCACTGCAACCTCCGCCTCCTGGGTTCAAGCGATTCTCGTGCCTCAGCCTCCTGAGTGGCTGGGATTACAGGTGGCCACACCACCGCACCCAGCTAATTTTTTTTTGTATTTTTTGGTAGAGACGGAGTTTCACCCTGTTGGCCAGGCTGGTTTTGAACTCCTGACCTCAAGTGATCTGCCTACTTTGGCCTCCCCAAGTGTTGGGATTACAGGCATGAGCCACAGCGCCCAGCCTTTCCCTCAGCTCTCAAGGTGCACATTGCAAATGCACCCCTGCAAAATGGCCCCAATAAAGAACCTTGCATTTCTGGCACATCCAGCAAGAATGTGCAGGAATGCAAAAAGCCCATGGAGAACCATCTCCCAACATCAGTACATGTCCCTGAAATGAAAATTAACCTGTCTCAGAAAGATATAGACAAGAAAATGTGCTATTACTAATGTTTTAAACTATATAAACTAACAACTACCTTTTGCCAAAACTTAGACTTGAGTATCTTTTGAAAAATCAGGTAATAGTGATATTTCCTTTTCAAGCACTATCCTGGTTCCTTATATTAAAACTAGACTCCATATCAGGATGACCAGAGTTTGAACTCTGGAGGCATGGCCCATGAATACAAATATCTTTTCTGTCCCCTACCATTTCTTTTCTTTTTCTTTTCTTCATTGTTTGTTTTCTTGTCCCCTACCATTTCTTATTGCTTTCTAACAAAATTAAAATTTCTAAATTATTATATATTGTCTTTTATTTTAAAAAAGGAAGGGGGTTAATTCACAAGCTTATATATTTCTTTGCACAGCTTCCCCCCACCCCAGCTCTCCTCCCACCACAAATCTTCTGTCCTTAGGACATAGATCTTTGGAACTAGGAATGACATTAGAGATTGTTTCCTTTCTGGTCCTCCAGAAGGTCTGTGACTTGCCCAACATGGCTAGGGCAGGAACCAGGAGGGCAGGACCAGAATTCTGGCCTCGAGTCCCCTGTCTAGAGATCAGCTAACTCTTGCCCTCTGCCTCCCTCCTCTCTGCATTCACACCTGATTCCTGCTTTACAACTTCCTCAAACACTAAGGTGTCCACTGACCCGGTCCTCTGTCTCTTTCTGGATCCAAGACCTTGAAATGACCTTGATTTGTTTTCTAGTCATTGTTAATTATTTGAGGATGGAGTAATGCATTGTCCTGCATTCTCCATCAGCTTACAGCTGATGGTGAGAAGTGAGAGGTGACACAGTTATTGGAGGGCAGGATTGGAGGGCCTCCAACTTACTGTGGTTTAACTTATGAATTTTAGACTTTATGACAGTGCTAAAGTGATATGTATTTAGTAGACACTGTACTTTGAATTTTGACCTTTTCCTGGGCCAGCGATTTGCAGAATGATGCTCTCTCATGATGCTAGGCAACAGCAGTGAGCCGCAGCTCCCATTCAGCTGCACGATCAGCAGGGTAAACAACTAATACTGCACTCTACAGTATACTGCATTCAATGAATTACATGAGACATTCAACTTTATGAAATAGGCTTTGTGTTAGGTGATTTTGCCCAACTGTAGGCAAATATAAATGTTCAGAGCATCTTTAAGATAGGCTAGGCTAACCTGTGATGTTCAGTAAGTTAAATATATTAAATGCATTTCCAACTTGATATTTTCCACTATTGATGGGCTTCCTGGGAGGTAAGCCCATTGTAAGTCGAAGATCATCCATAGTCCCTTCAGATTCAAGTTCAAAAACATCCTTTTCTTCTGAAAATACCTTCACTTTTCTGCTTGTTAAGGCTGGACAATTTTCCCCTACCCCCAACCTTTTCCCAAATCCTTTTCTCTCAGACTTGGAAGACCCTACTCTCTCCTAGCTCTGTTTCTAGGCCTCTCTATTCTTTTAGCTTCTTTTAGAAGACAGTCCACATTGTGTTATTGTCAGTGCTGGCTTAATCCTGGGCCAGTTTCCATCTGTGTAATCTTTTGCGTAATCTCATCTGCTCTCACAATTTTGAATTCCAAAAATACTCACACAGCTTCCTTATCTCTGCCTGGTATTTTTGCAGTTGCCTACTAGCTAAAATAATCCATTTAAAATTCTTGTCACATGTCAAAGAATTTAGGGAAGAATGGCATTTTCAAATTTTGACTGCATTACTAAATCACTTTACACTGGATAAATCAGCTGTCTTTGACCTTATAACTTTTTTCTTTTAGTTATTTTATGTGCATGAATTTCCAGTTGTATGAGGTATAAGAATTATTAAATGAAAAGCTATGGAAATTTTTGAGATCTTGATTTCTTTTGGTTTTAATTACTGACTATATTCATAGTCTAGGTAATAATTTGATTTTGAGATGACTCCTATGAGCAAACACTGTATATATTCCTATATAAAAAAGGTTAATTAAAAAATCAAATATCATTTCTCATCTGTTAAGCCACCCTTAATTGTTAAAATAATTATTTTCTGTCTTTGTCATGCTTTGGCAAAACTGGTAGCAGTGCAAATTGAAATAACATTTTTAGAAAGCCAGTTGGCAACATTCAAAGGGATGTTTTTACAATAAAAACGGAAGGTGTATCTTACTGTGTTTGAATGTAATTAAAATGTTCAGAGAGAGAAAATGTTTAGAGGATGCAAGGATAGGGAGGTGGGATGTGGGACCTGATAGCACTGGGCTGGTTCAAAGATTATATTTAGATTTTCTATATGCTTGAGGATGGGGCTTTATGGACTCTAGAAGAAGTCTCACGGCTTTTTAATTTAACTCTGAGACTTTTGATTGGACCAAAGACTCCCTTTCCCAAAATTCCAACTTTTGCATTCTCCTGCCAAAACTTTCCGGTAGGAAATAATGAGATGGAGTGCGCAAAGCCTAGCAGGGGTGAGGCTCCTCCTGTCCTCTCTGTGCTCAGGGTACTGGGTCAGTGCTCTGGCTTGTAAGCTTTCCTCTGAGAAGCAGGAAATCAAAGGCAGACCATGGTGCCTGCAAGTATGGCCTGGGAGTCATCTTCAAGGTCTCCCACTGCCCAGCTATCCTCAGGGTTTTATACTTTTACATAGAAACACCTGAATCAAGACAAAAATGCATCTGGCAACTTATTGCACTTTTTTTCCCACATTTGATCTTTTTCAGCATTAGCCAAGTCAAAAATAGTCTGGAGATTTGAGTGTTGGAACAATTAGCCACCTGTATTTTATGTGGAAAAAAATAAGAATTTCCAGGCTTGGCTCAGCCATTTTGTGTTGATTATACTGAGTACATCGAAGCGAGGTGACTGAATTTTGCACACATTAGAAGCAGCAGCTAAAACTCTGTACAGCTTGTGTTATAATTGGGAAAGCAGGGATCTGTTCCAGCATCGTATCATTCCCTGAGTTCTCTAGTAATATCACACTAACTTTCTCAGCAAAGCTAAGCAGATTAGTTGGAGGGGGTAGTAAGAAACTTGGTTGCAATAGAAATTCTTTCTGGTTAGGAAAAATAAAAGGCAGTGATAGGCCACTGAACATTCTGGGAACAGTCATGCCTCTGCCTTTTGTCCCTGACAGAGAAGATAAAGTCACGTGTAGATGACGCTGAAGAGGATTTCTTTGAGTTGCCAGCAAAGCTCTGTTTCAGTTATCTATTGATGTGAAACACAAAATTCCAACGTAATGGCTTAAAACAACGATGTATGATTGCGACATTCTGTGGGCCCAGGAGTGGGGCGTATCTTGGTGGTTCTTCTGCTTTGCATGATGTTGACTGGGTCACTACTGCAGCTGCACTCAGTTGGGAGCTCAGCTGGGGTGGCATATCCAAAGTGGCCTCTCATTGTCCGGGACTTTTCTCAGACGGCCCTCTGATAGTTCAGTAGTCTAGTCTGGATTTCTTATGGCATCACAGCTGGCTCTGAGAATGTAAAAGTGGAAGCCGCCAGGCCTATTTAGGCCTGGACCTGGGACTGGCACAGCACTGGCACTCATTTAATTGGCCAAAACAAGTCACAAGACCAACTGAGATTGAAGGGGAAGGGAAGTAGCCTCCAACTCTTGGTGGGCTGGGGTGTCTGGGGGGCAGGTTGGGTTGAGGCAACTCGTCTCTTGGAGGGTCCCAAGCACAGATAGGATTGTATTTTCCTTTAGATAACCCAATTTAAATTTATTATGCAAATGTTATTGATCACAAAGTGTTAATATTTATGTTATTTATTTAAATAAATAAAATGCTGGATGTAAAATAATTTTATAAATGGTAAAATACTTCAGTAAATCAAGTTCTGGCCTAATGGAAAGGCATAATTGAAAGGCTTTTACAAAATGTAAAGCTTGGGGTCCTTATTTCACGTAGGAGAAAACCGAGGCTCCTATAAATATTTAACTTGCTTAAATTAATCATTTTTCAGTTTTAAGTCATTAAATTTTTGTTTGGCGTGTTGACAGAAAAAGGACTAGAAATACCTCTTAACTCCCAGCTCAGTGCTTATCTTTCTCTCTACCTTCTAATCATAACTTAACAGTTGTTCCTGAAGAAAATCTAACCTTTTGGTTTTCTTTGCCATAATCCAGAGTTTCTTGCCTTTGGCACTATTGACATTTTGAGCCTAATGATTCTTGGTTGTTGGGGGTTGTCTCGTACATTGTGGGATGTTTGGCAATACCCTTGGCTTCTGTCCACTGCCATAATCCAAGGCACTGACATTTCTTATGCTGCAGTTCCTGAACTGTCTACATAATCATGATTGAGAATTAACTATTTTCCCAATCAAAAACGCAGGCACAGGTCTGATAAAGGACTCCCCCTGCCCCAGTTTGTACATTCAGATATAGAAAAATGTTTTAAGTTATAAATTAAATGTATAAAATTAAAATTTTGATTTTATTACATACATTATACAGATCACCTTTAAAAACACAATTCCTTAAAATTCAGTTGTTTTGGCAAAATGACAAAGTATGGTTCATAGGATTTTTCTTGCAAATCGAAACTGATAACTGTTGGCAAATGTCAGCTGTTATCTTTTTACCTCATTTCCAGTTTGGGTAGAACCTAACTGGAGAGGTGATGTTAAATAACAGTGTGTTCATAAAACACAAAGTGAAGAAGAGATTTGGCAAAGTGTCTAGTTGATTTGAAACAAGTAGACCAGAACATATTCAGTTTAAAAACACTTCCTGATGCAAGTATTATCCAGACTGAATTTCTACACTAATCAAATTGTTTCAAGTATTCATTTCACTTGGTATTGTGTCAAAACAGCTGAAGTGTCTGATAAATTATTCTTTCCTAGTTGTTTATGACTCCAAGCATACATATAACAAAACTGAATTTGATCTAACCGTTTCCATTTCTCTTTCCCATGTGAATGATAATGTTGATGGAACTATGGAAGCAACACCAACAATGAAATTAAATAATGTCAAGGTTTCTTGCTTAGGAAAGCTAGGCAGCATTAGAAGGTGCCTGGGGAGGCAAAGCAGAGTGTACCCAAATGCTTCGGTCTTGATTGTTTAATAGTTGTTAAAAGCCAGTCAACTCACATTTATTTCTCCTTCAATTCCATAAATGGACCTGCAAAAATTTGCAAATAAATCTACACAGCTTTGTCATACATAAACATGTGCTTGAATTCATTCCTTCATTTGCATTTTTGAACTTTCCCAAATACAAATACCTACAATAGCCCAATATGCTTGTTCTGCTCATTTGGAAAAGCTATCTGATGGTTTTCCCTTTGGCATTTTGAATAACTGCTAGCTGCAGATGCTAAATAACTCTCAAGTCTGTGTGACTTAATATTTCTGCCGAGTTAATCAAATAAAATACAGTTGAAATCTCAACCAGAAGATGCTATCTGTCGTCTGACATGTACTCAACTGTGATAATGAAATACTGCCTGACTTAGCCTTAAATTTTGAAGTTGAGATCCATATTGAATAAATTTTGAAGTCTGGTTTCCTGAACTTTTAAAATTACATATGAATTTAAAATTTGTTTTGCCCAATGGTGTGAAGTAAAGACTTGATATGGTTAAGGTGAATTTGGTCACATAATCAAACTTACGTATTCATGTTGATAACTTGCCTTCCCTCTGGTTACCTCCTCTCTCTTTTCTTCCCACCCTACCATGGGACTTGATTTGAGTACCTGTCCTGATCCTCTTAACTCTGCCCCACATTTAGATTCGAATTACCTTTAATTACACTCTCAAGGTGCCCAGTTTTCTTTGTGAAAGAATTGTCCTACAGAGTTCCATAGTTACATAAGAATCAGGCCCATTAATTTCTCTGTTGATTTTAATTTCTCCTGAGTATCAGATCTTTGGCAAAAGTATAAAAATTCACCAGGAGACTAAGAAAGAAGAAGAAACAACATTCCAGATCAGAAGTAATTTATATGAAGACACAAATTATTGTGATCAGTGAGGACATTTGGTTCCCTAAACCAGAATGTTACTAGCCCAGCTACGCAGAATAGTATATGTTCAGGCTCCAAAAGAAATTTCATAAGATCTGTTGTACCTTTTGATTAATTTCCTGTTAGACTTTTCTGGAAAAGAGATGAGTCTGGGAGAGGAACTCCCTACATTTTTTTCTCTGAAGCCTGTCTTTAATTCAGGGTTGCCATGTATGATGTTTTGGAGAAATGGATTGCTGAATCCAGTTTGGATGGCTGCCTATAAAGACGGAAAGGGCCTCCTGTGTGAAGGCCGCAGTGTTCTGTCCCCACCTTTGAGTCAAGGCTTGTGCTGCTCCCTCATGTATTCCCTGCAAATGACCACTGAAAATTTGACATTGTTTAAGATCAGCAAGCCCAAAATAATGTCTTATCCCAGTGTGTTGCACGGAATAGGTGTTGAGTAAATATCCAATAGTCAATCTGGCATTTACATTTAAATTGCTTTGTGAAAGCCCTTTGGGTTGCTAACTTCGCTGCTCTTTTGTTCTTTTCCTAGTTTAAGATTAGGTGGGTATTTTAGGCCAAGTCTCACAGGACATTGCATCTTGGTAGACCCTTTGCACCCAGAGGGCCCTGTCTTCAGTTTCGCATGTTCAGGGCTGTATTAAGGCACCTGGCCCACCAGATAGCATGGGACCTGGGAAAAGTGAATGGGAGTATCCTACAGGATATTTCATCGATCTATTAAAGAATTCCTTTGCAATTTTCCACAGGGGTGAAATTGTGCTTGAAGAGGTGAAAATTGATTCTTAGGGGATTGCAGAAATTTGGATATTGCAATGGTTTGTGGTTTGTCAGGTAGCTCAATGCTACCTGACAAAATCATAGTCCTTAATACTTAATTTCTCTCATTAGGGAGAAATTTAATTTCAAATTGAAATTTATTAATTAATTTAAAGTTTAAATATTTTTTTTTCTTCGTAGAGGTACAATAATGAAAAAGAAAAAAAAAGTCTGAGAAACACGGTTCTGGAGCACACATCTCTTCTGTGGCTTTGGAAACTACCCACGATAAATATTCCTTGATCTCCCTCCCTCAGGTAAAACCAGCACTTTAAACATATTAACATATTCCCCACTGTGGCTCTCCATTTTTTTTTTTTTTTTTTTTCCTGAGATGGAGTCTCACTCTGTCTCCCAGGCTGGAGTGCAGTGGCATGATCTTGGCTCACTGCAGCCTCTGCCTCCTGTGTTGAAACGATTCTCCTGCCTTAGCCTCCCAAGTAGCTGGGGACTATAAGCGTGCACCACCATGCCTGGCTAATTTTTGTATTTTTAGTAGAGACGGGGTAGCACCATGTTGGCCAGGCTGGTCTCAAACTCCTGACTCAAGTGATCTGCCCTCCTCAGCCTTTCAAAGTACTGGGATTACAGGCATGAGTCACCGTGCCCGGCCATCCACTGTGGCTCTTCTTAAGGTGAACTCTTGAGAAAATAACTGGAAGGAACCTTTTACATACACTGGAGACAGACAACCAAATGCTGCATCTGCCCTGAATCTCCTCATACCTCTTTGTCCTAGTTCCCACCACATATTCCCAATCTTCTATCTCTCCCAAAAGGCAGCTTTCTTTAAATTGCCAGTAAGGGCTGGGCTTTGGAAAAGGCAAGTCCTACTTTGGACCAACTATAGGTTTCTTATGCTTTTCTTTTTCTCCCTTGGAAATGTTCGTATAATTCCTTCCAGACACAGATTCCTGAGGCAGCTGCTTCTCTCCCTGGTGTGCCCAGCTGAGACTTACCTGCCCTTGACATTGGAGAAGATATGCAAATAACTCCATGAATCCTTAGGGACCCATCATGGCTTCCCTTCAAGTATTCATTCTACCTGGGCACCCATACCCAATCATAGCTAAGTCTGGACTCACCTAGACGATCTCATCTGAATCCTACTGCAGAAAGATGAGGCTGCTGGATGCTATATCCTCTTTATAAACAGCAATAATAATGTTGGTTAAAATAGATCTAGTGACTTACCCACGATGACATAGCTAATATATGGTAAGGTCAGGACAGCTTCCCCTAACAACACACACACTGGAATGTTCGTTCTCTAAGGACAGGGGCCATGCTGTTGCTCAATGTCATGTTCCCAGGGCCTAGGACAGGCCCTGGCATATAACAGGAGTCCAGTCAATATTTGTTAAATGAACAGGGTTCTTTGAGCCTGGGGCTGTCAGATCACCAAGACAATGCAGGAAACTGTCCAAAATATGTGGGTCTATTTATCTGGCCCACAGTTGATTTTACATTGGCAGCTACCACCTTCATTTTAAAAAGTGTAAAACAATAGCTGCAGCCACTTCTTCAGGCACAAAGCTTATCCCAAACTTCTGAGAGGCTTGCCATGGAGTCCAAGGACAGCTTGTTTTCTAGGCTGTATTTAATTTCAAATTAAGTGCAATTATTGTTAAAAGACAGGGTCTTCTTGTTATTTAAGTCTCTTGTATTAGGAGCCCCAAATTGTATACAGAGGTGAGACCACTCTCATTTCTGCTTTCAGTAAAGTTTACACACAACACAAATGCTCTTGCTATGGGCTGAATGTGTGCCCCCAAAATTCATTTGTTGGAACCTAATCCCCAAGGTGATGCTATTAAGAGGTGGGGTAAGGTGGGGTTATAGGGAGGTGACTGGGTCATGAGGACAGTACCCCAAAGGAAGTCATTCATCCCATCCCCTATGTGAGGACACAGCAAGAAACCACCATCTACAAAGCAGGGAAACAGTCCTCACCAGATGCCGAATTGCCAGAACCTTGATCTTAGACTTTCAGGCCTCCTGAACTGTGAGCAATAAATTTCTGTTGTTTATAAGCCACCTGGTTTATGGTGTTTTTTGCTACAGCATCCTAAACAGAATAACACGGTGCTAAGTAAAAATATGCATGTACTTCAGAAGATAGAAAATGCCCTACAAAATTAAGTTCACTTCTCTTGCAATCAATCATTTATTGTGAGAAAAGAGGGAGCTACAATGAATTGTCACAGATTTTGTACACAAACATAAACCAACTTTCTTCTGTATTAGCTTCTGATGGGAAATGTGTTTTGGTTAGCTCAGTAGGAGTGGAATAAATACATTCCCAAATGAAGAAAATCAGCCACTCACCTAGCCAATCATGGGCCAACAGCATTTATTATGCACTAGCACTCTTACGCAATGAGGAAGATAAAGATGGATTGAGAAAAAATCTTGTCATTGATAAGACTGCAATAGATGAGGGTAGGTAAAACATAACATAATTACATTGCAAGATAGAAAGTAAGAAGTGTAAAAGACTATTAGGTGTTTAAAGGAGGGAAGAATTTTTTCCTTCTTTGGGGGATAGGGTAAGAGATGGCAGGATCAGATAAAGCAGTGTGGAGGCAATATTTGGTTGGGTCTTAAATTAAGGAGTAACTTGGATTACAGATATTAAAAACAAGAAGGAAAGAATAATCCAGGCAGAGAATATGACAAGTGGTATAGAAGCAAAAAAACGAAGGCAAAAGGACAAAGCCCAGTGTGATTGGAATGTGTGGCCCTGATTCTTGGGAACTAACCCTAGAAGGTGCTGGAAGCTGTGGGAGTCAGTAGAGCTATTGTCATTCTGAAGTCTTATTGAAATGGCTTTTCCTGTTCCCTTTAAATTAGGCATGGCCATTTATCTTAATTTGATTTCCCGTAAAGGTGGACCCTGAGACAAAGTCTTGGGTGCAGTATAGCATATGTGGAAGGTGATCTCAGGAAACGAAAGTGAGGAAGTGGTCACACCTGTAATCCCAGCACTTTGGGAGGCCGAGGTGGGCAGGTCAGGACTTCGAGACCAGCTTGGCCAACGTGGTAAAACTCCATCTCTACTAAAAATACAAAAATTAGCTGGGCGTGGTGGTGGTGCTTGCCTGTAATCCCAGCTACTCAGGAGGCTGAGGCAGGAGAAACACTTGAACCTGGGAGGTGGAGGTTGCTGTGAGCCGAGATTGCGCCATTGCACTCCAGTCTGGGTGATAAGAGCAAAACTCTATCACACACACACACACACACACACACACACACACAAAAAGTGGGGAAGTGAGACAGGGATGAGGGAAAGCTAGCTATGGGCAACTGGTGCTCAATTCTAATGAGGCCACTCAGAGAAATAAAGTGAATTTTGCCTTAGAATTGTGTCATTAAAAAAACAAAAGTGGGATACTGGGGCATTGATCACCAACTACCACCTTCCAGCTGTTGAATGTTGCTGCAGTGGCATTATCATCCTTGTATTTCTGGATTGTGTGAGTGGAACCAGCCCTGGTGTTGGGAAAAGTCCCTGGGAATAGGAGAGAGAAGCAGGCATTTGAGGTGGAAGCTGCCAGCTTGCTGGGAACTGCACTGTGCTCCAGGGAAGCTCCAGCAGCTGAGGTGAGGTGGGGCAGGGCCTCACCGTACCTGCTCCGGCACAGACCTTAACGTTGGTCAGCAGAACATGAGCAAAAGTAAGAACTGTCACTTCTGGTGGAAGCTTTAAGAAACAACTCATGATTTCCATATTCCTTCTCCCTGTTGGGGCGACAATGATAGTTCAAATGATGGGGGTTCCCTTCACTCGTCCTGGAGTGAGAAGAAGTGGAACAGAACTAGCAGCTGACTCACAGTGGACAGACACATAGCAGGAGTGAGAAATAAACCTATTTCTTATAGGCACACAAGATTTTAAGCGTTGTGATGGGTACAACATAGCCTATCCCAATCTGACTGATGTATATATATTCTGAAGGGATTTGTTTCATGATGATTAATTATGGCAAGATACCACAAAAATCCAGTGGTACAAACAAGATAGAAATGTTTTGTTTTCTTTTTTTCTTTTTTCTTTTTTTATTATTCTTTAAGTTCTGGGGTACATGTGCAGAACGTGCAGGTTTGTTACATAGGTATACACGTGCCATGGTGGTTTGCTGCACCTATTAACCCATCAGCTACATTAGGTATTTCTCCTAATGCTATCCCTCCCCGCACCCCCCCAGCCCCCAACAGGCCATGGTGTGTGATGTTCCCCTCCCTGTGTCCTCATTGTTCAACTCCCACTTATGAGTGAGAACCTGTGGTGTTTGGTTTTCTGTTCTTGTGTTAGTTTGCTGAGAATGATGGTTTCCAGCTTCATCCATGTCCCTGCAAAGGACATGAACTCATCCTTCTTTATGGCTGCATAGTATTCCATGGTGTATTATGTGCCACATTTTCTTTATCCAGTTTATCATTGATGGGCATTTGAGTTGGTTCCAGGTCTTTGCTATTGTGAATAGTGCCACAATAAACATATGCGTGCATGTGTCTTTATGGTAGAATGATTTATAATCCTTTGGGTATATACCCAGTAGTGGGATTGCTGGGTCAAATGGTATTTCTAGTTCTAGATCCTTGAGGAATTGCCACACTGTCTTCCACAATGGTCGAACTAATTTACACTCCCAGCAACAGTGTAAAAGTGTTCCTATTTCTCCACATCCTCTTCAGCATCTGTTGTTTCCTGACTTTTTAATAAACACCATTCTAACTGGCATGAGATGGTATCTCATTGTAGTTTTGATTTGCATTTCTCTAATGACCAGTGATGATGAGCATTTTTTCATATGTTTGTTGGCTGCATAAATATCTTCTTTTGAGAAATGTCTGTTCATATCCTTTGCCCACTTTTTGATGGGGTTGTTTGTTTTTTTCTTGTAAATTTGTTTAAGTTCCTTGTATATTCTGGATATTAGCTCTTTGTCAGATGGGTAGATTGTAAAAATTTTCTCCCATTCTGTAGGTTGCCTGTTCACTCTGATGGTAGTTTCTTTTGCTGTGCAGAAGCTCTTTAGATTAATTAGATCCCATTTTTCAATTTTGGCTTTTGTTGCAATAGCTTTTGGTGTTTTAGTCATGAAGTCTATGCCCATGCCTATGTCCTGAATGGTATTGCCTAGGTTTTCTTCTAGGGTTTTGATGGTTTTAGGTCTTCTGTTTAAGTCTTTAATCCATCTTGAGTTAATTTTTGTATAAGGTGTAAGGAAGGGAACCAGTTTCAGCTTTCTGCATATGGCTAGCCAGTTTTCCCAATACCATTTATTAAATAGGGAATCCTTTCCCCATTTCTTGTTTTTGTCAGGTTTGTCAAAGATCAGATGGTTGTAGATGTGTGGTGTTATTTCTGAGGCCTCTTTTTCTGTTCCATTGGTCTATATATCTGTTTTGGTACCAGTACCATGCTATTTTGGTTACTGTAGACTTGTAGTATAGTTTGAAGTCAGGTAGTGTGATGCTTCCAGCTTTATTCTTTTTGCTTAGGGTTGTCTTGGCTATGCAGGCTCTTGTTTGGTTCCACATGCAATTTAAAGTAGTTTTTTCCAATTCTGTGAAGAAAGTAAATGGTAGTTTGATGGGGATAGCATTGAATCTATAAGTTACCTTGGGCAGTATGGCCATTTTCACAATATTGATTCTTCCTATCCATGAGCATGGAATGTTTTTCCATTTGTTTGTGTCCTCTCTTATTTCCTTGAGCAGTGGTTTATAGTTCTCCTTGAAGAGGTCATTCACATCTCTTGTAAGTTGTATTCCTAGATATTTTATTCTGTTTGTAGCAATTGTGAATGGGAGTTCAGTCATGATTTAACTCTCTGTTTGTCTGTTATTGGTGTATAGGAATGCTTGTGATTTTTGCACATTGATTTTGTATCCTGAGACTTTGCTGAAGTTGCTTATCAGTTTAAGGAGATTTGGGGCTGAGACGATGGGGTTTTCTAAAGATACAATCATGTCATCTGCAAACAGGGACAATTTGACTTCCTCTTTTCCTAATTGAATACCCTTTATTCTTTTTCCCTTTTTCTTCTCCCAGAAACAGGGTCTTGCTCTGTAGCCCAGGCTGGAGTGCATTGGTGTGATCATAGTTTGAATGCCTGGGCTCAAGTGATCCTCCTTCAGCCTTCCAAGTAGCTAGGATTACAGGCCTGCACCAGCATGCCCAGCTAATTTTTACATTTTTTATGGAGATGGGGTTCTTGCTATGTTGCCCAGGCTGGTCTGAACTCCTGACCTCAAGCAATTCTCCTACTTTGGCCATCCAAACTGCTGGGATTACAGGTGTGAACCACTATGGCTGGCTTAGAAGTGTATTTCTAAAGTCTTGTTAAAGAGAGGGTCCAGGTTCCTTTTATCTTGTTCCTTTTCCACTTACTATGGCAGGAGTCAGGAAGCTTGTTCTGCAGAGGGCCAGATAGTAAGTATCTTAGGTTTTGTGGGCCATTTGGCCTTTTTGTTATAACTACTCCAACTCTGTTGTTGGAGAGGCAAGCAACCATATAAAATATAAATGAATGGGTGTGGCTATGCTTAAAGAAAACTTTATTTTTTATTTACAAACATAAACAGCAGACCAGATTTGGCAAGCAACATGGTAAGACAACTCATAATTGAACACTGAGAACTAGAATCAAAACTGGAACGAGAGTTGGATGTTCTAGTGGCTGATGATAGCCAGATGTGTCTGTTTCTACCAAAGGGATGTATCTGCCACATAGGTTTGATTATGATACTTTCTCCTTGGACTGCATCTCTCTGATACTCCTTTATTTAGCATATTCCCCACACCTTCCATGCTAAATAAAGCTTCAGCTTGGTAGCCAATTTGTCTAAGGTAATGATGCATATCTGTGTTCTGGTTCATTATGTAATCTCATGTTTAGGTTCTGGGAGAGTTCCTCATATTTTCCATTGGCTAGCAACGAATAATTTTATATTTTTTATTGAAAAGTAAAATGTAAAAAGTCTAACCATAAGAATAAGAAGATATAGGTGAATGTGTAGTATTTTGATAAGAAAGCAGGTTTAAAAGCAACAACAACAACAAAAATCTGATTATTGCTAGTCAAATGTAATGAATAGAAAACAGATTATTTTAAAATAAAAACTTCTCCATGCCAGCCAAATACATAACATTAAATGCAAATCAAACAGAAAAAAACTAGAACGGATGACAAATGAAATCATTAAGAAATCCTAAAATAGCTTTTATATATAAATAGCTCTAATGAACAAATAAGAATTCCTATAAATAATTGTGGAAAGGATATGTGCAAGTGATTCATGAACACATGCTATTAATAGATATCAGTAGTTATTATACATGCTATTAATAGCTAATAATCCTATAAAAGACTATTTGACTTCCAGGGAAACGATAGAAAGGCAAAGGCAAATGGGAGGTTGGGAGGCATTTTGGCAGAGACAGACAGTGCTCACCAAATGTTCCATGTCTTCTTGATGTTTCCAGCCCTTCTTTGTAGTGAGGCTGGGTCATGTGACTGGTTTTGGTCAATGGACTATGAGCAGATGTGATATCTTGGTATCTGGGTCAAGGCAGTTAAGAACCAGGGTGCTTCCTCCAGCCCCCTCTGCTGCCTGCAGCAGTCTTGGAGTCCACACGTTCCAGATACTGTAGATGCAAGATGGAGGAGTGGGGGATAAGTTTTTATGGTGTTAAGCCATCAAAATTTCAGCAATAAGCTTGGTGTGTTATAGAAACAGAGAGAAGGCCAATGGGGCTGGAGCACAGTGGACTGGGGAGAAAGTGACAAGAGATTATGTTGGAGAGAGAGGCAAGAGCTGTGTAGGGAGGGCTGTGGGGATAATGGGGAAGAGTTTAAATTTGATTTTTAGTGCAATGGAAAGCAATGTATCAAGAATGTGTCTTAAGAACCTTAAAATTGTCCCTACTCTCTGATCCAGAAATATGCAGAATCTATTCCAAAGAGTCCAAGAAAAAAATCTATAATGTAGTCAAAGATTTATATATAGCAGCATTTTTTCTAAATTATAATAGCAAAAGTTGAAAAAGCTTAAATGTCTAAAAATATGGGAATGATTAAAGCATAATATTGCTATTATTAAATAGATCTTTTCCTGAATGATTTTAAAGACAGAAATCCTTGTTTCGCATTCACAGTAGCAACAAAATTTAAAAATAAGGTGAAGAGGATGCAGAAGATCTTTAGTGGAGAAAGGAAAGGCTGATCTGAATTAACGGAGGGAAATACCAAGTTTTTGTATGCAAGAGTTTGATATTGTGAGTGTTGCTTCTTCCCTATTCAATTGTCAATCAATACAATTCTAATTAACATTCCTAGAAAATTGTAACTGAATTTCACAAACTTGAGTCTAAAGTTCATCTAGAGGAAAAAAATGTGCAAGAAAAACTAAGAATAGTTTGAAAAAAGCACAATGTGAGCTCTTGTATAGCTCTGGACATTGGCTCAATAGAAAAAGTAGGAATCCAGAAAGAGACCTATGTTTATGTGACAATTTAGAGTATTACAAAACTAGAGCTTCAAAGCAGCGGGAGAAAAACACTATACAATAAATGAGTCTGATACAATTGAATATCCATTCACATTAAAATGTAGTTAGCTCTGTCCCACACACAATACCCAGAAAAATATTCTGAAGAACTTCACCTTTTAAAACAACTGAATATTAAAGGAGCAGAAGAAAATTTAGGTGCAAGTGGCAGCCACAAGTTTCTCAAGAAGTTAAATATAGAATTACTGTATAACCTAGAAATTTCGTTCCTAGGTATAAACTCAAAAAACTAAAATCAGGGACTCAAATAGAGCCCTGCACACCAATGTTCATAGCAGCATTATTCACAGTAACTAAAATGTGGAAACAACCCAAATGTCCATCAATAGATGAATGGACAAACAAAATGTGGTAAATACATAATATGGTTTGGATATCTGTCCCCTCCAAATCTCATGTTGAAATGTGATTCCCAGTGTCATAGGTGGGCCTGATGGGAGGTGTTTGTGTCACGGGGGCAGATCCCTCACGAATGGCTTGCTGCATCCCCTGTGGTAATGAGTTCATGCGAGATCTGATTGTTTAAAACAGCCTAGGCATTTTCTCCTTGCTCTCTTGTTCCCCCTCTTGCCAGGGATACAATAGCTCTCCTTCCCTTCCACCATGACTAAAATCTTCCTGGGCCTCAGCAGAAGCCGAGCAGATGTGGGTGTCGTGCTTGTACAGCCTGCAGAACTGTGAGCCAAATAAACCTCTTTTCTTGATAGATTACCCAGCATCAGGTATTCCTTTTTATCACAGTGTGAATGGACTCACACAATACATACAATGGAATATCATTCAGCCTTAAAAATTAGGAAATTCTGACACATGCTACAACATAAATGAACGTTGAGGACATTATGCTAAGTGAAACAAGCCAATCACAAAAAGCAAATATTATATTTTTCCACTTATATGAGATCCTTAGAGTAATCAAATTCATAGAGACAGAAAGTAGACCAGTGGTTTCCAGGGGCTGGGAAAGTAGGGAGTTTTTGTTTTTGTTTTTTGAGATGGAGTCCTGATCTGTCGCCCAGGCTGGGGTGCATTGGCATGATCTCGGCTCAAACTCCTGACCTCAAGTGATCCACCCACCTCAGCCTCCCAAAGAGCTAGGATTATAAGTGTGAACCACCGCGTCCGGCCCAGGAGTTCTTGTTTAACAGGTAAAGAGTTGCAGTTGGGATGACGAAAAAGTTCTGGAAATAGACAGTGGTGATGCTTGCACAACCTGTAAATGTACTTAATGCTGAAATGTGGTACTTAAAAATGGTTAAAATTGTAAATTTTAAGTTATATATATTTAGCACAATAAAATGTAAAAAAACTATAAAGGATGTACATTAGGGGAAAAAAGGCAACCACAAAGTTTAGGGGCTGTGTATCAGAGATGAACACTGTCATATTACAGGGAGGCTTTGAGAGGCAGAAGTTCCTAGGTCATTGAGAATGAATGCAAATAGAGATTGGATAGAAATTAAAACTGACAGTATAAAAATGTAGCTCAGAAAAATTAAAAAAAAAGCTGAAAAAAGAAAAATTTCAAAGAAGTAGTGTGCTTAAATTTTTAGAAGTGGAAAACAATGAAAAGGAGCAGATTTCTATTCAATATAACCCACATAAGATATGCAAACAGTGCATTGCAAATTGCTTATTTAATGAGGATTTAGTTATTGGTCAAAAAAAGAAAAGAAAGAGAGTCAGAACATTTTTCTAATCACATTCGTAACTTGAACACATCAGAAGAAATCCTGGCAAACTTGCAACTTCATATTCTTCCCTGAATGAAGATTTAATTGCAGTCGTGAAATGTCACTTGTACACAAAAAGTCCCATATGCAATTACTACAATGGAACAAAAAGGCTGAATAAACAGTGAACAATCAATAGTATTCCACACAGACAAGTCAGTGCTGATCGAGAACATTGGCATGATGTTCTTCAAAACAAAGCATGACAAAGATTTCTGAGGCACAATATTTACTGAAAAAAGAAAATTTTCTAAGTTTGCTAGAAATAATTTCAAAATTTGAATGGCCAAACATGTAAGATGGATAAGAAATTGTAAAATAAATTATCACTCTCTAGGATGGAGAATTTGATTCGTAATGATTAATTTAACAGGTAATTAAGTGAGACAAAATGCCACACATAAAAATTTAAAAGGTATGTGTTACTCAGTTCAATCAGATTGTGGCAGGGACAAAATGTCAGACAACTAACATTTGTTGTACATATGTTTGAATCAGAAGACAAAAACAAGAAGGTCGAAATGAGTATTTCATTGATTCTACACCTGTTGTAAAGTGCACACCTTTTTTTTTTTACTTAATTGAAGAATCAAAAAATCTTCTTTAGATAACAGGCATTAATTTAAAAGACTGACGAGGGCAGTGTAAGGCAATGGTGTTGATGTGGCTGCAAAAACAACATGGGCAAACTAGACTTTGGGCTGAAATATCCAGAACGAATCTTTGTTCCAGGTACTGTACATACTTAGAATTCATTACTAGGAGATGTGGCCTCGACTGTGCCAATTATAATTACATTTTTGGGGAATAATTCAGAGATTATGTCTGATAATCTCTTCACCAGTATAAATTGGCATATTTTGAAGAAATTCATATAAAATTTGATCCTGCAATCACTCTCAGATAACATGGTTGGGAAATGTGAAAGCAATTAGATTTAATCAGATATGATGCAAGGTGCATTAGAAGAGTTAGACAGAACAGCAGAAGATTCTCAAGTAGAGTGATTGTAGTCTTTGCAGAAAAAAGGTAATATTAAATTTGTACCATAAACATTATTTAGTATGAACTGATGTTTGCAAAAGGTCACAAATCCAAAAGGATCTAAGTTAGCTATTCACTTTTAAAAGGATTAAAAATATCTTAAACATTTTCAGAAAATACTTTTTTAAAATAAAAATGTCATGACAAATATGCAATAAAATGATATTGCAATAAATAGTCATGCATTGCTTGATGATGGGGATAGGTTAGGAGAAATGCATTGCTTGGTGATTTCACTGTTGTGCAAACGTCATAGCGTGTACTTACACAAACTTAGATGGCATAGCCTGCTACGTGTCTAGCCTATAAGGTATAGCCTATTGCTCCTAGGCTACAAACCTGTACAGCATGTCACTGTATTGAATATTGTAGGCAATCGTAACATGATGGTAAGTATTTGTATATCAAAACAGAAAAGATACAGTAAAAATATATAAAAGATTTAAAAAAATGGTACCCATGTATGGGGTACCTATCAAGAAAGGAGCCTGAAGGACTAGAAGTTGCTCTAGGTGAGTCAGTGAATGAGAAGTGAGTGAATGTGAATACCTAGGACATTATTGGACACTACTGCAGACTTTATAAACCCTGTAGCCTTATGCTACATTAGACTTATAAAAATATTTTTCTTTTTTCAATAACAAGTTATCTTACTGTGACTTTTTTACTTTACAAACTTCTAAATTTTAACTTTTGACTCTTTTATAATAACATTTAGCTTAAAACACAAACACCTTTTGGAGGCCGAGGCAGGCAGATTGCTTGAGCCCCGGAGTTAGAGACCAGCCTGGGCAACGTGGCAAGACCCCTTCTCCACAAAAAATACAAAAATTAGTCAGGTCTGGTGGCTCATAGCTGTAGTCCCAGCTACTAAGGAGGCTGAGGTGGGAGGATCACTCCAGCCTGGGAGGTCGAGGCTGCAGTGAACCATGATTGTCCTGCTGCACTCCAGCCTGGGCAACAAAGTGAGAACCTGTCTCAAAAATAAAAAATAATAAATAAATAAATAAATAAATAAATAAATTAATGGAAGAAAAAAGTACCCACAAACACATTGTACAGCTGTAAAAATTACTTTCTTTCTTGATATTCTTATTCCAAAAGTTTTTTTTTCTATTTAGCAATTATTTTCTACTTTTTTTTTTTTTTGAGATGGAGTCTCACCTTGTCATCCAGGCTGGAGTGCAGTGGCATGATCTCGGCTCACTGCAACTTCTGCCTCCTTGGTTCAAGTGATTCTCCTGCCTCAGTCTCCTGAGTAGCTGAGATTACAGGCATAGGCCACCACGTCCAGTCAATTTTTGTATTATTAGTAGAGATGGGGTTTCACCATGTTGGCCAGGCTGGTCTCGAACTCCTGACCTCAAGTGATTCACCGGCCTTGGCCTCCCAAAGTTCTGGGATTATAGGCGTGAGCCACCACACCTGGCTCTTTTTTTTTTTTTTTAACTTTTAAACTTTAAAAATATCATTGTTTCTCACTTTCACATCTTGTCCCACTAGAAGGTGTTCAGGGGCAATAGCACGCATGGAGCTGTCATCTCCTATGATAACAATGTCTTCTTTTGGGATGACTCCTGAAGGATCTGTCTGAGGCTGTTTTATAGGTAATTAAAAAAAAATAGAAGTAGTACGCTCTAAATTAACAACAATAGTATAGTATAGTAAATACACAAACCAGTAATAGTTATTTATTAACATTATCAAGCTTTATGTGCTGTATATAAATGTATCTGCTCCACTTTTAAATGGCTGGCACTGCAGTAGGTGTATTTACACCACAAACATGTGAGTAATGTATTGTGCTATGACTTTACGATGGCTACAATGTCGCTAGGTGGTAGGAATTTTTTAGCTCCATTATAATTTTTTAGGGCCACGGTCCCTGGTTGACCAAAATGTCATTAGATAGTGCATGTTTATAAGGCCAGGTGTGGTGGCTCACGCCTATAATCCCAGCACATTGGGATGCTGAGGTGGGCCGATCATGAGGTCAAGAGACCATCCTGGCCAACATGGGGAAACCCTGTCTCTACTAAAAATACAAAAATTAGCTGGGCATGGTGGTGCATGCCTGTAGTCCCATCTACTCAGGAGGCTGAGGCAGGAGAATCGCTTGAACCCGTGAGACAGAGGTTGCAATAGCCAAGATTGTGCCACTGCACTCCAGCCTGGTGACAGAGCGAGTCTCCGTCTCAAAAAAAAAGTATGAAAATGAAATGGCAATTATAATCATCATATCAGTGGAAATATTCTCAAAGCCATTTGAATAATTCAAGGATGACAAGAATTTATTGTATATTTTAAATGTTTATTTATGTAGCTATCTTTTAATATTTGAGCTCAGAATCTCCAAGGATTTCAGGAAGCTAAAGCAAAAAAAAATCCTCCTGAAATAGACAGAGTGAATGAAATGTTTGCAAATGCATATATCCATTGTGTAGATATTCATGATTCCTCAAGCACAAAGGCATATAGGTAAATGATACTCATGACTCGGACAATGCTTACTGAATGCCTGCTGCATGTCAGATATTGTGTTAGTGCCAGGGAGATGATGGATAAACAAAATAGACATAGTCTCTGCTCTCTATATAACTTACATGCTAGTAGGGAATATAGATGTGTAGACAGCAATTTTTAGATGATGTGCGGGATAATAGGATGAGGTGAATCCAGGGAGCTCACAAACAGAGGAGGGGCACTTCATTCAGTATTGAGTAGCGAGAAATAGTAGATTATAACACGAAGAACTAATAAAGGGATGAAAGAGCATTGACGACTAATAACAGAGGCATGTTCTCTTTGCTCTAGATTCTTGCATATGTGATGGCTTCTGCCTGGAGTCCTGTGACAGTCACACTAGGTGGTGCCTGGACTAGGCATGTTTTGAGGTGGCTGCTTTTCTCATATGCTTTTCTCTGGGATCTGACCATTCCTTTCATCTCTTGGCCAGGCATGTGTTGTGTCATCTCCATCCTTTCTTCCTTTTTCCCTCACTTCCTGTCTCCCTTTGTTCTTTCCTTCTTCTCTCCACCCCACCCATTACACCTGATTGCAACTAGGGTTACTCATATCATTGGCTGGTCATTAACCAACCAGTGTCTGTCTCCCCATATCTCTAGAGATTTTGAAGTTATAATACAGTAGTTATTAAGAAATTATTTTTAGGCGCTAGAAAGGGTGAAAGTTCTCCCTGGAATTTTCCTTTAAAAAGAAGGAACCCCCAAACTATTTCTTCTCTAACAGAAAGCAGCCTGAGAAGTCAGGCATAGACATGCAAACTAGAAGCTTTTATATGTAAATGGAAGCAGCTGTACCTGGAAGTCAGGTACATTCAATATGGCGTTTCCCGCCCTCTTTTCCTTGTCATCACATGTGCCAGGTGTCATGGCAGCCTCCAGATAAAATCACGTGTACAGATATCAAGGCCTCTGCCAGGTGGAGGCCGCATTTGCATAATAAAAGACTAGGGTGGGAGGGCCAGCCTTTTTGTGGGCTATGTAAATGGCACACCTGGTCAAAGCAATCCCCTGGGCCCTATGTAAATCAAACATCGCCTCCTCAAGCCTCTGTACAAACCAATTGCGTTCCACCACAAAAGATAAACCCTCTTTTCGGCGACCTGCTTTCTCAACATAAGGAAGCTTTTTCTCTCTCTTTTCTTTTGCTATTACACTTTCTGCTCCTGAACCCACTGCTCATGTATGTCCGTGTCCTGAATTCTTTCTTGACCGAGACCAAGAGCCAGGGTATATACCGCAGACAACGGAGCCGTTTCAGTAAGAGGCACAACAACTGCATTGAAACACAGTCTGTTGAGTAAATAAATAATTACCCTTCAACTTGATCCATGGGAACTCAAAGTACATTTTTGGAGCTTTCAGAACAAACAACGCTCATATCTTTATTATATCATCATAAAAATTTTCTTTATAAAGTATATGAAAATGATGCTAACTATAACCATATTATTCTGTTTCATAACCAGCAACAATGCATTAGTTCCCTCAACCAAATCATAAACTGTTAATATAGGAATGGATGCATTTAAAAACAGACATTTGTGTTCCAATTCACCAAAGGTTTGTTAGGTAATCTAAAATGAACTTAATTTTAGCTAAATTTTGGACTATTACATATGCTTTTTAAATAAGGCTTGAAGGGAAGAAGGATTGACTTTTAATTGTGATATCAGTAGTGAAACTGTTGTAGATTTCTGTTTCAGAGTTAAAAAATATTTGTTGAGTGGTGATGTAGCAGAATGTAACAGATATTGCCGAAATCTGCTCCCTAACAAACTGTTCCAAAACTCGGTGGCTTAAAATGATAATTCTCATGAATCTGATGTTAAGGGTAGTTTGATCTGAGCTGGGCTAGACTAGAGAGACTTGGCTCTGCTGCATGTCCCTGATCCTGCCTGAGGACAAGCAGGCTAGCCCAGGTATGCTCTTCTCATGGTGATGAGAGGCAAAGAGAGCAGGTGCACCCATACAGGATCTCTCAAGCCAAGGTTCAAAACTGGCAACCTGTCACTCCTGTCTCATTCTATGGTCCAAAAGTGTCTTATGGCCATACCCAAAGGGAAGGGGAAGTGATGTATGCCATTGCATAGTGAGAGGGTCCTGCAAGGTTTTATTGGAAGATCATGTAGACAAGGAGGGTGATGAAGAAGGGACAGCAATATAATCCACACACAAAAACTGCCTAGTTATTCAACGAACTCGCTTCTCTTCTTCCTGGAGCCCACAGTTACCCTATCTTTCCTTGCCTCTCAGGCAGTAATGTCTGGCTATGTAACTGAGCAGAAAGGACTTGGGCCACAAAGATTTCTAATGGGAACTCTGTGCTATTTCCCGTTTCTTTGGCTTGATGCAGACAAACTAAGAAAACTTGAAAGCCACGTATTGAATATATTCAGAAACACAAGATGAAGGAGGCTGTGTCCAATCAGCAACTTCTGTTTTTTTTTTTTTTTTTTTTTGAGACAGAGTCTTACTCTGTCGCCCAGGCTGGAGTGCAGTGGCACTGAACTCGGCTCACTGCAAGCTCCGCCTCCCAGGTTCATGCCATTCTCCTGCCTCAGCCTCCTGAGTAGCTGGGACTACAGGCGCCCACCACCACGCCCGGCTAATTTTTTTGTATTTTTAGTAGAGACGAGCTTTCACCAGATTAGCCAGGATGGTCTCGATCTCCTGACCTCATGATCCGCCCGCCTCGGCCTCCCAAAGTGCTGGGATTACAGGCTTGAGCCACCGCGCCCGGCCTGCAGCAACTTCCCTTTGGACTTTGAGAAGGAAATAAGCTTTTATTATGCTGGCACCATTACTTATTTTGGGGTTTGCTTATTACAGCAACTAGACTGGCTTACCCTAAATGATACATGTGATGTGTCTGGAGAAAGGCTCTAAAGATGCCTCCAGATTTCCTTGAGAGCACTTTAGACACACTGCCCTAATGCTTATTAGGTTCAGCTTTCATTCCTTATGGGTAGCTTCTCCATATTTGCCAAAATCAGGGAGGAGAAACCTTGATTGTCCTGAGGTTGGGGAGATATTCTTCCTGGTAACCAGGGCATGATATAACACTGTAGTGCAACATCAACACTTCAGTGACCAAAATAAGTTCCTGCAAAAGGTCAGGGATGGAATTGGCTTTCAGCTTCAATTAGGCCTTTTATTGCTTCATTACATTCTTGATTCCATCAGATTCCTTTATTGGGAAGAAAGGAGGAGGAGAAGTATTAGGAGAAGGAGGATTGTGTGGAAAAGTAAGCTTTATTTCAAGGCATTGACAAACTGGTAGGAAGGAGCACAGAGTTACCTGTCTATGTAGCAAGGGCTCAGTCAGGAGTCCCACCAATTCCTGCCTGAGGCCTACTCAATTTCCTCTTTGGGTTGAAACTAAAAAGTAGGCTTGCAGATGCCAGTGATGTCTTTGTTATCCAAACATGCTCCACATCCAGGAAAGAGAACACCTGGGGTCACCTTATTGAGGGATTTGCTTAATCATTAAAATAAATATTTACATTGAGAATACAGTTAAGTTAGCTTTCTTTGCACACTCACAGTTTTTAAAAGAGCCATAGGGCTTTCGTTCATGTTTTAAGCAATTAAGTTGGTAAAAATCCTGTCTCCATTTTCTAAGAGATGGATTACATTCAATTACTCCTCACAACAGCCAACTGGAAGATTGTCTCATTGCTTTTGAAGTACTGGTTGGGCTGGTGTCTGTGACGGTAGCAAAATAAATGAGATTTCTTTGTAACCCATGCTGATGCTGGATGCACTTGTTAGCCTGGCCCTTGTTCTGATACTCCACAATACAGCAGTTCAGCTGGTCATGCTCCTTAAGGAGCCACTGGGTAGTCGATTGATGTATTTGTCTGTTGTCACACTGCTATAAAGAACTACCTGAGACTGGATAATTTATGAAGAAAAGAGGTTTAATTGACTGACAGTTCCACAGGCTTAATAGGAAGCATGACTGGGAGGCCTCAGGAAACTTACAATCATGGCAGAAGTCGAAGGGGAAGCAAGCACCTTCTTTACAGGGTGGCAGGAGAGAGAGAGAGAGTGCAAGGGAGGAGGTGCTACACACTTCTAAACCATCAGATCTCATGAGAACTCACTATCATGAGAACAGCGAGGGGGAAATCTGCCCCCATGATCCGATCACCTCCTACCAAGTCCCTCCCCTAACACTGGGAATTACAACTTGAGATGAGATTTGCATGGGGACACAGAGCTGAATCGTATCAATTGACTTCTGCCTTGCCCCTCAGCCAGTCTGATACGAAGGCCACCTGCATTCTGAGGAGCCTCAGAAACCTTGGGCCACCATGTATCTCAGTTAGAGCCAATCAGCCACTTGGGCATGCATATTTCATCTGGCAACATGCGCTGGGGCCTGCCAGGCTGTGTCCTTTGCCAAGGCCCAACTCACACCAAAAGTCCTTTCCTTTTACAGGAAATGCCAGGGATGCTCTTGTTTGGAATTAGAATGTCTATTTTATTTTAGAGTTTAGTTTTAAATGTGCAATCCATTCCAAGTTTTAAAGCATTATCCATTTGGGCATATCGTCTTCAACAGTCATAAAAAGGCTTTCTATTTTTTTTATTTGAAACAATTTTGCCTCCTAAAGAAGCATCCCATATTTATAAGAGATAATACCTCCTACCACATCCATCAAATAAGATTTCCCCCTAGTGCCTAATGTTAGAATGCTACGCCTCTAAGCTTTTCTTCAGATTCTTTTTTCTATTTAGTAACAAGTAGAATGTGCTCATTACATCAACAAACCTAGGGATAAACATTTGGAAATCACCTCATTTTATGAGTTAGAGAAAACATATAATCGTCTAGTTTACTAGACATTCACCAATGCTTCCTTGGTGGCATGACATATAGAAAAAAAGGAGATTAGTATTGAAGATGAAAATAGCTTTATCGTGGGCAGAGTGGCAATTAGAATTTTTGTCTCCAGACCATATGGGTTCTTATTATAATTCCGTTTCTGGCCCTTTCCCTCCTGGAGTCCTCTAATCCTGGTGGGTTGTTCCTCACAGCTAACAGTAATGGTTAACATTTAGTGAGCACTCACCGGGTCTCAGGCATTTGACATCCACTTGCTTATTTAACTCTAAGAAAAAAATCCTATGAGTTGGATGTTGTGATCCCCATTTTACAGATGGGGAAACTGAGGCACACCCAGTAAGCGATGGGGCCATCGCTGAAACTCATACAGTCTGATTCCAGAGGTTGAGCTCTTCTCCACTGTGCTATATGCTAAGAACTAAGTCATAATTTCAAGGTTGGTTAGTCTTTTGTTCCAAAAGGAAGATCAATTCTGTTAGGAATCTCCAGTAACTTTGTCTTGGCTGAGTTGTTGGTGTCAGCTAGATGAAGATGCCCCCTTTTTAAGTCCTCTTCCCTTCTCTATAAAATATATTCACTGATTAGTAGTAATAGTGGACACAAACATTTTCAACTTTCTCATATGATTCAGGCCCAGGAAAAGCTAGATTCTTATTGTCTAACTGTATATAGCCTCAGAAGTCATAATATTTACTGCTAATATCAGGTGTTTTCAATCTATATTCAATGGGAATCAAGCTAGTATTCAGTGAGAGTGCACCAGAACCCTGGTTATCCTGGTTGTTAAAATTATACAATAGCCATCACCCCAATTCTCTCACACAATCTAGAAAATTGAAGGCTAAATTCGGCAACTGCAGAGTTAATGTCTGGCACAGCGGGGGCCTTCTGGACTCTGCTCCTGCTCTGCAGCCAATGTCCATTCTCAAGATATGGTGACTGCCACATATTCTCACTTAGAAGTAGGAGCTAAACAATGAGAACACATGGATACATGGTGGGGAATGACACACACTGGGGACTGTCGGAGGGGCAGGGGTTGATGAGGAAAGGGAATAACCAATTCCCTTTGGTTATCCAGGAAGAATAGTCAATAATCAGGAAGAACAGCCAATGGATGCTGGGCTTAATACCTTGGTGACTGGTTGATCTGTGCGGAAAACCACCATGACACACATTTATGATGACTTCCCATTTCCTCCTAATGCTATCTTCCCACCCCACCCCAGGCCAATACAACTGTGAATCAATTTTCTGTCTATAAATTTGTCTATTCTAGACATTTTTTTCCGTGAGACAGAGTCTCGCTCTGTCACTCAGGCTGGAGTGCAGTGGCTTGATCTCAGCTCACTGCAACCTCCGCCTCCTGGGTTCAGGCGATTCTCATGCTTCAGCCTCCTGAGTAGCTGAGATTACAGGCATGTGCCACCACAACTGGCTAATTTTTTAAATTCTTTTTTATTTTTTAGTAGAGATGTGGTTTCACCACGTTGGCCAGGCTGGCCTCCAACTCTTGACCTCAAGCAGTTCGCCTGCCTCAGCCTCCCAAAGTGCTGGGATTGCAGTCATGAGCCACTGTGCCTGGCCTATTCTGGACATTTTCTATATATGAAATCATATAATATGTGCTCTTTGTGACTAGCTTCTTTAATTTGGCATGATGTTTTCCAAGTTTCCCATGATATCTTTTTGATAAGAGATCATGTATTGTCTAGGGATAGCTCCTGTGCTTAATTGCTCTTTAAGTGTTTTTGTATATTGCCTCACCAAATACAACATAAATATTCAGAAATTGTTTTGACATCTGGGGTTTTGTACGCCTAGAACAGCGCTGCCTTCTGCTGGGAAATGCTCCTTCCAATCTTGTGTTTCAGGGGAGCATGTGAAATGGTCTTTACACAGGCCCTTTCCCCCCGTCCAGTTTGGGGATGGAAGCCTGACCCCGCTGATACTACCCTGAGATTTTGGAACTGGTAACTGAGACATCAGGTCCCACGGCCTCTCTAGAGCTGGAGACAAGGTGGTCATTTCTCCTGCTGTGTGAAAGAAGGTGGTACGTGGTAAGGAGAATGAAGCCCACATGAGGGGATGAGTCCTCTGGGACCCCTGACAGCATCCATGTTTCTGATGCCATTGTTCTCCTAGACCCAGGTGGGTCCCTGACCCTCCTATGCTGTCTATAGGACACACTATTATCCATTTCATATTTGGTAGTAAGTATTTAGACATGGGAATGATCACTGCATCTAAAGTACCAGGAAAGGTTCAAAAGTGTGGGTCAGCTGCCTCTGGGAGCATCATTTTAATGGGTCATCACAACCTAACGTAATTAATATGTAAGCCTGGTAGGCTTAGCATCCCAGGTATTTTACATTGGCTGATGATGCCTTCCATGAGCAAATTCAAGCTCTCAGTTTACATCAGTGACATATCATCAAATTTTGTGGGCATTTTTCTGATCATTAAAAAATGCATTACATAGCACATACCTATATGGAACACAATCAGATTTTTTCTTCCACATCTCAGGGGTTTGAATGAATAGATGTTCTTTCTCATTCAGACTTGCTTAGTATCATTAAATAAGTAATTGGAAATAGAAGCCAGGAAGAAATTTCAGACATGCACAACATTTTTCTGCTTCAAATGTACCTTTTAGCATTTTCTGCATGCACCAAGTACTGAAAAAAATGAAATGTGAAGTTAATTTATCATTACTTTGTAATGTTACACTTACCTATCTACTGTTTAAAGAAAAGGTTTGGGTCTTGACTTAAAACTGAAACTATATATATGCTCTTATTTATTTAGGTGCATGTAAAAGACAAACTCTAAGAAAAAATTCCTGACCCCTCTTACTACACTTTTTCTATGTGATGTGTGTTGTAAAAAGGAAGTGTTGGCATTTATAACAATCCTGTGTGTTTAGTGGAAATTCCTGGCCTTTTTAAATTAATGCTGCTTTTTTTTTCGGTGTCCTATTTTACCACTGTTTACAGACAACCTTCACATCAGGTCTTTTTGCTAACCTATGAAATGGCTGCTTGGGCAATACTTTGAGGGACAAAGATAAGAGAAAGAAAAATATAGATCTGAGAAGAGAGATGGGGAAGAGAAGAATGTGATGGGTCAAGAAGCGAGTAGGCTGTGAACACGATTTCTGACAAGGCAGAGGGCATGTTCCCAGGTGGTGCTGATCCCAGCAGGAAAGAGGTCCCTGAACTGGGAGGCGAGCCCCAGGACCTGTGGGAAGCATTGACTCTTCATCAGGGGTTGTGTTGTTCAATCTTATCTTACGAATTTGCAGTCAGATGGAAGGTTCAGGACTTCACAGATGTGCAAGATTTCTCATTTAGGTAGAAGAAGAGGATCCAGGTCATTTCTGTGTAAGAGATGACTCAAGGCTGGGAAGACCCAGAGCCCAAAGCTGTGAAGGTTCTACGAGTCACGGTGATCTTACTGAACAGGGACTTTTCAAGCCACTTCATTTACGGCACTGCCGAGAGGGTAGCAAAGGCGGAGATGGCTGGGCTGTAAGCTCCAAACTCAATTTGAATCATGAAAGATTACTTTTATCTGGTTTTTGCACAAGTGTACAGTGGGTTTTGTATAAATCTTGAGAGGGAAAAAGCATTCTGCTGCTAACACATTAACAAGTTAGAAATCTTGCCTCAGAGGGTATTTCTTTAGCCTGATGCTTCAAGTGGGGCCTGAAACTGTTCTGGGGGGAGCTGGGCATGCCCATGTGTCTGAGCCTGGGTGGGCTTCCCCCATCTTTCAAGCCACTTTGGCTCTGGCTGTCAAGGATCACTGATGTCACTGTGAGCCGTGGAAGAGAACAAAGAGAAAGTACTTCCTGGGTAGAAGAGGGTGAGGCAATAGGAGGTGTTATAAGGAAGGATCTTTAGCAGGAAATGCTCCCCGGAGAGGCCGAAATGATGTCATTGGACCATCAGCCCAATAGCAGTCAGAGGCCAAGTGTCATAGGAGACAAATATGCAAGCTTGAGTCTTGCATATTGTTTAACAGAACTTTTGGTCCAAAGGGCCAGTTATTTTATTTCACTTACTTTTCTGTCAATAGGGCTTGCCAAGGACTGACCTATAAAATTGAGTGAGCCCTAGGGACAGGGAAATGAATGTATTTTGACCTCAGCCAAGAAACCAGACCCAAGTTTAATCAGTAGCTTGATTCAAGTTATGTTTCCATTCTGTGCTAATGACTGCATCATCTCTGGTAGGGAGGTAAGAGGGGTCTTGGAAGCTCCCCTCATTCCCCACCCCCCATCTCTTGCATGAGTTCCTGCAGGTCCAACCAGCTTCAATGGGGGTGTTGATATGGTTTGGATGTTTGTCGCCTCCAAATCCCATGTTGAAATGTGATTCTCAATGTTGGAGGAAGGGTCTAGGGGGAGGTATTGGATCATGGGGATGGATCCCTCCTAAATGGATTAGCACCATCCCCTTGGTGATAAGTGAGTTCTTGCTCAGTTAGCTCATGCGGGATCTGGTTGTTTAAAAGTCTGAGAACTTACCTCCCTGAATCTCTTGCTCCAGCTCTTGCCCTGTGATGTGTCTGCTCCCCTTCGCCTTCCACCATGACTGTAAGCTTCCAGAAGCAGATGCTGGCACCATGATTCCTGCAGAGCCTGCAGGATTGTGACCCAAAATAAACCACTTTATAAGTTACACAGGTATGACCTAGAATTGAAGGGTCTCAGCACCACAGAAGACACAAGGAACTTCTGAAGAATGCAGATCCCTAACCGGGGAAGTCAGAGAACCACCTGCTTAAGAAATGCTTTTCTTAATGTATCATTTGAAAGTGCAGGCTCCTGGGCCTCACCTAAAGTTCACTGGATGAGCATTTCTGGGGGTGGAGCTCAGGAATGTGCATTTACACTTGTGAAAGGAAAATAAAAACTTAGGACTCCAATTCACTCTGCCAGAAGGAAAAAAAAATGAAGCTGAAAGCTGAGTCATGCCAGAAACTGCCTTTCCTTTTGTCCCTAAGCAGAGAGCTACAGATAAAAGGTTAAGTATCTCCGTAGGTAGCTAATTTATGTTCACCTTATCTTTTGTAAAGTGCTGAGTTACTGAGCATGAGACAATATATATAACTGACTGTTCCCCTACCTGTTCCTTTTCTCTTGCAACATGTGGATTGCCATGCCCTCCCTGTTTCCCCTCCAGCCTGTTTTTCCCCTTTAAATATTGAAGCCCTCGAAGTCATCTTTTGAGAAAGGTAGACCATAGACTGTTTCTGTGATTCTGTGTTTTTTCTTCTGTGTGTGTCCTCTAACCCTGGCAAAAAAAATCTAAATTGATTGAGACCTATCTCAGATACTTTTGGTTTACACACCAAGTCCCAGAGTAACTCTTAGGCATGCCAACCTTTGGAAACCATTGCTTTAGGGTGTGGAATGACTTGGATATGAAGCTTTAAATCTGAAGAAACATGACTCACATTGTCCTCAATGGTATATTCTCAGCTAAAGACTCTGCAGATCATATCATGGAGGAATCATTGTGTCCCAGGAATTGCTATAGTGGTGATGGGGCATGAATCTTAAGGTAAGACCAACCTTGTGATGGCTCAATGGGAGAGGGGAGAGGAGGAAAAAAACTCTAGAGATGGGAGAAAGATTAGAAGCTGGTGTGTGCCCATGAGGGGACCCCCCCATGAAGAGTTTAATTTTTGGTCCTTTTCCTCTTGAACGCTGGAATGGTTATATTTGACATCAGGTTACATTATTCCCCAGTTAACTTCCATACTTCCATGAAGTCTGTTCAAACATACAGTATAGTCTACATGGTGTCATGGCTGCAGGGGGATTAGGGAAGAGCAGTAAAAGGAAGTGTGACTTCCCTAGAACCACTCCACTGCCGAGGCCAGCATGTTGAAGACAGCATTAGTTAAAAGCCAGAACATACAGAATTCTAGGCAGGGGCCACGGGGCAATGAGTAGATTCCAAGGCATGGCAGGGAGGAGAATATGACAAGGACAACAGCTACCAGTAGTCACCATTCCTACTTCTGTTCCTATTTCCTCTTTAACCAACTCTAAACAGATTTTTATCTCCACTCATCTTGAAATCTTCTCTTGGCAAGGTCACCCATGACATCTAAATTGCCAAATTCAATGATCATTTCAAAGATATTCTCTTTGACCTGTCGATAGGCATTTGGCACAATTGACCATTTGCTTCTTGAAAAGTTCTTCCTGGCTGGCACGGTGGCTCATGCCTGTAATCCCAGCACTTTGGGAGGCCAAGGCGGTGGATTATGAGGTCAGGAGTTCAAGACCTGCCTGGCCAACATGATGAAACCACGTCTCTACTAAAAATACAAAATGTTAGCTGGGCATGGTGGCATGCTCCTGTAGTCCCAGCTACTCAGGAGGCTGAGGCAGGAGAATTACTTGAATCCAGGAGGTGGAGGTTCCAGTGAGCCGAGATCGTGCCACTGCACTCCAGCCTAGGTGACAGAGTGAGACCCGTCTCAAAAAAAAAAAAAAAAAAAAAAAAAAAAAGAGAAGAAAGAAAAGCTCTTCCCTTGGCTTGCAGATAAGCACTCAGTCTTGCTTTTTCTGCTCCTTTACCAGGTGATCCTTTGATATTCCCTTTAGTCATTCTTTCTCAATGTGGGCATGGCCAAGGGCTTAGTTCTTGGACATAATTTTCTTCATTCTCCTCACTTAACCCATGGACTGACGACTCCCAATATATTTATCTCCAGTTCCAATTTCTCCTCACTTGTAAATACAACTGCTGACTGTCCATCTCCACTGGGAACTGTGATGAGGCTGGCATAACATGTCCAAACCAAACTCACTATTTCTTCTCTGCTGCCCCAAACCTGTTCCTCCTCAGTTTTCCCCATGTTTCTAACTACTTAGGCCAAAAACCTTGGCATTACCCCAACTCTTCTCTTTCTGTCACATCTCATACCCAGTTCAACAACAAACCCTGTTGGTTCTACCAGGAAAAGATTTCCAAGGTGTGTGCCCACCTCTCACGACTTTCATCTTTACCCCCCTCACCCAAACTACTACTATCTAGCATCTGGATTTTTGCTGTATATCTAGACAAAAATCTAACTTGCTCTTGCTTCCACCCTAACCCTTATGTGGTAAATGATTAACTCAGCAGGTTTTAGTTGTCCAAACCTTGTACATTTCAAAGAAAGTTTGGCCCTTACCTGGCTACTGGGAAATAACTTGTAAGGCTTTGGAATATTCTGACTGTTAAGAGTGCCTTTGTTTACCTGACGTCTTAGGCCACTCTAGATAGTTTACGCTAATAATGTGATTAATGGCGAGGGCCTTGGGTAATAAAATTTAGGCAATAAAACCAGTAATAAAACTGGTATCAACTTTATTTCTGGAGGAATTGAGACTGAGTATGATGGTTAATTTTATGTGTCAACTTGGTGAGCCCACAGAGCTCAGATACTTGCTGGAACATTATTCTGGGTGTTTCTGTCAAGATCTTTTTTAGATGAGATTAACATATAACTTAGTAGACTTTGAGTAAAGCAGATTAACCTCCATAATGTGTGGGTGGGCCTTATCTAATCAGTTGAAGGTCATAAGAGAACAGACTGACCCTCCCTGATGAGGAAGGAATTCTGTGTGTGTTTGTGTGTGTGTGTGTGTGTGTGTGTGTGAAGTCTATGGTAAAGCAAAGAAAGAATTATGTCAGCAGATTGTTTTTGAACTAACTCTTCACTAATTCTCCAGCCTGTTGGGCTACTCCATCAGATTTTGGACTTGCCAAGCCTCAATTGCATGAGCTTATTCCTTAAAAAAAAAAATCTTTCTGTATATACATCTTGTTGTCCTGTTTCTTTGGAGAACCCTGACTAATATACTGAGTAATTAAGATCAACCGCATGGGTGATTGGTCATGCCGACGTGACCAACCCCCATTAAAGAACCTGGACATCAAGGCTTGGGTTAGCTTCTGTGATGGCTGATGCCTTGTGAGTATTGCTCAGTTCACACAACATTGCAGGTAGAATTAAACACTGTCTATCTGATTCCACAAGGAAGGGATAAACGGCAGCTTGCACCTTTTTCTTCTGGACCATATCCTGTGTGCCTCTTTCCGTTGTGGATTTTAATCTGTGCCATTTTGCTGGAATAAACCACAATAGTGAGTCTAATAGCTTTGCCGTGTTCTGAGTTATTTGTAGCAGATCACTGAATCTGAGGGTGGTCTTGAAGGATCCCCCTGAATGCAACCCCAACCATGTATTTTCCTCATAATAAGCTTTTAAAATACAAAGTAGATTATATCCTTTCTCTGCCCCTAACTTTTAATAGTTCTCTGTTTTTCTCACAGTGAAAGCCAAAGTCCACAGGATCTCCCCCTCCTGACTTCTTCTCTGACCTCAACTCTTACTTCCTCATCACTCACTCAGCTCCCACTTCATGGGCTCTTTGCTGATTTCCTTGAACTCTCCAACCTCAGGACTTTGTATATACTTGCATTTAGTGTTTCCTCTTCCTGAAGGCTTTTTACACAAATACCTATGTGACTCACTCACTCACTTCCTTTAGACCTTTGATCAATCAGTTAGACCTAACTGAAAGGTCTTCCTTGACTACTGCATATAAAATAGCATTCTACGCCCCATGATTTCCTATTTCCTTTTATTATTTTTTATAGCACTTTTGACATCTTAACAAATTTTACATTTATATGATTATGTGTTCCTTATCTATTATCCTCCACTAGAAAATAAGTTTCATGAGATCAGGGACTTTGCCTATTTTATTAACTTCCGTATCCCCTATCTCTTGTACTTAGAACAGTGCGTGGCACGTAGTAGATGCTTAATAAATGTTAGTAGAATAAATGAACAAATGAGTGAGTAACTTCAAAATGAACACAAAGTGAGGATGAAGATTGATCTTACTCTTTCAATTCTCTCTGCACTCCTTGCCCTCTGTATCGCTATGTTATTTGCCATTAAGGCCTCTTATTTCTTCCTTTGAAACTATTTCAGATGAAACTTGTCCTCCATTCACTTGCCATTCATACGTTTTGGTTTTTCCTTTTATAAAATAAAACTTTTTATTGTGGTATAATACACATAACATAAAATTGACCATTTTAACCATTCCAAGTGTACAATTTGGTGGCATTAAGTACATTCACAAGGTTGTGCAATCATTTCCACTATCAATTTCCCGAACTTTTTCATCATCCCAAATGGGAACGCTGTACCCATTGAACAATAACTTCCCATTTCCTCTTTCCCCTGCCCTGGGTAAGCTCTATTCTACAGTATGTCTCTATGAATTTGCCTATTTTAGGTAACCTCATATAAGTGGAATCATATAATATTTGTTCTTTTGTGACTGACTGGCTTGTTTCACTTAGCAAATGTCTCCAAGGTCACCCGTGTTGTAACATGGATCAGAATTTTCTTCTTTTTAATGGTTGAATAACATTCCATTGTATGTATATACCACATTAAAAAAATCAATTCATCTGTTGATGGACATGGGTTATTTCCACCTTTTGGCTATTGAGATTAATGGTCTGAATATTGGTGTGCAGGAATATGTTTGAGTCTCTCTTCTCAATTCCCTTGGGTATATACCTAGGAGTAGAATTGCTGAATCATATGGTAATTCTATGTTTAACCTTTGAGGAACCATCAAACTATGTTTCACAGCAACTGTACCGTCTTACATTCCCATTGACAATACATGAAGATCCTGATTTCTTCATATCTCCACCAACACTTTTTTTCCTTTTTAAAAAAGTAATATCCTTCATGATGGGTGTGAAATGATATCTCATTATGATTCACAGTCTTTTACCTCATCACCTTGCACCTGGATTGATGAAAGAGTCTCCTTGGGAATATACCTGCCCTCCATGTTTCCCTTCCTGCTGCATTTGACCACTGTTGCTCATGCATCTTTGTAAAACACCATCCTGATGTAGATTTGGGCAATATTTTTATAAAGATGATGGAAACAATGAGGCTGCTGCGGATGTGTGAGGGTTAATCTTAGGTGTCAATTTGATTGGATTGAAGGATGCCTAGATAGCTGGTTAATTACTGTTTCTGGGTGTGTCTGTGAGGGTATTGTAGAGGAGATTGACATTTGAGTCAGTGGACTGGGAGAGGAAGACTCACCCTCGATGTCGGTGGGCACCTTCCAATCGAATGGCAGCAGGTAAAAGAAGGTGGGATAAGCTGGCTAGTCGAATCTTCTGGTTTTCATCTTTCGTCTATGATGGGTGCTTCCATGTGTTCCTCCTGTCCTTGGACACCTGACTCCAGGTTCCTCGGCCTTTGGACTCTTGGACTTGCACCAGTGGTTTGCTGGGGGCTCTCGGGCCTTTGGCCACAGACTGAAGGCTGCACTGTTGGCTTCCCTATTTTTGAGGCTTTTGGACTTGGATTGTGTTACAACTGGCTTCTTTCTCAGCTTGGAGACAGCCAATTGTAGGACTTTGTCTTGTGATTGTGTGAGCAAATTTTCTCTCATAAACTTCCTTTCCTATATGTGTATATCCTATTAGTTCTGTCCTTCTGGAGAACCCTAATATAGAATGTACAGAGAAGAAAAGGAAAAGGAAAGAATATGAAGGCAGATTATTCTGGAATATTTTTAAAGGACAAGGTGGGGGTCAGGATACAAGACACTTACAAGGGTCTCCTAATAGCCCAGGGAAGAGAGAATTTTGAGAAAGAAGTGATCAGCATTGCTCTGAAATTACAGAGAGTCAGGTGTTTTGAAGAGGGATCGCTGGATTTTGACAATTAAGAGTAAGCAATTCATAACTTTTGAGACACAGTTTATGTTTACTGGAGGAGGTAGGGTAGAATAAAATATCATTGAATTGACAAAAGAATAATGGGATTATTATTATTATTATTATTATTATTATTTTCCAGATGATTATCAGCAAAGGAAAGTGGGACAGTAGAAGAGCTGTGGGGAGGGGTTTTTTAAAGATGGGAAATCAAGGCTAGCAGCCCAGCCACAGAGGCAGAGCCTCCAGGTCTCTGGGCTTAGTACTTCTGGTGCCACTTAGACTTCTGCCAACACCCCAATCCAGGGCCAGATCCTGACAAGCGATATTCCTTTCTATCTTAGAGAGGTAGCTCCTTTCCATTTTTGAAAACCTGCACTCCACTGAGCCTTCACTTTGAAAAGGAATTGAAGGGAGAAAGATTGCAATGTCGTAAGCCTTAGCAGCCCTGACTTTAAGCTCCAGTCATATCCTTGGCATCTTAATCTCTCCTGTGAGAAATGGAGCTTTAGTGTAAAAATATATTTACGCTTCATGGTGACAACACATCCGAGACTTGTGCTCAGAGGTCATTTAGCAGATCAATGGTCCCAACACCAACTAAAAGAAGATATTGTGGTTAATGATATTAGATGGTATGTGAAGGAGTCATTACTGGAGAAACATCAGTGTAGGGCTATATGTGAAATGTCCCGAAGGGAACAGGATTTAATGGAGGATCTCAAGGTTGCAAGAAAGGCATACCATGAGCTCATACTACAGTTGTCTCTTGTTTCATGGGGGGCACTCATGCTTATATTTGGTGACTTGAATGCTTACATATCTCTGCATGAAGATTTGTTGGCAAGAATAGGAGAAACAACCAAACCTGATGAAATAGTGGAACAGACTGGGCCCATTCTCATGAACTGGTTGCCAAGCTTAAATACCTGTAAAGACTATCGTCATAACCAGCTGGTGGCCAAGGCACTTCTTTCCAAAAAAACAAGATTCAAGAATGCAAGACTTCTTGAGCAATGTCTTGAGTCTCCTTTCAGTCAAAAATTAGATCTTTAGAATTTCCTAGATATTCCTTAAAGTTGCCTCATCAAATAATCTTTAGTGTGATAAGGCATTTTTAGACATTCTCCAAAAGATCACCCTGAGGTTGAGCATCTAGAGAACGTTGTATTGATAACACAGGGAATTCCCTCCGATATTAACTAGAAGAAAGGCCAATTAGAGTGCCAGTATTTTACTGACAAACTGGAGTAACTGGATGAAAAAGTGAAAGGATCGTAGAATTGAAACAAGCAAAGTATTGCTCTGCCATGGGAACTTGAAAAATAAGACAGACATAAACTTTACATTTCTCTGTTTCAAGACTTCTTGGTTTTGACTTGACCTGGTAACAAGAAACACAAAAGGAGAATTACTTTTATCCGTTTTGCTAGCAACCAACCCTAGTCTAAGAGCTAGTCTTTGAAGACCTGAAGGATGGAGATGTGAGAATGAGAAAGTCCTTTTGAAGATGTTTCTGTAATTCAGATAAAGCTAAAAATATCTTTGTAGTTTGCTTCCAAGACCCTTCTTTGGGCCAGTCTCACACTCCATAAGTCTAAGATGTGTTTCATAAGCAGCAGTGGTTCCATTGTACTTAAGTCACTATTGCTCCTTTCCAGTCTAACTAAGTTTGAGGATTAGCCAGAGCTCCAAAAAGAGTGGGAAAAGAACAATCCCTTGGTCTGGATCATCAAAGACTGGAGGAAGGCTTCCACAGTTTTTGGTGTTATTCAAATAGAAGTTAAAAAAAAAACTTCATAATATGGTTCCCCTGCACAAATAGCAGAACACACCAAAAGCGTAAAAACACTCAGAACGCAATCTGGGTTCCAAAAAGCAAGGGACAAAGCCTAGTTAAGTGGCAAATGCAAACGGATTTTGGGATAAGGAGAGTTCTGTGTATTTACTGGTAAACAGACTATTTATAAATGAGTATAAGGGTTTTTCTTTTCTTGAAATGTAAGCATGAGAGAATTATAAGCTTACTTCATATCAGCTTTAATATTTTCTATGTTTTTTGTTGTTGTTTCAAATGGCAGCTAAAGGTATACATATACAGACTACATTATATAAATGGTGTTAATTTTTTTTTTTTTTTTTTTTTTTTTTTTTTGTGGAGAACAGATCTCACTGTATTGCCCAGGCTGGTCTCGAATTTGTGGGCTCAAGTGATCCTCCCACCTTGGCCTCCCAAAGTATTGGGATTACAGGCATGAGCCACTGGGTCTATGGTCTTATTTTTAAAAGACTTTAATTTTTTTTAGTTCATTTAGAACATCCAACTCTGGCATTTTTAATCAAATGAAATATTTATGAAGTGGATTTTCATTTAATTCTGAATTCATCATGACTTTATAGTATCAACTAATTATGGTATTTATAATATTTGCCAACACATAGAATTTTGTAAACACTAGGCTTTTACAGTGTTTCTTCAATAAACTTAGCATGCAAAATTGGAAGTTTTAACATTGACACCTAATTCTACATGACATATATGTTTGCAGTATTTAAAAATTCACACTGAGGCTGGGCACAGTGCCTCACCCTGTAATCCCAGCACTTTGGGAGGCCAAGATGGGTGGATCACGAGGTCAAGAGATCAAGAACACCTTGGCCAACATGGTGAAACCCTGATTCTATTTAAAATACAAAAAATTAGCCAGGCATGGTGGTGCATGCCTGTAGTCCCAGCTACTTGGAAGGCTGAAGCAGGAGGATCACTTGAACCCAGGAGGCGGAGGTTGCTGTGAGCTGAGATCGCACCACTGCACTCCAACCTGACAACAGAGTGAAACTGCATCTCAAAAAAAAAAAAAAAGAAAAAAAAATTCACACTGAAACATACATTCTTTGGAAAACAGACCATAAAACTTCATAGGCTTTTAATTTCACCAACTGAAATCTTTACCTTGGTTTTTATTTTTCACTGCACATGCCTCATTTTTTCATCCATTTAACCTGCCAATTATTGTTTTGTTTACTACAAACTAGATTTGATATTTGGCTTTATTTTGTTTTTTACTTTGCAGCCTTTTCAAATCGGCATATCTTAAAGATATTTTTCTTTCTTGATTAAAAATGCGTGTGTGTTTAATTATTTCAGCATAACCAAATGAAACTAAGCCATACTATTTTTCAGCCAATTAAGAAAATTGCAGTTTTAAAATACAACATTTTGGGGTGATGAATACATGTGAAATGACTTATTATACTCTACTGAAAATCTGCTGTAAGACATTCACTGGAAATTTTAGCTTTATCTGAAAAGCAAGAGGGAAGACAAATTGACTGATAATAAATTTAATAATGGGGAATGAGGGCGGGTTTGTCTTAAAGCAAAAAATGTCTGGTTATACCATCATGTGAAAATATAGTAAAAGCTAAATCAGAGGTGTAGAGTCATTGTAGAACACCTGAGGGGAAGTTAACTTTATTTCCCTGAAAATAATGTTTGAAAAGAAATAATAAAATGTATTAAAAATTTGACAATATTTAGTTAATTTCAATGGATTTATTCATAAGATGGAGAAAAGGCTGATGATGTAAAATGTTACATGGGTGACATATAGAAAGAGTAAACTTATAACTTAATTTTCTTTGTTAATATAACAGTGAGATCATATCCTTTAAAAAGGGACTATGGGGTGGACCAGAAGTCCCTTGCCCTGGCTGCGCTATAATAGTGAAAAATCCAAGTATATGTTGAATATTTTGTAAAATATGTTTGCCCAGTGGAAATGAAAATTAGAAAAGATGGTAAATAGATCAATCCAAATAAATTCTCTGTATCAGTGAATGATACAGTTAAGCAAGCCAGCAAACAAACAAACAAAAAACACATGTAGAAGAAACCCAGATGAACTCAGATTTCATGTGTTGATGGAAGAACCAAGAGAATGAAAGGGAGTGGAAGGGTAAAGATGGGGAGAGAAACTAGGGTGTCCCCTGAGGCTCCTTCCTCTGAGCACAGAGAGATGGAGATGGTAGACACACACTGGGAATTCCGGAGAGGAGAGAATTCAGGGACTTCTGTTAATAACCTTGGTCTTGGGCATGCTGGAGGAGGCAAGGTCACTCATTGTCTTACTGAGCTGAAAGGAGAACTTACACTGGAGTTTTGAGCTGGGAAAAGGTTTGTGTGAGTGCAATGAGTGTGGCCAGAGCCAATGAGAAGCAATGTGAATATGGTTCAGGTGTTTCTCAAAAAGTGACGGAGAAGAAGGGAGGACACAGGGTCGTTGATCTGGATGGAGGAGTGAGCATTGGACTTGTTTTGACCTTTAAAAAGTGCAGGGCTTAAGTGGTGGGGGCTGTCTGGAACCCTTTCCCTCCCGTACACTCAGCACGTTGTTTGCTTCTGACACCTCCCATTGTACACACTTGGGAGGCTGGCTACACTCACAAGGAGCGGCACATCCATCAGCAAATCGGGCTCTGACATTATTTCAGCTTCCTGCCTTTCTCCCCCAATCCACTTCATCCTGTTAAAAGCACCTTCTTGAGACACAGTTGACATAATTTTGGCTTTAATATTCTCTCTTGTGAATTTACTCTGTAATCTTGGAAGCAAAACATAGAAGGAAAGAAGAAAGAAAAAGAAATCTCCAAACCCATACTCCTTATCAAAAAATTTCGGGGTTATTACCACACAAGCTTGCGGCAGTTTCTGTTATCTAGCGGAGGATGGGGAGTTCCAGGGAGACAGGGGAAGGGGAGGGAGAGCTAAGAGATAAGGTGGTTTGTCTAACCCCCAATTTCCTTTTCCTGATGACTTCTAAGTAGTCATTTTCTCACAAAGTCACTGTGTCCCGAGGCTACTTTTACACATCTTGTCCTCATCACTCTTCCCTGTAGCACTTTCCCTTAACTGAGGAAAGTTCTTTGGGCTCCAGGCTACAACTTCCACCTCAATTAATGGAGTAACTATTTTGTTTGGTCCGTGGTTTGATTACATTTATTGGGAGGTGACTATGAGCAGGCACTGAGCCAAGTGCTGTGAGCAATACAGAGATGAACAAGAAGTCACAATGAGCTGAGAGAGGCACAGTCTGGCAGAATGTGGCAGGCGGGGCAGGGGAGGGACCACAGCTTTGTGCAATGGCGAAGAGACTGCTTCCAATTGGGAGGGCATGGAGATGTTTCATGATGAGAGCGACTTTACCTATTTATTTTTAAAATTTTATTTGTATTTTTAATTTTTGTAGGTACATAGTAGTTGTATATATTTATGGAGCACATTAGATGTTTTGATATGGGCATGCAGTGTGAAATACGCACATCGTGGAGAATGGAATATCCATCTTCTCAAGCATCCATCCTTTGAGTTACAAACAACGCAATTAGACTTTTTATTTTAAATTGTTCAATTAAGTTATTATTGATGACAGTTACCCTGTTGTGCTTTCAAATAGTAGGTCTTATTTATTCTTTCTAACTACTATTTTGTACCCATGAGAGCGACTTTAGTACTGGGTTTGCCAGATGTAAGGAATAAGGTTGTTTTGGCCGGATGTTAGGGAGAAAGAGGCACAGCCTTCGTGGTGGAGGAAATGAGGTGAGCAGAGACACAGAGGCAGGAGAGGGCAGGAGGCCAGGGATGGTCTGGGTTGGAGTAAACACTGGGTGAGGAGGGAAGTGGTAAGCCAGCCTTGCTTACTTTGCTTGGGAGTTTGGATTTTCTTCTATGAGCACTTCAAAGTCTTCATTGCCTGTACTTCATTGCAAAGGCTTTCTTGTTTATCTGCCTATTTGTAGTTAAATCTGTGTCTCTCAGTTTCATCTGTTAAGAGGGAAAACCTGGAGTTCCTTTGGCTGCTGAGATGCCCTTTTTGAATCCCTTGCTTTCTGCTAACCCTTTTTATCTAGGTCCCACTGTTTTGCTTGGCTTTTCTTGATTGCCTTCTAGTGCTATCTACACACAGCAGTTTCATTTGCTTTGATGCTTTTGAGAGTTCAGGACCACAGTTTTGCCAATTTTAACTTTCAATACATTTTCTCACCTTTTTCATGACTGTCTTTGAAAAGAAAAAAACATATACATGCAATTAGCAATAGATGGCATCCTGAATATTGTTTATTGCATCATAGCTAAGATGAAAACATTAAGGAACACAGCAACATCTCATTCCCTGAGAAGAGTTTGGTCCTAAAACCACTCAAAACAAAAGCTGACAGATGAGAAAATGAAAGGAAGATCTTTATCTATGTTATTTTTGCTTAGCAAGCTCAATAATGACAAGTTTAGAGGGTTCCAGTATGACACTTAGCAGGTGCTCAGTTAAATACTGATTGTTAGTTCTGCTCCCAGTGAGGAATTCCTGGTAAGGTGGGAGACACTAGGAGATTTTTATCTCATGCTTGGTTCAAGGTAGTTTTCATTTTTCATTTCGTCCCAAGATTCCATGGTGCTGTATTGTATTATTTTTAATTTAAAAAGAGCAAGCAATCTAAATGTTTAATCAAAGGGAACAGTTTGGTAAATATGGCATATCTACTTGTGGGACGCCCATGACATTATTATAAATAATTACTAAGATCATTATGAAAAAATATTGTAATGGTAATGGGAGGAAAGCAGAATGTAAAATTACATATCAACTGATATTCTAAACACTTTAACAATTGTGTGCCTGTTGCACAAATTCTCAGAGATGGAGTACAGAGATTTGAGCCAATGACTGGTGAAAGGCAGGCCTCCCTGCCCTCAAGAGGGGCTGATCAAATGCAAGACTGCAACCTGCCAGTGCTTACAGCCTCAATATGAAGCCATGAGCCACACGTGTTTCTGAATATAAGTTAATTTTTCAAAAGAAAGAGATCCACTTCAGGTAAATAGTGTTGTTTACCTGCTATCCAAATATCAAAAAGCAAAAACAAAAACAAAAAACACAAAAAAAACAAATTTGCTTCTTAGCCACTGCCTTCTCCTCCATTTTCTTGTCTCTTCTAATCAAATGCTTTCCTTGGGTCGTTTCCTCTAAATTTGATACACAGATGCTTTCACCATCAAATTAGTATTGTTTGTGCACCTCTAAGAAAATTCAAACTCTGATTAGGTGCACTACTGCCTAATTATATCTGTCTGTGCCTGGTTGTATAAACGTGTCCACATTAGGACTTGTGGCTGCCTCTTTCTCAGAGTGTCTGGGAATGGAATCAGAAGAACTATTGCTGGGCTCTCACAGATGCAGAGTCTGGAAGATAGCTCAGGTAAATGAGCAGGTGATGGCGTATGGGGGAGGAGGGCCCTTGGCATATTATGCGATGATCCAGAAATGAAATACGGCTGGTTAAAAAAAGGAAAGAACAGGCTGCCAGTTTCTGAAGTTTTGAGAACCCTGCTCTTAAATGGGCACAGGGGTTATTAGTAGAGGTTTTTAAGAGTAAAACTAGAAGTTTCATTGGAAAAAAGGAAGTCATTTTAGCTTTCCTTTTCTCTGGTGCTTAATCTTGCTTTGTTCTCTCTTCTCTCTCCCCTCCTGCCCTTTCCTGCCATCATACTTAGGGGCTGTGATTTCTCGATGATACCTCTCATTGGGCTCTTGAAAGTGCAGTGCAGATATACGGTTTGCCCAGCCTACCTCCTCTATTGTAATAGCACAGTTTAGAACAAGTAAGAAAAAGTAAAAACCAACAGCCACCTCAAATCTCCTTCATTTCTGCTTCTGCAGTAGTGGAGTTGAGACATCATCTATTGGAGATGGAGATGTCCAGCCTGAGAAATTATTAAAAATCTGCTTAAATTAGCTAATCTTTTTCCTTCCTGCTCTCCCCTTCATGTACACCTCTCTGCTGACATCTGACTGGTGTGCCTCAATGTATGTGCACCAGCAGACATGCCTTGGAATTATTGATCATCTGTCGTGGGGGTCTCTGAGCAGAAGTATGTAGTTGAGGGTTGGCTAACTCCTTGTCTTCCTTTCTTCCTGATACCTCACCTCCTAATTTGGGAGCCATGTTAGTCTGTTTTTGCATTGCTATAAAGAAATACTTAAGACTGAGTAATTTATAAAGAAAAGAGGTTTAATCGGCTCATGGTTCTGCAGGCTGTACAGGAAGCATGATGCCGGCCTCTGTTTGGCTTCTGAGGAGGTCTCAGGTAAGTTACAATCATGGCAGAAGGCAAAGTGGGAGCAGGCACATCACATGGCCAGAGCAGGAGCAAGAGAGAGAGAGAGAGGGGAGGTGCCATGCACTTTAAAATGACTGGATCTTATGAGAACTTACACACTATCACGATGACAGCACCAAGAAGATAGTGCTAAATGATTCGTGAGAAATCTCCCCCATGATCCAATTCCCTCCCACCTGGCCCCACCTCCAACACTGGGGATTACATTTCAGCATGAGATTTGGGCAAGGACACAGATCCAAACTATGTCAGGAGCGCAGGGTACCACACAAAATGCCAGAACTGAATGGAGGCCACAGATTCTCTGGTTTACCCTGCACCTTCTAGATGAACAAACAGATGCCCAAGAGCATTGCTCAAGATCACATATGTGTAAGTGGCAGCTAGGGGACAAGATCTCAGATTACTTCTATCTCAATCTGATGGCCTTTTCATGATGTAATTGTGTTTACTTGAGTTACTTTCTTTTCTAGATGCTATGCAGGCAAAGCCTAGGTTTCCCTCATAACTTTGTCCAAATGCCATCTTTTTCAGGAAGTTTTTATAGATGGACCCAGACACAAGAGAATTTTGCAATCACCCTTAGCACTTTTTAAAACTGTGCAAAGCTTTTGTAGTCTACAGTATTGCCATCAATTAGGGTTAATTACGTACATGTTTTACCCTCTCTAATGGACTATAAGAGCTGCTTGAAGGCAGCAATTTTGCCTTTTTAATTTTTGTTAGTCTCATAATGCCTGGCACAGTGCTTGGCATCAGTGGATACTCAATAAGGTATGCTGAACAAATGAATGAGAGAGTGGATGAAAGAACAATGAACCCATTGGAATGATGCCTTTGTTCCTTCCTGGAGTGGGGCTGCTGTGAATCAAAATGTGATGAATCTCTGGGGATTAGGAGCTTTGTGAGTTATGGGGAAGTCTTTTTGCCTCTCTTGGCTGAATGAGCAGTGATAACATTAAAACTGCATCCTTGGAGGAGCTAGCAGTGATTTAGGGAGTACATTCATATGGGTTCTTCATAAATAAATCAACTAAATTGCTGCCACTAGCCAGTCAGGCAGGACTGCCCCTAAACAGAACAGGTTTCTGGTGTTTACCTGGCCAGGATGCTGACTGCTACTGAAAATAGCTCAGCATTAGTGTCTGCTGCACAGCTTAAAGGTTCTTGCTGTCTCAGTTGCCTCTTTGGGGACTTTTCCCACCTAATTAGGAGAGGGTAGAAGTAGCTCATCATTTAGTCACTGTGGTTATAGCAACTGGGATGGTTGCTCCAACTTCGGGCATTCCCTAGAAGGTGGCTATATTTTTTTTTTTTGCCTGGATGTCTTCACTTGCTCAGTTTCCTTATGGGGGACTCAGGGGTTACAGAGCTCAAAAACCATGTCTCAAAAAAGGACTGCGGGAAACTCTGTTGATAAGAAAAAACTCTCTTTGAATTCTGGTATATCTCAAAGAATAATTGGGTTTTGGAAATGATAAAGTAACTCCATGCCTCCTCCTCCCCATTAAAATGTTGTTGCTTCATTATCTGAATCCCAAAGGCTAGGACCTCTGGATTTCCAAGATAGCAGTTCACTGAGTTGAAATGCTGATGTATATTTCTCAGCTAATAAGATGACTAGTGAAGATTCTCCAAGTTTCTTCCTTCCCTCACAAGTCATTCAACAACAAATATTTGTTGAGTACCTAATGTGTGTCAGGAACTATGACAGACCCTGGGGATAAAAATACCAAATAGTCTTCACTTTCAAGGATTTTATAATCTGAAAGGGGTGGCAGATCTACACAACGACAAGAGTATAACGAGACCTGCCTTGTAATAGGTACTGGGAAAGGGCTCTGGGGATAGAGATGGGAGAGAAACATGTTGGCTTGGGAAAGGTTAAAGTGGGCTGTAAGGAATAACTAGGGTTTCACCAAAGAGGGAGGAGGGTTATTCCAGACAGAGGCAGCAGTGTGAAGAAAGGGTGTGAGAGGGAGTTTAGGGCATCAGGACTGGTTATTCGGGTGTCCATTCACCCACAGATAATGACTTAGTCCACATAGCACGATCTGAGTTGACCACTGTGGCACCTATGTGCATACAAAGCTGCCTCAGGACAGGTCTCTGTCCTGCAGGAGTTTAAAGTTCAAATGGAGGGTGGAATTCATGGCGAGAGAGTTGGAAAATGAAGCTGAGAAGTTGGGCTGATTCCACCTTGTGAGATGTTCTGGCGCTGGATAAAGAGCTTGAACTTTGGCCAGCAATGCCTCTGCTTACAGCGTCTAAACCACAGACCAGTCCATTGATGAAGGACATATAAGGGCGGTTCCTAGTTTTTGCTTTAACAAACACTATTGCAACGAATAACTGTACATTCATGCATGCATGGGAGAGCATACCTGTAGGATCAACTCCTTAAATGGAATCACTGAATCAAAGGGTATGCATTTGTAATTTTGGTAAATATTGTCAAATTCCCTTCCTTAGAGGTCATGTCCATGATCACTCCTAGCAGCAGAATATGAGATGAGCTACCTTTCTGACTCTTCGCGTGCGCGTGCACACACACACACACACAGTGTAACAAGGACAGTTTTTCATTCTACTTCACACCAGTTGTCACCCTTCCTTGATGGGGCACAGATGGCCAAGCTTTAGCTCTCCCTAAGGTACAAAGACACAAGTTTGAGATGGATGAAGTCTTGTCCTGGACGGGTCCATGAATATCCCTTATGTTCTACCTAAGTTTAGATTTCTGTCCCATGGGGACCCACAGTGAAGCACTGTGAGAAGTAGTCGGCCTCCAGGCTGTCAGATTCAAAGATTGGGAGTGCCCCCATACTAAATGGAACTCTTAATTACTCAGAGAGAATGCGTCATTAATGAATGGTTTTACACTTTACCTGCCTTTTTTTTTTTTTCTCATAATTTTGGCTTGTGTCCCTTTCTGGGGAAATAATTGCTCTAAGTCTTATTTGTTCTAAAATTTTAATCTTAGAATGTATTGGTCTCTTTAATCAGTCTACCACATAAATAATTCTTTATAAATATTTGTTATTTTTGTGAGCTAATAAAAAAACTAATGGCATATGATTATTTGGACACGTTGTAAGAACTTCAAATATAAATCTATGTTTTGCAGGCCAGCACACACTGCTAAGTGGAAGAAGAAGGCAGAAAGTTTTGATTTACAGGCACAAATCCCATGCATATGAAATAAAAGACAACTGAAGTTTTGCTCAGCCATCTCAACCATCAGCTCCATTCATCTTCTAACTATGTGATGATATACACTAAACACAGATGGCCAATATTAAGTATGAAACTACCTGACAAAGGAAGCTGATTCTAATTCAGAACACCATAATTCTGGATGTTGAAATCCGAAAAGATAAAAATCCTTAAAATTTAATTCTGGAAAAAAAATCTTTAAGAGATTTATTTACATTTAGAAAAGGGGGTTTATTTAAGAAACATAAAAACATGACAGGATATTTCACAGCCCACTTTACACAATTAATGAGGTGACACTATACATATTTTTGCAAGCATAAACACTCAAGTGTGTTAATGGCAGTTGCATGGGCATAATAGTTATAAGTAGATGAACTATATTAAAAAAGAAATAGGTCAAAAGGGAAATGTAGACATGCATATGACTATGGTTGGAATTGTGTGTACCCAGATTTATAACTGTGGTCATCTGAAATACCATGACAAACAACCTAAATTTTTTGACAAGATCGGTCAAAAACCTTGATGGGTTACCACAGAACATGCAGTCACCTAAAGAGCTGAAATCTTGTGAAATTTTATCTTTCACAAATGCAGATGTACAAAAAGGACATCTCTTAATTTATTGAGAAAGTTTCAGTGTTTTAAATTATGCGTAGTGCACAATGCTTACACACAAAGTCAACAGTGTGATAATGTGATAATTTCATGGAGTCAAATTTGTAAAAAATGCATTAAATGAATTCGAACTCTCTAAAAGCCTCTACACAACCTATACCTCCAGAGTTGGAAATGATGCAAAGATAGGATAGCGAATGGTAAAACATAATGCTGTCAATTTAAAAGAGCCTAGCCAACATGCTGAAACCCCAGCTCTACTAAAAAAATTACAAAATTAGTTGGGCATGGTGGCGCATGCCTGTAATCCCAGCTACTCAGGAGGCTGAGGCAGTAGAATCGTTTGAACCCAGGAGGCAGAGGTGGTGGTAAGCCAATATTGCACCATTGCACTCCAGCCTGGGCAATGAGAGTGAAACTCTATCTCAAAAACAAACAAACAAAACCAAAACTAAAAAAGAAAAAAAGAAAAAAACCCAAATGGAAAAAAAATCAATATATGAAAAAGTGTATTACAGGAATAGATTATGGGTAATTTCATCAAGATAGTCCATCATAAGAGCTGGCCAATTTTCATGATCGTTAACTATATTTTGAAGTCTTGCATCATAATGAATAGATGCTTTTTTCCTTTTAGACCATGGCTCTCATTGGAGAATATGTTCACATTCATTTTCTACACGATGTTGTTCTTTTTGAAATTCTCTTGTGATTTGACATACAACAACATGAACATTCCATATTAAAATTTCCCATCTTCTGTGCCATGCCTCGATGTTGTTTTGGGTGTGTGGAAATCCATTCCTCACGCACTCATATACATACCACACATTTGGCAGAAACAATACTGGTGTTTGAAGGGAACGCCATTATGTAAGTGCCTTCTTATCTTACCATGCACTTAATTATTTTTCAACCATTCATTAACTTTGCTGGCTTCTCCAGGCAAATGCAGCTTTAATTCATTAAAAGTTTTTGTAATGTCATCAGCTGGAAGAAATGCCAATGCAGGCAAATGGCAAATTTTTAAACTGAAGTTTCTGTTGTTGCTGTATGTCATGGCCAAGCCACTCATCTAAATTTTCTGTCAGATGCATTGGGCTGAATGAAAAAAACATCTTTATTGGTAACATCTTGAAATTCCCTTGAAATCTATTTTCTTCTGCAAAGTCCACCCGATCTGCAAATAAGCATTTGTAAGTGCTTCACTTTTCCCAGCCATTAAAACATAATTGAGTGGATAAATTTTAGAATCTTTTGCATGAATTGTATATAGATGATAAAAAAAAAATCAGTGGGGACAATTTTCAAAGTGCCATCCATTAGCCAAATTGAAGCATGAGCTAGTTTTTTTCATGTTATATTTAGTGGTAAATATAAGTAGTGTATCTTCTTCATTAGTCAAATCCCCAGTCAAGAATAGTTCGCTATTTAATGTGTTTTGGAACACTGGAGGAATCTCAATGTCACTGAGCTTGTCAAATTCTTTTTATTCTATGACAAAGGGCATTCTAGAAAGGCAAGCATGACACTTTGTGTCAAGGGGCAGAAGTTGTACATGACTCAATAATTTGGAGGGCAGACTTCTTGTATTTTTTGCCCATGTTTTCACTTCTTCTGTGATCAATTTGACACCTAAAATTAAGTCCACATGTTCACCCCTTGTCAACTTGTCACCCTAAAGCATGCGCATAGGTTGACAGGAAGAATCAAGACCAGAGATAGATGATGATTCAGGAGGGAGAAGCTATCACTGCAGGAGCACAGTTCTTGAGGAGGGGAGGGGTCCAGGCTGCAGGTGCAGTGCTGTGTTTTGGGAGGCTATTCTGGAAAGATAAAGAATGTGAATAATGTTCATGTTGAGTGATTCTAGGCATGAGAGTAAAAAGTACTTGAGGAAAGCAAAATCTATGGAACATACTCCTCTGGCAGAATTTTGGGAAACCCACACCCACACCCACACCTCCACACACAACCGAACACACAGCATAGAAATGCACAGTGCCTGGCACATGCCAGGTGCATAATGAATTTTTTAAATAAAAATGTGATCTTGCAAGTGGAAGTGAGCCACCTCCTAGTCAAAATATTACCAGGAAATCTGCTGTCTCAAGGCAGATGGGAATGGCTAAAGGAGGGAAGAGAGCAAAAGGAGAAGGAAAGAGGGTGTGGGGCAGGGAAAGAAAGAAGAGAGAAGGCAAGAAAAACAAAGAGGAGACCAAGGCCAGCAGTGGCAGAGAGAAGGGTGAGCGGCTGTGTCAGTGGTGGCCCCAGGCACCTGTGCTCTCAGCTGCTGACCCTGGGCAACTTTGTCCTTAACTAACAGCTAAGAATCTCTAGTCATGGGAAACTGCAGTAACAGCACAGGTGTGACCCAGCAGCCGCTCTGCTTGGCCTGGCTATAATTAGCATCCACTGGCAGCCTAGAAAACTACCTGCTCTTGAGGTCGGTGAGTTCAGAGCCTGTGAGTAAAAACAGGGGGGTGCAAAGAGCCGGTTAAAGCTCCAGCTGTGGTGAGTCAGTGCGAGGTTGCTTGGCCCCAGAGCACAGCCCTGCAGCCTGGTCACCCTGGGCACAGCCCTGGATCCTGGTCACCCTGAACACAGCCCTGGAGCCTGCGAGGCTCATGTGAGAATGAGGGTGGCCAGAATTCCTTGACTGTCACTTATCTGTCTGGGCAGACGTCCTTCATGGCTGGCTTTCTCTGGCTCCTGGGGCAGCTCCAGCCCGTGGGAGTTGCACTGTCTTGGCAGACAGGGAGACTGGCTTTGGCAACACACCGAGGGCAATGCTTTCCCAAGGATCTGTCTCCTTGGAGAGTCTTTCTAATGCCTTGGCGCATTTGTGTTCTCCCCTGGGTAGCCCGTCCCGGCTCAGTGCTCATTTCCCACATGGGGGCATTAAAAATAAATCTTTGCTGTGAAATAGGAAGAAAATTTTTCCCAGAGCTTCTCTTCTCTTCTTTGTGTGTGTGTGTATGTGTGTGTGTGTGTGTGTGTGTGTGGAGTTTGGAGTCTGAGAGGGGAAAGGTAGAACCCACGATCTCTTCTGGCACACTCCTGGAACACTGCGCTGTAGTAGTGAATACAAAATTATCTGCCTGCTGCTACTGCTCCCTTACAGGCTCGTTATCCCCCACTATCCGGTGGCGTTGGCTTCACCGTTCCATGCTCAGGCAGCAGCACTCCCATCCTGATGGGAGGGCATCCGGGCAGAGTCCCATCCCTCCACAGTGGCCACATTTGAAGGCAGCCGCTCCTCCCTCTCCACCTGTCTAATCCTAAGAAAGTTATTCCTTATACAGATCTTAATTTCCTTGCCACTCTGCATCTCTAATCCTGGTTTTCCTTTGGACATCCCATAGTTAGCTGACTTCCCCTCCAAATAAAAGCCCTTCCTTTATATTTGTGAGATAAATGATTATTTCCTGTTTTCCCTTTCTAGTCTGATCAGCCTCAATGATTTGACTGCTCATTATTTCCCCAAATATGTGTTTATTGCCAACTGAGAGGCTTCTACTGTGCTAGGTGCTGGGATGCACCTATTAATAAAATGTAGCCCTGGAAACTGGAGGCACCCACATTTTTGTTTAAAGAAACACTCATGGGAAGAATAGAAACATGCCAGATAACTAAAATACGATGTGATAAGAGGCATAACAGAGGTAAACTTTCTATTGCCTATTGAGGATTTATCACGTCGGGGGTGGAGGAGTGTGCTGTGTGCATTATCTCACTTAGAACCTACGACAACCTTGTGATGTAGGCATCATCATCAACTTGTAGATAAAGTCAGTTGATCTGCCCAGCTTCACAAGGCTGCCAACCCTACGTTGAAGGGCAGATTCAGGATTTCAAATCACTGAGATAAATGTAAAGTCCCACTCTCAAGGCCACACACCAAGAGCAAGGACGTGAACTCAGACCATCTCGCTGCAGAGCCTGCCTTTTGGACTACCCTGCCATCTTGCTTTCCTGGAAGGCTTTGGGAGCACTATGGCACCAGGATGAAGAGTATCCTCAGCAGGGCTACTGCCGCAGACTTGTACCAAAGAGATGCGTGCAGAGACTCCCCGCGCAGGAAGCTGGATGCTAGTGCTGACCTAGCTCTGACCTTGCTGTGGTTCTTGGCACTCCCAGACAATTCAGGCAATTCAGTTTCACATTACTGACACCTCTGCTGTTCTGAGTACATGCTTTCTTTCAAAATGCAAAAGCGAGGCCACTCCATGCACCTCTGACAATGGTCCATTCTTAGAAGAATCACCTGTCGAAGCCGTCCTGGGAGCTATTGAATTAATTTCTACCACTTGGAAGGCAGCAGTTGTCCTGGAGAGGAAGGGCACAGCTTTTCTCTATCATCTGGCAGCCTCCTTGGAGCTGTCTGGGGAGATGGGGATGTCCTGGATGCATGTGCCTGTTTTTATTTCATTGTGGATGGTGGTGTGATCAGTACTGAGTATGGCATGCAGGAATAATTACTATTATCACTACTATTTCAACATCAATTCTGCATCATCAATAGCATTGGGCATTGTCAGAGAGCAGAATTAGAATCAGGCTTTTTGCCCAATGGGATCTCAATTTAAACAGAAATTGCTCATGAACAGGAAGTTGCAATGGTGGTGCTGGGGAGTCGGGGCTAGGGGTTGGAAACAGGGAAATATAATTTGTATGTTTCTCTGTGTTTTGGAGGGGCAGATATCAACCTTTTGTTTCTCTCTCATGATTTGGATGATTTTTTTTTTAACAAAAGCCATGGCAATAATAATGATGTTACGTAGAATTTAAACTTCCCAGGCAACATTTTTGCCATTATCAATGATCTCAAAACTCTGGAGAAACCAATATTTATTAAAATTGAATTCACACCTGCAAGAGACTCAGGAAAATGCTGCGACGGTCTTGGGGAAGCCTGGAGTGATGGGAGTGAGTGACTTTGCTCCTCTAATGCTCCTTGTTTGCTTATTTCCTCCTGAGCAAGTATCTTGTTTCTGTGTGTCCTGATTCGTTGTCAGTAAAGACGCTTCTGTCTCACTCTCTTTCATGTCTCCTCTGTGTGAACTGCTGACCACCACCCAGTACCAGTTCTAGAGAAATCTTCCCAAATGAGCAATTTCATTCATGCTTTCTCCTTCCCAGAATTCTTGACCACTTCCCTATTGGGCTGTCACTTCAAAGCTAAACCCTTCAGCCAGGTCTCCCAAAATTTTGGAATCTGCTTCCCTCCCATTCCTTCAGGTTACTCTTTGGTTTCAGAAACTCTACTTTCTTGTTAGCCCACAAGCTCATCTTGCAACCTTTTGCTCTGGGGCTCTGGTCATGTTTCTTCCCTTGGCTGCCATGACCACCCTTCCCTTCCATGTATGTAACACCACCCGCTGTCCTGCATGGCCATTCTCTCCTGCTTCTGAGGCCTTTCCTGGGGGTGTCCTTCCAATGACCCTGCCTCCTGTGAACATCTCTGGTACTGATGGTCTTATGGGTGTATGTCCCCCCAAATTTGTATGTTAAAGCCCTTTATTAGTCAGGATTCTCCAAAGAAACAGAACCAATTGTGTGTGTGTATGATATACATATATGATATACATATATAAAATATATACACACATACATGTATAATATATACATATAACACATATACAATATATACATACATGTACATATTATATATGTATATATTGTATATATGTATATATAATACATACATATATGTGTATATTGTATATATACACATATATGTATATATAATATATACAGTATATACACATATGTATATATAATATATACAGTATATACATATATGTACATATATATTATATATAATATATACCTATATATGTACATATATGTATATATTATATACATGTATATTATATGTAATACATGTAATATATATAATATATACCTGTATACAATATATACATATGTCTATATTATGTAAGTATATTATATATGTATATGTAAATATGTATATATAATATATACATATATGTATATATGTATATGTAAATATGTGTATATAATATATACATATATGTATATGTGTATATGTATACATTGTATATATTATATATGTATATTATATATACATATATACATACATATTATATATGTATATATATTATATATGTATATATGTATATATTATATATAATACATGTACATATTATATATAATACATGTATATATAATACATGTACATATTTTATATATAATACATGTATATATATAATACATGTACATATTATATATAATACATGTACATATTATATATAATGTATTATATATGTACGTGCATTATATATAATATGAACATGTATTATATAGAATATGAACGTGTATTATATATGTACATGTATTATATATAATATGCACATGTATTATATATAATATATACATGTATTATATAATATATACATATATATGTATGTATATATGTATACATACATATATTATATGTATACATACATATATGTATATATACATATATAATACATATATAATATATAATACATATACATATATATGTATATATGTATATATTATATATAATATATACATAAACATATCCAGTATGTTTATATATACATATTATATATATACATAATACCTAATATATATGTTTATATGTAATATATAGTTTAATATATGTATATATGCTTGTATATGTATACATAATATATTACATATTATATGGTGTGTATATATTATATATAATATATCATACACACACAATTGGTGATATATGTGATACTTAAATATACACACATTTATATGTATATATGTGTGTATATACACACACGTGGTATATATAGAATATAGATATATATAAATTATATAAATGTGTGTATATATAATATGGATTTCATATATATCTTACATATGTGTGTATACATAAAAATATTTATAAAAAAAGAGATTTAGTATAGGAATTGGCTTACATGACTATGGAAGCCAAGAAATCCCACAATCTACCATCTGTAAGCAGGAGAACCAGGAAAGCCAGTGGTGTCACTGAGTCTGAGTCTCATGTCCTGAGATCCAGGGAAGCCAACAATGTAACTTCTAGTCTAAGGCCAAAGACCTGAGACCTGGGGGTGGAGGGGGACACTGGTGTAAGCTCTGGGGTCCAAAGGCCCAAGAATCAGGAGCTCCAATGTCCAAGGGCAGGAGAAGATGGGTGTCCCAGCTCAAAAAGAAGAGAGAGTGAATTTGCCCTTTCTCTGTCTTTTTGCTCTATTCAGGCCTTCAGTGGCTTGGATGATGCCCACCCACATTGGTGAAGGTGATCTTCTTTGCTCAGTCCACTGACTCAAAACATCCTCATAGACACACCTGGAAATAATGATTTCCCAGCTATTTGGGCAACCCTTAACCCAGTCAAGTTGACACATAAAATTAACCATCATAAGCCCTAATTCCCAGTACCTCAATGTGACTATGTTTGGAGACAGGGCATTTAGAGATGTGATGAAGTTAAAATGAGGCCATTAGGGTGGGCCCTAATTCAATCTGACTGGTATCGTTGTAAGACAAGGAAACTGGAACAACATAAAAAGAGACCCTAGGGGTATGTACACACATCTTGCCAGCAGCAGAAGAGAATGCTTGTTTTTTCTCAGCGTTGCCACTATGAGGCTTTAACATTTTTTGTTTTGTGTTTGGAAATCTAATAAGGGAAAATCATATTTCTATGTTTTGATTTGCATTTATTCATTAATAAGGTTAAGCATTGCTTCAAAAATTTGTCCACCATTCATGTTTTTATTTTCCTGAACTCTTCTTCATAACCTTTGTTCATTTCTATGTTGCTTAACTTTTTATTACATAAATAATATTTATAAATTAAATAACATTGTCTTTTGATCTCATATGTTGCAAATATTTTTCCAGTTTGTGATTTGTCCTCAACTTTGCTTATGACTTTTTGTTTTGTCACATTTATTAAAAAAATGTAGTCAACTTTATTGTCCTTTTCTTTTGTGGCTTCTGAGCTCATTATTTTAAAAATCTAAATGGGGTTTTTAGATTTGTAGATTAGGGAAATGCACAAAAACATTTCGGAGGACATCATCCACGTGTTTTGTAAAATTTTCCATGATATCCTTGAGAGTAAAATGGAGAAATGAGGGTTGGATGATGATATACATCAAAGTGTCTTTATAATTTACTCAATAATGCAAACTATAAATGTACATGAAGAGTGCTGATTAATGGATCCTTGTCAGCTTGGATTCCCTCGGCCTTGATGAAGATAAAAGGTATAATTCGCCTATTTTCAGATAGCAGAAAGGTCAAGGTGTGATATTTAATTCCCTGGATAACATAATCAAGATTTAAGAAGATCTTGACAGGCCAAAACACTGAGTTTAAAAATAAAACAAGTCAAATTTAAAAGAGATAAATCAAATATTTGTATTTTTTTACAGTTCAAGTATACAAGAACAGATGGGAAGTCCTGGAATACCAGAAATTCATATAAATAACAACTTCAACAAAATTTTAGTTCATAGTGAGTTAATGGTATACTAGGAAAAGCAAGAAAGCCAGTGTGGTCTTAGGTTCTTTCTGGCTTACTCAACAATATTTAATTTTAAAAAATTTAAATTCTGATAGACTTGCAGAGATTTGCAAAAAGGGTACAGAAATCCCCTTTCATCTAGATTTCTTCAATGGTAACATCCTCTGTAACTACAATACAATGTTAAAATCAGAAAATCGACATTTTTACATGCTACGGATCTTATCCATGACTCAGCAGTTTTTATATTCACTTATTTGTGTATGCGTGTATAGTTCCAAGCAATTTTATCACATGTATAGACTCTTGTATTCTTAACAGTTTTTAACTGGTAAGCAAAGTAAGGAAGAACAGACTTATCTATAGAGAAAAATTCATATATGTATTTCAGGAAAATTAAGCCTGGAATTTAACCTAAGTGACATATCCCAGATACAAGTGGGGACATGGGGTGAACTTATACAAAGTCCTCCTAGTGTATCTTGGTGATGCTTTATTTGCATTATCTCATCTAGTTCCCAGGGCTATGCTTAAGCTGTAGATAGCCAAATTGTGGAACTGAAAGAAAATGAGACTTTTAGCAATAATTTTAAAGGTATCTTAAAGGCCTGTCATGCAACAAAAGGCTATAATGTGTCATTCTAGTGGTCATTAAGAGAGATTGGAGGCAGTTACAAAGCCAACTTTAACTCAGGGAAATTTTTTCTAGCAAGGAGAGCTGTAAAACAGTGGCATTTGGCTGCCATGATAGCAACAGGCAGAAATTATTCAAGCAGAGGTAGAGTGATCACATTTCAAGAGGGGGTTACAGGGGATTCTTAAATTCATTAAAGTTTGGATTATAAGACTAAAAAATTCTAGGACTCTGTGTGGATGAATATCATAAAGAAGCTGGGATATTCGAGAGGATGGGTTTTTCTCTGTATTCCTGATTGGGGAAAGAAGAAGAGGGGAAGGAAAGGGAGAGAGAAGACGCTAAGGAGGAAGAAGGAGGGGATGATCCTAGTGGTACACATGCAGTAAAGAGATAACACAAATATTTTTATTTCTGGCACCTTACTCATCAACTTTATAAAGAACAAAGATTGTATTCAGTTATGGTGCCTATTAATTATTAAGATAATGATAGCAGTTTGATAGGTATTTCTGTTACTCTGTCATTCTCTCTTCTTTGCCTTTCTCTTTCTCTCTCTCTTTTTTTTTTTTTTTTTTTTTTTTGAGATGGAGTCTTGCTCCATCACCCAGGCTGGAGTGCAGTGGTGCGATCTTGGCTCACTGAAACCTCTGCCTCCCGGGTTCGAGCACTTCTCCTGCCTCAGCCTCCCAAGTAGCTGGGATTACAGGCGTGCACCACCATGCCCGGCTAATTTTTCTATTTTTAGTAGAGAGGGGTTTCACCATGTTGGCCAAGCTGGCTCGAACTCCTGACCTCGTGATCCACCCAGCTCAGCCTCCCAAAGTGCTGGGATTACAGGTGTGAGCCACTGTGCCTGGCTCTCTCTTTCTCTCTAAGTTGATGATACATGTTTCACCCTAAATAAAGTACATCTTGTAGGCTGCTGATACTGTTTTGACTGATTTTTCTAATTTAGCTTGAACAGACATGGGTTATTTGCTGGTAAGTTTGCATGTGTATTTATGTGACACAGGTTGGTAGTGTTATTTGTGTGTATGTTTATGTGACACGTGTTTGTTGATGGTCAAGATCTACGGAAACTGGGGTTATGGAGAGGGGGCTGCTGTCATGCTCTGAGGCCTGGTGTAATTAGAGCCTGTGTAAGAGTGAATGCCTCTCCAGTGGAGCTATAAAAAAGACAGCCTGCTCTAAAATCATCTTGAGGGAAAGAAAAGTTGTCAGGTATATCAGTTTGCATTTTGTCCAATTGGATATAATAGAACACCCAAATATAAAGACTTAAGCAAATGGAGATTCATTTATTTTTCACATAACAAGAAGCTGAGAGGTAGCATTTCTCAGCTTTAGTTCAGTGGCTTATTGATGTTAAGGCTCATATCTCTTTAATTTTCCTGGTTCTTTTCTCATGGTTGCAAGATAGCTGCGACAGCTCCAGTAGCCATGTAACCATTCCAGGAAGGGACAAGAGAGAGGAAAGAAGGGCAAAAGAGGAAGGATAAAGAGGAAGGGTTGACATAAACTTTTACTGGGAAATGCAAATGCCTTCCTAGATCCTTCTCTTGCAGACTTCCACTCTCGCTTCATTGGCCAGAATTTTCTATCCACAATTAATGGGATACAAAATTTGACTGAGACATTTGTACAATGCTTTAATAATATGATAGGAACCAAGACGGGAACAGAGAGATTTCTGTAGCTTTCAGATGGTTTAAGGACATTGATCTGTAAGGATGGACTATGGAACTCAGAGATTAGCTCGACCTTTATTTATATCGTCTGCCTTTTATATGCACATGTCTGGGATAAAAGAAGGAAGGTAGGGGGATAAGGATTTTGATAACTCCACCGAATTGAAAGCCGTACAGGATATGAACTAGGTCATGAAAACTCTCCTTGTGGTATTGCTGCAGCCATTCTCTGGAAAAAAATCAATTTATATGAACAATTTCTTCATAGTCTCTCTGATTTTTATTGTAAACATGGTGAGATGATGTTCTGGGCTGTTGCATTTTGGAATCAAAGTAGCTTTCAGAAGATCCTCTCTGTACATTTGAGAGTTGCATTTTAGTAATTGAGACCAGAGCTTGACTCCTTGTGTCCACGATGCCACTAAATTAAATTAAGTATTTCGTGGAAAGAACAATGAAAGCCCAAATTCTGTTATTATGCTGTTTACTTAATATGTATGAGCCTGCAGATCTTTTAAGTGTTAATGTAAAACAGACATTGCATTTGTAGGCTTCAATTGCTGGTTTTAGAAAATGTGTTTAGTAATGTAACTTTGATTGTTTAAGGGGACGGGTGAGGGAGGTTTGAATTAGCTCATTTTAAAATATCGGGAACCTAAGGGACAGGAGAATTAAGGAACTTGTCCCAGGTTTCCCAAGTGAAGCTGAGATTCAAAGTGCATCTTGTCTGCTCTGGCATCCATGGGACTTCCTCTTCATTAGGAGGAGGCCGTGAACTACTGCCAAACTCCATGAAGTAAGGAGAATTAGGTGTTGCTAGGTACATGAATGAGGCTCAGATTGAAAAGACTGTTCTCTAGGCCAGAGGTCACAGTGGTTTGGTGTTGGTTCTCTGTCCCTCTGATTTAGTATATATGTATGATAAAGTGATTTAGATGAGAGTTCATGAGATCGGTTTTGATGGCAACTGATGACCTTTGCTGTGGGTCTGGGTGCTCTCTGCCTGTTACTGCTTCCCAACACAAAGGGGACACCAGCCTCAGATATCTGTCCTTCTAGATGGGCTAGTACCCCATAGACTCTTGGCTTGCCAAGAGCCCTTATACAGCAGCTGCCACTGCATATCCAGCCACTTGGCATGCACCAGCCTGTCAGCCCAGTATCATCCGGGGAGGACACAGCCCCATTACCCCTCAGCTCTCCCCACCCACCCCAGAGAGGAGACTGAACATTTTCAAAGGAGCTTTTATTAAGGGGTGATTAAAAAAAGGAGAAAGGGTATAAAAAGTGAGGTGCATTGAGCTGAATGGAGTATTTCTGGCCACAGATGAGCTGAGCCAGTACATCTCATTTTTCTTCATTTTCATCCTGTCTAAGGGACCATGTTCTGAAGCCTGTCCTTGGAAGTTTCCCATTTTCTTCTCCCTTGTGGTGCCCATCCCCTCCAGCACAGAGGAGCAGCAGATGTGGTGGACAAGCATGTGCCAGGGCAAGGTTTGAGCATCCACTTGCATTCAAAGGCTTTTCTTTTTGAATGGCAAAGGCTGGTTTTCCCGTGCTTTTTTTTTTTTTTTAAACCATGACTTGCGGATGGATATTAATAGTACTAGTAAAAATAAAAATAAAATAAACAGAAAGGTTTTACTTGCATTCCTGTTTTCATGTCCAACTCTCTAGTGTCAGGTTTGACACTCTTCAAAACAAACCATTATATATTCTATATACACATACACACACATATCATTTTCACATCCATGTGTGTATGCATCTGATACATATACACACACATAGCTCTGTGTTTGTGCCATGGTTCTTGAGAGTGCTGGAGTAATGGATTGAGCTTATCTTTATCCATTTGTTTTCAAGCTCCCCTTCCTGCTTTAGGTAATGTAGCTGTACCTATCACGAGACATTAAAATGGACATATTCTTGGGCTGGGCGTGGTGGCTCATGCTTGTAATCGCAGCACTTTGGGAGGCTGAGGCAGGCAGATCACTTGAGATCAGGAGTTCAAGAGCAGCTTGGCCAATGTGATGAAACCCTGTCTCTACTAAAAACACAAAAATTAGTTGGGTGTGGTGGCGCACGCCTGTAATCCCAGCTACTTAGGAACCTGAGGTGGGAGAATCGCTTCAACCCAGGAGGCGGAGGTTGCAGCGAGCAAAGATTGTGCCACTGCACTCCAGCCTGGGCAACAGAGCTAGACTCCATCTCAAAAACAAACAAACAAAAAAAAAGACATACTCTTGGACACAGTAATTCCTTCTTCTTGGGAAATTATATCAAGGAAATCACTTAAAAGAAAGAGAAAGTTATAAAATACATTGATGTATTTTTTTAAACATATGTGGTGTAGTAATTTATAGTTTACAAGGACTTTTCACACATATTATTTCATTTCATCTCAAAAACAATCCTCCAAGGTAGCTGGCTTTATTGTTTTTCTCTCATAGTTTATAAATAAGGAAATGGGCTTAGAAAGATAGTGTGATTTCTTTAAGGTTTCAGACCTAAGTGAGTGGTAGAGTTTGGAAAGTTTTGTTTATTTTGGAAGCAGAGAAATTCAACCAGGAGATAGGGCACTACTCAAAAAGATCCACAGCAAAGCACATGTGCTTTGAAAGAGAAAATGAGAAATCCAGGTCTTGAGGCTCCAAGTTTAGTGTCTCTCTACTACTCAATCACCATTCCCAGTGGAGGAACTTGTTATTAACGTATGTTGTGCCAACCTGATGAACATCATAGAATCTCTACGTACTGTAATAACAGAGACTATGAAACAGAATGAAAAAGTGTTTATAGTATAATTTAAGTTATAACATAATATAAAAAGGTTGCATTTATATATAAATGTATAATGTATGTATATTTAAAGATAAAAATTAGAAGACAACATGGAAAAATAAGAAACAGTTGTGTTAACGGGATTGGAACTACATTTTCATATTTTTTCCGTAAATATCTATCTATCTATTCTATAGATAATTCTATCTATCTATTCTATAGATATCTATCTATTCTATAGATAGAATTAAAAATAAATTAAAATAAATAAAATAAATAAATAAATAAAATAAATAAATAAAATAAATAAATAAAAATAAAATAAATTAAAAATTCACATAGTAATAAAAACAAACACCTGAGTGGAAGTACTGGGCTAAGTTCATGCCTAATTCCATTTAATCACAACTTCATGGGGTAGATATTATAATTTCCACTTTGCAGATTTCCACATCCCCATGTCTTAGGATGGTTAAATAACTTCTCCAAGGTTATAAAGCTACAAGTCAAGACAGGGAGGACCTGGGTTTTTTCTCTGCTTCTTTCTATCCTAGACAGCAACAATTCTTCAATGTGTGTCACGCAAAGGGGACCATAGATCGTTAAATTGTCTAACTCATTTTTCATGTTGTGTTTACATGGACTCCCTTTTTTGTTTGTTTGTTTTTGATCATGGAAGAACTTTAGTTGATTGACAGACATTAGCATTCACAGAGTATGTGATTACTTAGAATTTTTTGTGGACCATCCACCAATACTTGATGAAATGCATTGAAGAAGTAGGAATTTACAATCTTCTTTGCAAAACAAAGATCTGGAATAGCAGAGGCTGCTCTGAGGGATGATTCTGAGTGTGTTGCTGAGACCTGGTCCTCTACATGTTTAACAACAGCATTGACCAGAATTTTAGCTCACATGGTAGGGGCATTTGACAATCTATGAACTGCAGAAGGTGAAACTGTACCTCATATAGTAAGGAACAGTGCTAGCCCCAGGCCTTTTCTTACACCCAGGAAGAAAGCCAGTGTTTTGTTGCTCGGTCTGAATTGGTAGAATAAGTGCCTCAGTTCTCTATGTCAGTTTGCCCAAGATTTAAGTGTTTTTGTTATGAAAAGTTGTACTCACCCTGCAGAAAGTAGTGTGAGTTTCTTGGTTATCATGGGGTTGGGGTTTTTCCAGTGGTGTAAAATTCTTCCCAAGACCTGAGTGATGAACTCACTGTAGAAGTCTCCTTCTCTGTTGCAGGTTACAGCATAGCTTGTCTGTGGGAATAGATTTCTCTTTGAAAGAGAGATTTACAGAAGGTCTTGGAGAATGGGACACAAAGTTGTCTTTCACATGCCTCCAGTGAAAGAGCTGGCTCCCAAATACTTCTCCTTCACAGGATGGGGTTTTAATCTGCAGACTCAGGTCCCTCCATCCTTATCTTTCCCCTTTTTCTCTTTCAAAACACGTGTACTTTCCAGAGCTTTCTTGTGGATCTTTTTGATTAATGTCCTGTTTTCCTTTGTTGGGTTTCCCTGCTTTCCAAACAAAGCAAAATAGAATCACCCCACTCTGACTTCCCCGACTCCCTGCTTTTGTTTACTGTACTGTTTTTTAAATCTTTTTTTTTTTTTTCCCCTGAAACAAGAGTCTCACTCTGTCACCCAGGCTGGAGTGCAGTGGAGCGATCTTGCTTTACTGCAACCTCTGCCTCCTGGGTTCAAGCAATTCTCGTGCCTCAGCCTCCTGAGTAGCTGGGATTGCAGGCACACTCCACATCTGGCTAATTTCTCTATTTTTTAGTAGAGATGGGCTTTTGTCATGTCGACCACCCTGGTCTGGAACTCTTGACCTCAGGTGGTCTGCCCACCTCCGTCTCCCAAAGTGCTGGGATTACAGGCATGGGCCACCACACCTGGCCTGTTATTTTAAATCTTGAAATGTGTTCTTATTCTGGGGCTTTTCTTTGGTGTGAAAATGGGCCTAGTAGTAATTCTGCTTAGTACTATGCATGGCATTCCTCTTCTTCAAAGCACTTCAGAAAGATTAATTAATCCTCTCGATTCCCCTTGTCCTGTGGGGACAATTCATACTTGGCCAACAATAGGAAGGAGAATGAAAATGATTCTTACTCTTTTCATAAATGGCTTCAAGCTGCAAAGTGCATTCCCAACACCAGCTAGAATATAGAATAAGCAAGAGAAGGAAAAGGAGAGATTTTGAGAGGAAAATCCTTCTGCCTCCTTCATGAACTTCTTCATCAAGGAATTTGGTGCAGGTTCTTCAGGGGATAAATTATGTGGAGCCTGCTTTGTTGAGGACGTGAGTATGAGCTTAATCCTGAGACTAGTTTTCTTTCTTTTTTTTAACCTTTAAGTTCAGGGGTCCATGTGCAGGTTTGTTACGTAGGTAAACTTGGGTCATGGGGATTTGTTATACAGATTATTTCATCACCACTAGGTAGTAAGCCTAGTACCAATTAGTTATTCTAAGCCTAGTTTTCCTTCTGATTTAAAATCATGGAATGTTAGAGGATTCAGATCTTAGAGATGCAGTAAGTCAACCCCTTGACTTTACAGATGCAAAAACTAAGGCTGACAAAGGTAGATTATATCAAGGTCACACAGGGCTAGAGTGGTTTTTTCCTTGGCCTGCCCTTGCTGTGTCTGTTAGATGACATGTCTGCTCATCTTGAAGGTCTTATGAGAATGGATTAGTTATATTGCTGGCCACTGCTAGGCTTAGCTGTTTGCATGGGGTTCCTGAGTAAAGGGGAGGTGACTTGCTGTAGCCATTCCCACTGGTGTGGCAAAGAAAGATAGAAGAACCATTGTTGTGTAAAAATGCTCTCTTAGTACATTTGGGGAAAATGGGATATAGAATAATCATTCATCTTCAGAGAGAGTCAATGGTTATTTGATTTAAACAAACATTCCATTATGGTATTCACTGTAGCAAATTCTGTAATTATAAGTTTTATGGCAACTCCCATTACTAAACCATTTTCATCCCTCTCCTAGCTGTCTGAAAAACTGTAAATTTTTTGGGAATTTTTGTGGCTAGACCCTGTCTGGTAGAGAATGGATGGCTTCTGGGAGCACAAGGAAGGAAAGAAAATCTCATTAGCTGCCTCTGAGTTATTGTGGAATGGGAAGAAATGTAAGCATATTCCTTTTTCAGTTTGCAAAAGAGTTGAGTGTTTTTCTTCTCTGTATTGTAAAATTGTGAAAAAGGAGGCAGAGAGATCCAATTTTCAAAGTTGCATAGAACCACTAAGAATAGCTGAGAAAAAAGATGCTTTAATGAGTTACTTCTAAGCACACTGTGACACAGCTGCTCAGGATTTCAGCATCTACCCTGCTGATGTTTAAGTTTTGTATTTTCCTCTGCTCTGTGTTAATTATTGTGTCCTTGGAATCTTGAGCTCTTGGAATTAGATGAAGGAATTGCATTCCTAGCTTGGGGAAGAGAGGCTTGGCAGGAAACCTAGGTTGTGGTCATTTCTGTGGTGGTAGGACCTACCCTTAGGGTTAAGTGGATCAACTTGGTTTTGTACATGGTTGATGTAATGCCACATGCCAATGTGCCTGACAAACACATTTTGAGAACACATAGTTCTGGAACAGGATTCAAGACACTCAAAAAATCTTTCCTCATCCTCTCTCGAAATGTAACTTTTTTTTTTTTTTTTTTTTTTTTGAGTCGGAGTCTCGCTCTGTCACCCTGGCTGGAGTGCAGCGGCTCGATCTCGGCTCACTGCAAGCTCCGCCTCCCAGGTTCATGCCATTCTACTGCCTCAGCCTCCCGAGTAGCTGCAACTACAGGCGCTCACCACCACGCTCGGCTAATTTTTTGTATTTTTAGTAGGTTTCACCTTGTTAGCCAGGATGGTCTCGATCTCCTGACTTCGTGATCCGCCCGCCTCAGCCTCCCAAAGTGTTGGGATTACAGGCATGAGCCACCGTGCCCAGCCGAAATGTAACTTTTATGACTCAATCATGAGCAGACTCTTCATCTTCAAGTCACTCTCTTGATTGTCTTCTCTGTGTGTTGTGTTTTTGACTCTGAGTTCCCTCACCCTGTCATTCCTTGTATCCTAATTCTAGTCACCTTTCAAGGATTACCTCAGTTTCTTAGCTTCATCTATTCCCAACCTCCCTAAACCCCATCATCTTAGACTATAAGTCTTCATTTTCAAAATTCAGAGAGCATTTACTTGCTGTACTATTTGATTAAGATATTTGCTTAAAATGTTTTATATGGTTTGCACATCATTTTATATGCATTGCTTGTCTCCCTATCTGGAGTGTCAGTGCTTTGGGGACAGGGACTGTCTTTTTTAATGAATCTGATTTTAGTATCTAGAGGAATTCTAGGACATAGTGTTTGCTTATTCAACAGTTTTGAGTTGTAATACAGTATGTATGAAAATGTCTTATTTCCCTTATAAGCTCTATAAGCTCCATTAGTATTTCATCTTTGGTGCCTTAAACTCATTTGATGCTTAATAAATATTTGTTAAGTGAATTATTTGTGATCACCTGAGCTTTTCAGGGAGGCTATTTGTCTTCAGCTTCTACCCAAATCTCCAGATGCTTCTCATCTCTTTTATAGGCATTAATGACTCTACTTCTGATGGAAGATTTTCACAGCTACCACTTATTATTTGTAGTGATTATAGGTATAGAGGATTATTTTTGGATGCTGTTGCCTTTCCTCTAACGCCCAGGTCTTTGTAAAAATTCTTTCTATGCCAAGTGCCCATTTGTGCACTTTTTTCTTAATCTTTCCTACATACACGGACACAAATGAAAACTATAGTATTCTTGCCATGTTCTGCATGCCTCTTCTTTGTGATATGACTTCCAGAGTCCTTAAACTTTGTTCGAAAATATGTGGGGATAAAAATATTGAATGAAAGTGTTCTCAAAGCACTGACCTATATAATATGAAATAAAAATTACCACAGCCATCTCCTTGCCACCACCTCTTCTTCCCTAATGCTGCGGAGCCACAGCTGTCCAGCTGTCTATTTCCCCAATGCTGTGGAGCCACAGCCATCCAGCTGTCTATTTCCCTAATGCTGTGGAGCCACAGCCGTCCAGCTGTCTATTTCCCTAATGCTGTGGAGCCACAGCCGTCCAGCTGTCTATTTCCCTAATGCTGTGGAGCCACAGCCGTCCAGCTGTCTATTTCCCTAATGCTGTGGAGCCACAGCCGTCCAGCTGTCTATTTCCCTAATGCTGCGGAGTCACAGCCGTCCAGCTGTCTGGTGTTTTCAGGTGGTCCTCCTGCATTCTTCCTCTTCACCCTGTGGCATCACGGAGGCTCTGCCTAAGGGCCTGAAATCCTGGCTGCTCTGTTGACCTGGTTAACCTTTCTTAAAAATTTATTATCTTACTTTAAAAAAAGCTCACAAGTATTATTTCCTAAAGTAATAATAGACATATTTTTTAGTTGAATTCTCTTATTGCCCTTTAACTATTCCTTCACTCATGTAATTATTAATATATAATTTACTTAATTCCATATATATATATATATATATATATATATATATAAATTTTTTTTTGAGACAGAGTCTCACTCTGTTGCCCAGGCTGGAGTGCAGTGGCATGATCTCATCTCACTGCAACCTCAGCCTCCCAGGTTCAAACGATTCTCCTGCCTCAGCCACCAGAGTAGCTGGGACTATAGGTGTGCGCCACCATGCCGGGATAATTTTTGTATTTTTAATAGAGATGGGGTTTCATCATGTTGGCCAAACTGGTCTCAAGCTGCTGACCTCAAGTCGGCCTCCCAAGGTGCAGGGATTACAGGTGTGAGCCACTGCGCCTGGCCCTAAATATCGTGAAGTATACAAATAGGAAAGGATTTTTTGTTTCTCTCTTTATTTATCAAACTTTTATTCAGGTTTGGGAGGTAGGCAGGATGGAGTAGATTGAGGCAGGAGAGGGCATCAAGAACAGGGAGGCCCATGCAGCAGAGCAGAGAGGCTGGGAGGACAGCAGGAGCTTGGGAACCCAATGTACCTGCCTTGAACCCCAGCTCTAATGCTAGCAGCTGTGTACCCTTTCCATTTCAAAATCCTATTGTTTGACTTCTTATTATTGAATGGTAGCATTCTTTATATATTATGGCTACAAGTCCTTTGCCATATATGTAAACTGTAAATAATTTCTCCAAGCCTGTGACTTTTCTTTTTTATCAATATTATTCTGTGATTTTTAGTGGAAAACTAAAAAAAAAACCAAAAAACAAAAAATAAATAAAAGGATGTATCTTGTTCCTGCTTCCTGGAGGTTGGCCATCTAGAAGGTGGCTTGAACAGCATTGGAGTAAAGGATCTGAGAAATAACACAGAGGCAGAGGCTGCACATCTGGAGTCTGGGGTCTTGGAGAAAAGAACTGTTTGTTATGACTGGAGTAATCCTTAAATGAAACCTTGATGGTTGAGTAGAGGAAGAAACAGGTGGAGTGGGAGTTAGGGAAGACTGTTAGAGAGAGGCCAAGGAGAGAGCAGGAACAAAGACCAACAGTAAAAGTGCATGAATGGTTTAGGGAGAGGCAGGCTGGCAGGATGTCGTGTGTGTGTGTGTGTGTGTGTGTGTGCGCGCGCAAAACGAAACAGAATAAATCAAAACACGGAGACACTTTTTTTCCCTAAAGTAAAGAAGCAATACTCAATCCGCTGTTTTATTTCTTGTAGCTGAAATTATTAACATGGGAATATCACTAGCATTTTTCCCATAGATGGACCGAAAATGCTGACGCCAATGCCAAGGAAAAAAGTGTCTTGAAAAAGCAGCCGTGGACGTGGAGTTACCAAATCATCCGAAGTGGCTCCTGGACCGGGTGGAGGAGCCAGGCTGCAGAAATGCAGTTCATCGCAGGAGTTTTCCTGAACAGAGAAAAGTCTCCACAGAATAGCAAAAATAGCAAAAACTCGAAGTCAAGGGTCTTGAGGTCTAAATTTTCTGTGTGACCCCAGGGAAATCGTTTCATCTTTCTAGGTCTTCACATCCTCACCTGAAAAATAAAGTGCTTGGCTAAGAAAGGCTTGAGGTTTTATTTGGCTCATTCTGTGGTTCTCTAGGTCAGTGTTTTTAAAGCTTCCTCACGTATCTGCTGCGTTCAGGAGCCTCAGTCCCAAAGAGTCAGTATTGGGTGGTAACTGCACTTTTCAGTGAGACTCTCATGTTCCACACTAGGCCCCCAAGGATGCTTCTGCAGGTAATCCATGCTGAGAAAATCTGCAAAGTCTTTCCAGCCTGGTCCAGTCCACACTTGTTTTGCCCTTTCCAACTCTAGACTATTGATTCCTGGAGGACGAAGAACTATTTTTAGCCTTCTTTTTCTGCACTGAGTCTCAGGCAGTGTCAGACTTACTTATTTTAGGAAATCTTTATTGAGACCTCCTGGATGCCAGGTATTGGGGTCACAAAGACAAAAGTTCCCTTAAGGATTACTGTCCAATTGGAAGGACATACATGCAAATGAATATATGCCTGGAAATTTGTTGATTGATTAAATGGGCATTTAATATATTTTTTTCAAACCCAGAGACCTAAATATTTACTGATCTTTCCCTACCATCCCATTAAATAACAGTTCTCCAGGATCTTTGAAGGAATATAAGCTCATGGAAGGGCAGAGATCATATCAGTCATTCTCATCCTTTTATAGGTACTTTTGTTAAGAGTCAACTGTGGCACAGATCATTACTTTACCTAGATCTTAATCCTAACAACAATATTTTTATGGAGAAGGAAACTGAGGCTCAGTGAGGCTAAGCCATCTGGCCAAGGTCATACAATAAGAGGCAGAGCTCAGAGTGGAACCCAGTGTGATATATCAAAATACAGTCTACACATCTTTCTTCCAAAGCATTTTTCCTGTAGCAATTAAGTGTGCCTGTAACTTTTCAGCTAACCTCCAGAAAGTTAAGATGGCTGTGTCTTTTATAAGATGTAATTATTTGAGAAACAAGTGACTAAAACTTGCAAAATCTGCAGGGAAGAACTTCTAGGCTCTTTGGAGTTTTTTTGCCCTGCACCAACATCCTCTCAAAGGCAAGGAACAGCAATTATGATAAAAGAGACCAGAAAGTGAAAGGAATAAACAATGTAGCGATTGCTCTGGGAAAACTATAGCTCATTTTTATTTTGATAATGACCTCTAATCTTCCCAGGGGAATTTTGAGCATGTATCTTATCTTAAAACATTTTTTTGAACTTTGGCACTTTTATTGCCTTTACAAGAACAGCTATGATTAAGGGATGACTCTCTTAGTTGCAATGGATGAAACAATTAAATGTGTTTACCTGCTGACATTCCAAACCACTTCTTGATAGGAAACAAAGGTGTGAAACAGCTCTGGTGTTTATGTGAACATAATTTTTTTCTAAATATTATTTTTTTTTTGTTTTGCACCCTGCTTAGAATGTACTTTTGATTTTCTTGAGTTTAGATGAAGTTGACAATCATGATGTAAAGCCAGATCGAAATAGAATTCCTGTTGCCATTTTAAGTTTATAATGTTTAACTACCTAATAATGGCTGGAAATTAAGTCTGGAATCACACCCAAGTTATACTACATATTCAATCAGGCTGAATTTGACGTTAATGATATGACTAGGAGGAGCTAGGAAACAAATTCTTTTTTTTTTTTTTTTTTTTTTTTTCTCATTTCATGAGGCACCCTATACCAGCAGTAAAATGTTTCTTAAATCAGAGGAAAGAATTGACCTTACAGTTTCCTTTTTTTTCTGAGATGGAGTCTCACTCTGTCTCCCAGGCTGGAGTGCAGTGGTGCAATCTCGGCTCACTGCAACCTCCGCCTCCCGGGTTCAAGCGATTCTCCTACTTCAGCCTCCCAAGTAGCTGGGATTACATGTGTGTGCCACCACAGCCAGCTACTTTTTGTATTCTTAGTAGAGACAGGGTTTCGCCATGTTGGCTATGCTGGTCTCAAACTCCCAACCTCAGGTGATCCGCCAGTCTTGGCCTCCCAAAGTGCTGGCATTACAGGTATGAGCCACTGCGCCCGGCCAGTTACTTTTAAAACTTGATCTAGAACGCTCTTGATTTTGGAATTATAATGCTTAATATTTTCCTCAATTATGACTGCCCAGATTTAGCCAAGGGCAATTAGAAGAGGAAAGACTGACTTCATCTTGACCCCTGGGGCCAGAGCTACTATAGCAAGGCCAACTTCAACCCGTATGGAAGATGTGGCTGCTGAGAGCTTCCTATAGAGCCCCTGACATAGGATAAAGGGAAAATATGTCTGTTTTAAATCATACTAACATTGTGATAAAGTAATATTATGTCCTTTGAAGGACCTAAAATAGTGCTAAATTGTATCATGACCAAGAAACATTTGTTTAGCATTTACTCTGTGCCAGGCACTAAACTAGGTATGAAGGATATAAAACTAAATAAGGTGTAATGTTTGTCTTCAAAGAGTTTCTTTATCCTGCAAGAAATTAGAGATGGCTAAATTTAAAAAAATTTTTATTAATGTATTTTTAATTTTTTTTTTAATTCATAAAATCCAGATCCTGCACAAGATAGCTGGACTTCTCTAAGGAATCAGAATTACAAGGAAAACATATTGATTTTATCCCTTTGTTAGTGAAAATAATACATTCAGATTTGAAATGGTCAATTGTTCACAGTGATTTTTGGCTGTTATGAATAAAGCTGTTATGAACATATGTGTAAGTCATTGCATGGACATATATTTTCATTTCCCTTTGGCAAATACCTTGGAATGGGAATTGTTAGATCACGTAATATGTATATATTTACATTTATGAGAAACTGCCAAACTTTCTGAAATGGTTGTCCTGTTTTACACTCCTGCCTGTAATGCATGAGAATTCTAGTTGATTCATATGGACACCAACACTTAGTATTATTAGTCCTTTCACTTTTAATCATTCTAGTGGATGTGCAGAGATATTTCATTGTGGTTTTAATTTGCATTTCCAGGTAACTGTTGATAATGAGCATCTTCTTATGTGCTCATTGGTCATTCAAATAGCTTATTTTGTAAAGTGTCTTTTGCTCATTTTGAAATTGTATTGTTTGACTTATTGAGTTGTAGTGTTCTTTATATATTTTGGATACAAGTCCTTTGCCATGTATGTAAATTGTAAATATTTTCTCCCAGCCTGTGCTTTACGTTTTCATTTTTTCAGCAGTATTTTTCAGTAAACAAGAGTTTAAAGTCCAATTTGTCTTTTTTTCTTTTTATGATTTATGCTTTTTGTGTTCTATATTAAAAATCTTGGCTTCCCTCAAGGTCATCACAAAGATTTCTCCTATTTTTTTAATAGAAGTTTTATTTTCTATGTTTAGACCTATGATATATTTTTAATCAACTTTTGCATATAGTACGAGGTAAGGGTCAAGGTTTATTTTATCCATATGGATATCTAATTGCTTCAGCTCCAGCTATTGAAAACACTATCCTTTCTCTTCATTGAATTTCCCTGGCACCCTTGTTGAAAACCAAGTTACCATGTATTTGTCGTTCTATTTATGGACACTTTTCTGCTCTATTGATTTGTAAATCTTCCCCACCCCCACAATACCACACTATCTTGCATACTAGGTTTATAATAAGTTGTCATATCAGATAATGTACCTGGTCTCCTAACCTTTTTTTCCTTAAAAGTTATTTTGATATTCACGGTTTTTGCATTTGCATTTCCATTTTAGAGTATTTGCCAATTTCTATAAAATGCTGCTAGAATTTTGATTGAGATATGATTAAATCTGTAGATTAATTTGAGGAGAATTGATGTCTTAACATATGGAGTCTTCCAATCCCTATGTATGGCATGAATCTCCATTTATTTAAGTCTTTTTAGTTTCTTCCAGCAATGTTTTATTGGTTTCAGTTACACGTCTTGTATATATTTTGCTAAATTTATTCTTAATTTTTAAATGTTTTTGCATGATACTATATATGGTATGTTTTAAAATTTCAATTTTTAATTGGTTATTGCTAGTATATTGAATACATTAACTTTTGTATATTGGCCTTGTATCCTGAGACTTTGCTAAGCTCACTTTTAGATCTTTTTGTAGACTTTCTAGGAATTTCTGTGTATATGATCATGATGCTTGCAAATACTTTTAATTCATTCCTTCTAATCTGTATACGTCTTTTTCTGTTTCTTTCCTTATTGTACTGCCTAAGGTCTCCAGTATAATGTGGGACAGAAGTGGTGAGAGTGGACATCCTTGCCTTGTTTGCTATCTTAGCAAACAAAAAGTGTTGAGCTTTTTATCACAAAATATAATGTTGGCTGTACATTTTTTTTTGGTAGATGCCATTTGTCAAGTTGCTAATTTGCTGAGGGGGGTGTATGTGTATATGTGTGTTTTGCTGTAAATGGGTGTTGAATTTCACCAAAGTTTTTCTGCATCTATTGAGAAGACATATTACTTTTCCCTTTTAGTCTTTTGAATATGGTGAATTTCATTGATTGATTTTTGAATTCAAATCACTATTGTTTATTTCATGTGCATACGTGTGAAAGACCACCAAACAGGCTTTGTGTGAGCAATAAAGCTTTTTAATCACCTGGGGGCAGGTGGGCTGAGTCTGAAAAGAGAGTCAGCGAAGGGAGATGGGGTGGGGCAGTTTTATAGGATTTGGGTAGGTAAAGGAAAATTACAGTCAAAGGGGTTGTTCTCTGGCGGGCAGGAGTGGGGGTCGCAAGGTGTTCAGTGGGGGAGCTTTTTGAGCCAGGATGAGCCAGGAAAAGGACTTTCACAAGGTAATGTCATCACTTAAGACAAGGACCGGCCATTTTCACTTCTTTTGTGGTGGAATGTCATCAGTTAAGGTGGGGCAGGGTATTTTTACTTCTTTTGTGATTCTTCAGTTACTTCAGGCCATCTGGTCGTATATATACGTGCAAGTCACAGGGGATGCGATGGCTTAGCTTGGGCTCAGAGGCCTGACAGTTTCCATTCATAAACTCTTTTTGGCCATTGTAATAGTTCATTTTAGTGTCAACTTGATAGGCCCAAGGGATATCCAGACAGCTCTGGAAAAACATTATTTCTGGATGTGTCTGTGAGGGTATTTCAGAACAGATTAACATTTGAATCAATGGACCAAGCAAAGAAGATCTGCCCTCACCAGTGTAGGCTGGCATCATCTAATCCATTAAGGGCCCAAATAGAACAAAAATACAGAGGAAGCACAAATTTTCTCTCTCTCCCTTTTTTTTTTTTTTTTTTTTTTTGAGCTGGGACATCCATCTTCTCCTGCCTTTAGACATCTGAGTTTCTGGTTCTTGAGCCTTTAGACTCCAGGACTTACACAGGTGGCTGCTCCCTACCCTGCCAACCCATGACCCCTCTGGCCCTGGGTTCTCAGACCTTTGGCCTTGGACTGGAAATTACACTATTGATTTCCCTGGTTCTCAGGCCTTCAGACCCAGGCTGAGTTATACCATTGGCTTTCACGGTTCTGCAGCTTGCAGATGGTGCATCATGGGACTTTTTGGCCACTGTAATCACATGAGCCAGTTCCCATAATAAAGCTCGTCTTATATATCTGTATATATTCTACTGGCCAGTTTCTCTGGAGATGCCTAGTACAGCCATGCTGTGTTATACTTTATGTATATATTTAATTTGCTATATTTTGTTAAAGATTTTTGTTTCTATGTTTATGAGTATATTGGTGTGCAGTTTCATATTCCTTGTAATGTCTTTCTTTGGCTGATTTTAGTATGAAGTCAATGCAGGCTTACTCCTTGTTTTTGTTGATATCCTCAACTCAATCTGTCTGCTTGGACACCGGCTGTATGCTTTCTCTTCTTGACCTTTGCTCATTTTAACTCTGAATTTTATCTTCCCATTTGGTCCTGTGCCTGGTACTTATTTGCTACTAGTGGGCTTCTCGTTGAACTTCTCAAGACATTTGGAATCATCACACCTTTAGGAAGAGGGTCCAGGACCTGGTTTATCATGTTTTTCTCCATCCTACATACCAATTGGTCATAGCTTTCCAAGACCCAGAGGACAAATGTACTGGCAGATATTCTGAGAAAAAGAAATCAGATGAAAACTAATGTTCTAAGTTTCATGCGCATCCATGTGAAGAGACCACCAAACAGGCTTTGTGTGAGCAACATGGCTGTTTATTTCACCTGGGTGCAGGCGGGCTGAGTCCGAAAAGAGAGTCAGCAAAGGGAGATAGGGGTGGGGCCGTTTTATAGCATTTGGGAAGGTAATGGAAAATTACAGTCAAAGGGGGTTCTCTGGTGGGCAGGGGTGGATCTCACAAAGTACATTCTCAAGGGTGGGGAGAATTACAAAGAACCTTCTTAAGGGTGGGGGAGATTACAAAGTACATTGATCAGTTAGGGTGGGGCAGAAACAAATCACAATGGTGGAATGTCATCAGTTAAGGCTGTTTTTACTTTTGTGGATCTTCAGTTACTTTAGGCCATCTGGATGTATACGTGCAAGTTACAGGGGATGCAATGGCCTGGCCTGGGCTCAGAGGCCTGACACTAAGCAGGACAGATCCATCACTAAATTGTTAACCTCCACTTTCAACTCTAGGAACTTGAAATCCAAGTCTTTCTCTGATTACATCTTAAATCTTTATGTTCTCTGTGTTCTTTGTCTTCTCATTTGAGATGCTTCTTAAGCAATCTCATCTAGTGTCATAGCTTCAACTGCCAACTATATCCTAACTCTGCCAGAGCTACTCTCTCAGCCCAGGTTCCTCTGCTGAGTTCCACACCCATGTATTTCTATTGCCTACTGTATATCCTCTTCCTGAATTTCTATAGGGCTGCCATCTCAATGTATATAATTTTCTTTGTATTTATTTTCAGACTTACTCTTAACAGTTGTGTCCCATGGCCAAAACTTCATCTTTGAATTCTCCCTGACTTCATCTGCTGCCTGATCTCACTTACTGTTTTCATCTATTTAAAATTTCTTGATTTCATTTCCTTTCTTTTTAAATTTTCATTTATTGTTCAATGTTCCAAACTTACAGAATATCATATAAAATGTACAATGTATATGTACAATTTAAAAAATAATCTAAAACTCATGTTAAGAAATATATTACACTAATTTATTTAAATTTTTATTTTTAATTTTTGTGGGTACATAGTAGGTGTATACATTTATGGGGTACATGAGATGTTTTGATATAGCCATACACTATGGAATAATCACATCATGGAGAATGAGGTATCCATTCCCTCAAGCATTTATCCTTTGTATTACAAACAATCCAATTACACTCTTTTAATTATTACACTAATTAGAAATTCCCCTTTACTAGTGTATCTTCCCTTTTCCTCCAACCGGTGGTAACCACTGTCTAGATTTCTGTTTTAATCATTCTCTTGCTTTTATTTATAATTTTGCCACTTGGTTAGGTATTATTAAAAGATACATTATTAAGTTTTGAAACAATTGGTAGCAAGAACAAATACAATTGTGCAAACAGAATGTAGTAGATGAGTGCTCTCAGTAGAAGATAGACTGAAGAGTCTTAGATTCTCTGAGACTAAGAGTTGCCAGGTATTCTTTCTAGGACAGTCAATGAGCAAAGTCACAAGAGATTCTTGGAAACACAGGCTTACCTCGTTGAAGTATTTGGCAGGGCTCCCACGTAGGCCAGGTACTATATGTCCAGCAGGATTACAGGCATGGGAAGTGGGCTGCTGTGTATTTTCTTCTTCAAAGATTACCATGGCCTGTTTTAAGCTCTTAGGGGTAGGTCAAAGCTGAACTTTTCTGTAGAACAAAATGAGTGTCCTAAGCTGGTCCATGCAATAGGTATGTGAGGAGAATGAGGGCTTCATTAGCACTTGATCAGGATAAAACAGGTACAGATTAGAATCTGGACCAGAGTCTCCCAGGCATTCTGTTCTTAGGTCAACACAATGATACAATGACAGGGGGCATGCTAGTGTTGTCAATGTCTTGAATTACTCTGCTCTAATCTGCTCTTGTTGCCCTCTCTGTCTGATTCACAGCAGTCATTCTGGGGTGTTTCTTCCCTGTCTTCCTGGGAATTCTCTTCATTTCTTTCTTTGCTGCATTTGCTAATGTTTTAATTTACTCTGTGGCTCTCTATCGCCACCATCTAAGCATATCTTGAGAAAGAGCACATGAGGGGTTAAATTTCTAAGACATTTCATATATATAAATATTTTTATTTTTCCTTTATATTTGATTAATAATTTAGCTGGGTAGAGAATTCTAAGTTGGAAATGATTTTCCTTCATAATTTTGAAGGCATTGTTTCTGATGTTGCTGTTGAAAAGCCTGGAGCCATGTTCATCTCTTAGACTTTGCATGTAACTTGCTTTTTTCCCCCAAAAAACATGTAGAATCTTTTTTTTTCATTCTTGGTGCTTTGAAGTCAGTTTACTTTCATCCACTGTGTTGGAAATTCAGTGGGCTTTTTTGATGGGATAATCTATGCCTTTCAGTTCCGGGAAATTTTCTTGAATTATTTTCTTAATGATTTTCTCCTTTCCATTTCTCTGTTCTATCTTTATACAACCTCTGTTATTCAAATTTTGGGACTTCTGGATATGTCCTTAATTTTCTCTTTTCTGTTTTCTATCACTTTGTCTTTTCACTAATTTCTGGATAACTGTGGCAACTTTATTCTTTAGTCTTTCTACTTAATTTTTATTTTTGCCATCAAAATTTAACTTCATTTAAAAACTTTTTAAATTGAGGTTAAATTATACACATATAATTTACTATATTTACCATTTTTAAGTATACAGTTCAGTAATAATAAATACATTCATATTTTTTTCCCTCCCTGCTACCCTTCCTGGCCTCTGATGATTACAAAATTTGAGTTCTAAGAGCTTTTTGTTTTCTGAGTTTTTAAAAATTGTACTGTTTTCTTGTTTCATGCATCCAATGTCTTCACTTACCTCTAGGAAGATAATAATGATGGTTTCTTTCTCTTTGTGTATTGCCTCTGTTTCCTCTGGGTTCCTTTCTTTTGTGTGTTTTGGCCTCTATTTTGCATATAGGAGTGCCGAGTATCCTTCATTTGTTTTCCCAAATCCACTCTCACCCTTCTCTCTACTTTGAGCTTTGGGTGGCTGGCCTCTATGGACAGTATCAACAGGTCTCTGTGCCCTCTGGGTTTCATGTGGGCTTAGCCCATGGCAAGCACCAGGAGCTTGTAGGGAGTGAAGAGAATGATGTTGGAGTATTTATGGCCCTAGCTCTGTTTCTGTGGGCTTACTACATGCCAGCTGTGCCCCTTAATCAAAGGTGTTTGCCAGGCAGTCCTTTTCACACAGCCCTGTCTGTCTCTGGGTTCTAGTAACTTTTCTTCCCTCCCTCGTCCTTTCTGGCCTAGCAATGGCAATCAAGACTTAGTGTAATTATCTCCAGGAGAGGCCACTATCCCTTGCGGTTCATTTCTAGCTTCTAGTACTATAATAATATTATAATTTATTTTTTAGCCTCAAGCTTTCTCTGAATCCATTCTTCATTCAACCATTAAGAAGATGATTTAAAACAATTCTTCAGTGGTTTCTCACTGTCTGTGGGATAAAATTCAAGCCCGTAAATTGAGCTGAACCTGAGATATTATTTCTCTCAGCACTCTTTTCATGTATTTCTTTCCACTGGCACTGTATCCCGGGTTACTACCAGTCAGAGTTCTAACGATTGCACCACTACGCCGTGGCAGAGGTTATCAGTACTCACCCTATAAACATGGATGGGGTTCTCATTTTCAGCCAGCTGGTGGGTGATCCAGCTCCAAAATCTCATTTTAAAGTTTGCTTCCTAGGATCATTGCTAATAACAATAGTGTCAGATTAAATTCCCCAGGAAGCATATGCTGAGATGGGGACTGTTCTCGAGCATGAAATCAATAAGGGAGGAAGCAGAATTGGGCAGTGAATTGAATGAATTGCAAAGCAGTAGTTGCAATAGAGGCCTCAGCTGATCCCACAGGGAGCTGGTGGACTGAGTTGACCCTTCACAGTTATCTAGCATTAAAGCAATGGGCAAAAACTTTTGTAGTCACCCACCAGTCACTGGTTGTGGGACTGCCTCCTGAGAAGAGGCCTTAATCTTGGGTTTGGCTCCCTTTGGATGAAGCAATTAATGCTCACAGAGGGACCCAGCTGTAGCCAACAGGAGCCAACACTCCCAGCACCTTGGTCCCAAATGGGGAGTATGATGATCACCAGCTTCCATCCCAACATATAATGCCCTGTATGTCTGGCTCCTGCCTCTCTCATCAGCTTATTTCATGCCAGTCCCTATCACACATACACAGTCCAACTATTCTGAAGTACTCCTAGTTCGGTATATGAGCTGTAGATTTTCTCTGCTCATGCTGTTCCATCTACCTAAAATACCTTCCTCCGATTGCTTTTTGTGTTCCTAGTCGTATTTTAATCCTGCATGTCTGAGGTCAGAGTTACTTCTCTGATTTCTACCCCTCTGCCACAGTTTGAGTTTGGAGTCCCTTAAATTTGCTTTCAAACTCCATTCATACATCACAGATCTTACCACATGATACTGAGACTCCCTGCAGATGTATCTATCTCCTAACTAAACTCTTGTCCCCTCCCCCCCAGGCCAGTTGGCATCTTATTTGTCTTTGAATGCATAGCACCTGACACATGCTCGCAACATGGTAGATATCTCACGAGAGTTTGGTGAAGAAATTAACTGTTAGTGTCATTGCTTAAGTACATATTGTTTAATTTTTGAAATACTCATTTTCACTGGTTTTATAGTCTTATCAAGAAATGACACTCACATACAAATGTTTACTGAACCTCAACTATGTAGACATGTGTTGGAAGATTTTATGAAATAGCTCACATATCACTGTCTCTGGTCTCTCAGAGCTCATTATTTACTAGGAGAAATAAATTTTTAACAGGTAATTATTTATTATTCACAACAGAAGTTTAAACAAGATGTGTACATATCAATTGACTAATGGCTGTCTCTGGCAGTAGACGTTCATCTCTGTTCTTTTTAGACTGTAGCTGTATCTACTAGCTTTCTCTTTTTAAAAATAGGGTCACAATTTTAATCCAAAATTTGCAGATTTGGGCTATTTCTGTATGATCCAATAACTAATTTGTCAAAGGGCTTAATTTGCTATTTTTGGGAATTTGTCAGCTCATCTGTCTGAATTTTCACAATTGGTATTATGTCACTAGCTACCTGATATGGCTATTTCCCACTGTATCTAGCTTTCTATAAGGCAGTGCTTTCCAAAATTTAATGTACATTCTAACTGCCTGGAGAACTTTGCAAAATGCAGATTCTGCTTCAGAAGGCCTAGAGTAGAATCCCAGATTCTGCATTTTGAACAATCTTGTAGGTGTCACCAATGTTGTTAGTCAAGGAACACATTTAGTGTAGCAAGGCTCTTAGACACATTTTTTAAAAAAACTGCACTTGAAGTCATCTACAGTTGGTAGATAAATGTTCGCGTCTACCTCCTTACTGATTTTCCCTGGGAGAACTTTCTTAATAAATCTTCATCTGGTAATCAGCTTCTAAGCACTGAGACAAAGATACCAGACATCCCCCACTCCTTCCTTCTCTTGCCACCCAAATACTGATTCCTTAAGGTAACTGCTGGCATTAACCTTTATTACCTCTCATATCATAAAAAATCCTAATTTCCAAATTCTGCAAATAGAACTTTGGTTGAATTCATATCTTTAATCAATGAATAACATACATATTTTTTAATGTTCAGCATTTTATAAATGAATTTAGTAATGAAGAAATAAGCCTGTAGTCTTTTTTCCTTCTGCCTTGCATAACTCAGCAATAAACTTGTTCCAACTATTTGAACAGTTTTTCAGTTATACAGTTATTGTTTATTCAGATACTGAACTTTTTCTGTTGGGATTTTGCTTCTGGTTCTTAAGTCTTGGTGATGCCTAACCAAAGATCAGTCTGACAGTGACACAGCTCTTAGGGAAGGAAATAATGATTATTGCTTGTGGGGTGGATGTGTTCCCATGTGGAGTCAGTGTTAGTAATGGGCATCTGGCCTTGAGAAATGCACTTGCTTGGAGGAGGAGGAGGATGCAATGCAATTGAGTTAAGCTCTTACTGAGATTGCGGTATCTCCTTGGGATGAAAAATGATCAAATGTGAGACACTCTAGCTCAAAACTGGACAATGCTACCAGTGAATTTATCTCCAAAAAATAATTTGCTCTGATTCCTGGTCCTCCAAGAATACTACCCAAACTAGGGTCAAATGAGAGTTGGATGATTAAGGGTATTAATTTCTGAAGTTGATTTTAATCTACTCTGTAGCAGAAAACCTATTTACTTAGATGACGTGAGATTTGGGGGACAGCTCTGCTTTGGCTGGAGTCCTGGGAATTGAGAGTTCATTGAGAGGCATTTACATTTGTGGTGTTGCCTCCAGGATAAACAACGATGGCAACAACACTGACCACAACAACATAAACACTGCTCGCAATTGGGCTGAAGATAAACTGAATCCCTTCCATTGGTTGTGGAAGAGGAATAATGCGGGTATGGAGGGGTAGGACCACTGGGCAAGCATCATGGGAAGAAGGAAAACGGTGTCTCCTGGAGAAATTTGACTGTAAAGGGAGAAACTTTCTGTAGAGTAATCTAGACCTTGCAACAAAGCCTGTGGATCAGAGAGGAGCAGCAGTTGGTTCTGGTGGACTGTTATTTAAGCAGCCTTACCCATCTTCCCTTGTGGTGCCTGCAGGCTTAGGGACCCTTGTATACAAGGTGAACGTCATAAGTTGATGAGATCTTGGGTTTCCAGCAAGACCACTGTACCTCCTCCCTTTCCTCATTTTAAACACAGCATAAGTCAGAGGGAAAGAACATTGCTCTTATGGATTTTCACTGATTGCACCTGGCCAGTGGTGGCATCGTTGCTTCGTGTGCAAGGGCACCTCTGAAGGCCAGAGCAGGCTCTTGCCTACAAAAACCTGGCTTAGCTCATTTATGCTCCCATGTGGATAAAGGAAAGCACAAGGAGAAAAGTTACTAGGGGTTGAAAGCTCAGAGGTGGGCCTCTGGTTCTGGATGAGGGAAGACACAGGAGTAGGAAGGGTGTGGAGTGGGGAGGCCTGGAAGGTGACACTGGTGAACAAAGCTGTGAGGGATCTGGGCTTCCCAAGGGTGCTGGGGCTGGGAAGAGAGGAGGAGAGAAAAGGAGGGCCAAGAGGAATTCGAGAATTGCTGGTGGAGACTGGCTGCTCAGGGAAGCCAGGAGAGTGTAATAAACCACGAACAGGAGAAAGTCAGAACATTTCTCTGAGTACATCTTCACATGGAAGATGGAAGTAAGATTGATGCAGAGCAGGCGAGCCCCAAAATTGGAGCTTAGCCCGGGAGTGTTCTTGGCTTCACCCAGGAAAGAATTCAAGGGCGAGCTGGTGGTGTTGGCAACTTTTATTGAAGTGGCAGTGTACAGCATCGGCAGAGGTACTGCTCCTTATGGAGCAGGGCTACCCCGTAGGCAGTGCTCCCAGAGTAGCAGCTAAAAGGCAGTTTTGCAGTCATATTTATACTCACTTTTAATTATATGCAAATTAAGGGGCAGATGCAGAAATTTCCAGAAAGGGTGCTAACTTCCAGGTTGTTGGGTCATTGCCATGGAAAGGGATGGCAACTTCTGGGTGTTGTCATGGAAATGGTAAATTGCCATGGCACACTGGTGGGCATGTCTTATGGAAAGCTACTTCTGCCCTGTCCCTGTTTTAGCTAGTCCTCACTTTGCTCCAGTGTCCAAGTCCTGCCTCTGAAGTTGAGTGTCACCTCCTGAGTTGAGTTCCACCTTCTACCTCAAGATGACCATGAAAGAAAGAAAATAACCCAAGGGTCTAGGCTAAAGGAAGAACCAGAGAGATAACTGGTATGAGAACAGCATGAGTTTTGGGAAACTAGTTATGCTTTAAACTCACATCAAGCTGATTTAATGAAATATAAGTGCATATGCATATAACTTATATGAACTATATTATCAATTTTGAGATCCCAACACACTGTTATACAACTGTGTGTTCACTGAAATGGCCTTGGCCGTCATACAGTAGGTTCATTTGGGGAAAGAGAGGGAAATAGTTGTAGTTCTAAAAGCGAGGTTCTTAGAGGGGGAAAGGCCACAATTTAATGAGCAAAATTGTCAACTTATAGCCTTATCAGGTGTTCAGCCTTACGCAATGTGCTGGAAATTCAAAGGTCCCTGCTCTTAAATGATGTTGTCCGCTAGAGGGTCATAGCAACCACGTGCTAGGATGACCAAGGGGAAGGAGCTGAAAGAATCCATGTCAGAGGCTGGATGGTACACAGATTGGTTAGGGACTGTCCAGAAGATGTCTTCCAGGCATATTCATTGCATATCAGGAAAGATTATCCTACGAAAATATTTCAGATGTATAAAAATTTGTAAAGGATAAAACATTGGGTACTTATGTGCTCATCACCCAAATTAAGAAACAAAAACAAAAAACACAGATAAAGTCCCTTGTGTAACCATTCCTGAGACATCTCAGTGAGTTTGCACTTGTCTTTAAGATCCTCAATGGGCTGTCTTCTTATAGGACCTAACATTTGCAGGTCCTTGGATGAATTAGGACTGTGATTGTTGAGGGGATTATGAAATAAGGAAGGTTAGTCCCCAAAATACCTAACTGGAGGAACCTCTCCCCTTTAAACTGGAGTCTTTTTCTTACAGCTCAGAACTTGGGGATCAAGAGACCTCCTGCCTAATCCCAAAGCTTGGGACTTGATTTCCTGTGAGGCCTGGGGTTTGAAATAATCCAGGGTAGAAATAAGAGTGTAAAGGAGCACTTAGTCATCCCCTAAGCAGGCCTAAGCTGCTTATCTATGTTAGAAAATAGGAACTTTCAAAGGGAACAGTTGTCTCCCTTTGAAGAAACTGTCAGTGGAAAAGCTTTTAAAAATAATTTCCTTGTGAAACGCATAATGCTCTTATGCATAACTCTCTGACACTGCTGTTTAGCAGACTCTTCCATTTGTATGAGCTCTGGAATATGAAACATTTCTTGTGCAGACTCAGAAAATAGCTTACTTATCACACTGTGCCTGTCAGCTGCATTGTAGGTGCCAGCCTAGTGCAGTGGTATGATGGGTAAGGCCGGTTCTGGGTGATGTCTGTGCTGCTGAGATCAGGGTCTTTAGAAGTCATGGTGTCTGAAGGTTTAAAAAAGAGCAGATGGGTTAGCAGCACTCTGCCTGCCTGCCATTCTCAGAGGTCTGGTGGGAGTATAGTTCTGTTAGGTCCTCTGGGCTGGGAAGAGCCTGCCTGGGAGGTTCCACTGGAGAGTAACAATGATCCAGGATAACACATATCTCTTGTTTTTGGCTGTTGCAATCTGCAGCAAGGGCGTAGCTGGAGGGTTCCAGAAAGATTCAGCAGGTTTGAGGACTCACAGTTCATTGGATCATTTGACTAAATTCCACAAAATTATTGTGAAAATAATAGCAGCGTACTATTATTGAGCACTTACTATGAAAGCACAAACAATGCACGGAGCTTGTATTTTTTAACACATTATCATATTGATTCTTTTTTTTTTTTTTTTTTTTTTTTTTTTTTTTTTTTTGAGACGGAGTCTCACTCTGTCACCCAGACTGGAGTGCAGTGGCACCATCTCGGCTCACTGCAAGCTCTGCCTCCCGAGTTCACGCCATTCTCCTGCCTCAGCCTCCTGAGTAGCTGGGACTACAGGGGCCCGCCACCACGCCCAGCAAATTTTTTGTATTTTTTAATAGAGACAGGGTTTCACTGTGTTAGCCAGGAAGGTCTCGATCTCCTGACCTCGTGATCCGCCCGCCTTGGCCTCCCAAAGTACTGGGATTAGAGGCGTAAGCCACCACGCCCGGCCATATTGATTCTTATCCCAAATGCTATTAGGTAGTTTTATTACTCTCCACTTTAGAAATGAAGAAGAGGTTAAATAACTTTCCTAGGGCCACACAGTCTAGAAGTTGCAGGGCTAGGGTTTGAATGTAGGTCAATTGGCTTAAAAGTCTGCATTCTTTTCACCTTGTCAATGATTCCTTAATCAGTGTGCCTAACAAAAGTCAGAGACTTGGTCCCTATCCTTATGAGATTCTTATTTATTAGGTCTAAAGTGGGGCTGCATTTTTAATGTACATTTTAAACACACTCCACAGTTGATTTTGATGCAGGTGGTTGAAGTCCTGTCTTAGTCCTTTTTTGCTGTTATAACAAAATACCACGAACTGGGCAATTTATAAACAATCAATATTTATTTTCATGGTTCTGGAGACTTGGAAGTCTGAGATCAAGATGCCAGTAGGTTTGGTGTCTGGTGAGGGTTGCTCTCTGCTTCCAAGAGGATGCCTTGTTGCTGCATCCCAGAAAGGACAAATGCTGGCTTCTCACATGGTAGGAGGGATAAAAGGGCAAAAGAGAAGGGCCCTGTTTAACTTTGAGTTTTTGTTTTGTTTTGAGACTGAGTCTCACTCTGTTGCCCAGGCTGGAGTGCAGTGGCACAATCTCGGCTCACTGCAATCTCTGCCTCCTGGGTTCAAGCAATTCTCGTGCCTCAGCCTCCTGAATAGCTGGGACTACAGGCATGAGCCACCACGCCCAACTATTTATTTTTATTTTTTTTGTTTTTGTTTTTGTATTTTTAGTAGAGATGGGGTTTCACCGTCTTGGCCAGCTGGTCACAAACTCCTGACCTCAAGTGATCCACCCGCCTCGGCTTCCCAAGGTGCTGGAATTACAAGTGTGAGCCATTGCGCCCAGTCCATTGAGTTATTTTATAAGGGTGCAAATCTCATTCATGAGCCGGGAGCCCTCATGACTTAATTGCTTCTCAAAAGCCACACCTCTTAATACTGTTGCAATGGTATTAAGTTCCAATATGAATTTTGGAGAGAACAACCATCATTCAAACCATAGCAAGTACCGTTACTAGAGACTAAGTGTTTATGTCCCCCCAAAATCCCTCTGTTGAAACCTAGGCCTTTGGGAAGTGATTAGGTCATGAGGGTGGAGCCTTCATCAATGAGACCCAAGATTAGTCTAATTAGACTAGTGGTGGGATTAGTGGCCTTATAAAAGAGACCCCAGATAGCCCCCTCACCCCTTCTATCGTGTGACAACACAGTGAGAAGATGGCTATGTCTGAACCTGGAAGGCTTCACTGGACACTGAATCTGCTGTGACTAATCTTGGACTTCCCAGCCTTCAGAACCATGGGAAATGAATTTCTGTTGTTTATAAGCCACGCAGTCTATGGTATTCTGTTGCAGCAACTTAAATGGACCAAGACAACCACACTTGAAGAAACACTGGAATGTGCCTATACCAATGGCCAAGCCATTTTCAGGGCATCTGCAGCCATGTAGAAGCAGAGAATCTATCACAGAAAGTGGGGTGTTAACTCAGATGGGTTAGTTTCCCTGTCCAGGAGACCCACAAGGGGTGCACTTCAGCTTCCCAGTGGTTTTGGTTCTAGGGTGGGGTTGGCATGAGTGCGTGTTCCCAGCCCAGATCTCTGGGTCTGCTGAAAAGAAGCCCAAAGAAGTTTTCTGGATCTTCTCTTCTGTCTATCTAGTCAAAAACTCTGGGTGACAGCCAGTCACATCTGGATTTCTTGGGCCTTCCTGTACACCATTGTCTCAGCTTCAAATCCACATATTATAATTGGTTGGAACTGAACTGATTTTGAGCAGGATACATGACTTTATTTCTTGGCAACATGCTTCCAATGGCACATTCTCCAGCCATTACTGGGGAGCCAGTGGGACCACTTCCACCTTAGAACGAGGCCTGCAAGGAAAGAGAGTGCAAATCAACCCTTCTGGGTCTGGCACAAAGTAAATTCTCAGTAAATACCAATAGAATGATTTCTCCTTAAGAAATAAATAGAGCAGGTCAGTCTCCACAGGTCCTCACCCAAGCAGGTGGGAAAAGTCAAATTGGCAGGGGTCCCCATATTCCCTACCTCCATCCTTCTCTGCTCCATAGCACTAGCCCTTATTTTCCACCACAGTACCGAGGTGCCCATTGAGGACCCTCCTGGAAATGGAGGGTCATGGAAAGGAAGAGGTGTTTTCTGATTCAGTACCATTACACTAGTTAAGATGTTCTGGGTTGTGATGGGTTGCATAACAGAATCAGGAAAACTCCCCGTAAATTGATACACTTGGCTGGGTGCGGTGGCTCACACCTGTAACCCCAGCACTTTGGGAGGCTGAGGCGAGCAGATCACTTGAGGTCAGAGACCAGCCTGGCCAACATGGCAAAGCCTCATCTCTACTAAAAATATAAAAATTAACCAGACGTGGTGGTGAACACCTGTAGTCCCAGCTACTCAGGAGGCGAGACAGGAGAATCACCTGAACTTGGGAGGCAGAGGTTGCAGTGAGCCGAGATTGTGCCACTGCCCTCCAGCCTGGGTGACAGAGCAAGACTCCTTGTCAAATAATAATATAATTATTATTATAATTATAAAATAATAATAATAATACACTCAAATTCAGCCAGTTTTCACCCTGGCACATAAAAGATATGGCTGAAAAGCCACCTGTTGAGAAGCTCTGGGAGATCTAGAAAACTTCCAGTCAAAGCTGTCTGACATGTGTCTGATTTTCACAGGATCTGGTGATTTATCGGCTAATACAATATAAAATGTCCATGATATACTGCGCTCTCCTGGGGAGGTTCACATTTTAAAGGAGAAGGCATGAGAAAAAAAGACAATACTTTAACAAAAGCATTCCAGGAAGTGATTGCAAACGAGGTAGCTAGCAGGAAATGCCTTGGAAATAAGATACAAGTTTCAACCATTCAGATCAGAGACCTCAGCAGGAATATCCTATAACTTATCCTGTTGTGGGCCCTGCTACAAATGCCCTGCGGCTCCCAGGCACAGGTAGGCCTTCCCTGAGTTTCCAGGTGGGGTTGGACGTATTGAATCTGAGCTGTGGATCCTAGCTGCGGCGGTCACCTCTGCAGCCTTCTGCTGCGGGAGATTCCTGGCTGCACAGGGTCGTCCTCCTTAGAGTGGCCTCTCTGTGGCATTCAGGTAATGTGCATCCCCAGTTGGTCTCTGGGAGATCATCCAAGCAATTTTCAATGCACTAGAGCAATAGTTGTCTGTTGGGGCTGATTTCCACTCCTCGCCCCTCCCCACCAAAGGAATATTTGGTAATATCTGGAGACATTTTTGGTTGTCATAACTGGGATGGGGGCTGGTGATGTTGCTATTGGCATCTAGTAGGTAGAGGCCAGGGATGCTTCTAAACATCGTACAATGCACAGGACAGCAGTTATTCAATCCAAACATCAATAGTGCTGAAGTGGAGAAACACTGCACAAGCAGAAGCTTACTGGGAGATACACACACATATTCTATATACCTGGGCAGTGGGGACAGGCGAACAGCTGCAGTCAGGGCTGGTGTGGGATTCTGCTTCCTCATGCACATTGGGAACAGTCTGAGCTCTAGCTGAGATATCTAAATCCAGTGACGGGAAGAAGCCCTGCCTGTCATTTCCCTTTAGGGATGACAAGAGAAAACTACAGTGCAGCCTGCTTCTTTCTCCTTTTCCCCAGGGCTCCCTGGAGGAGGGAATGCATCCCTGCTCTCAGGCCTGAATGTCCTGGATGAAATGGAAAGGCTGTGGACAGGCTGTGCGCTGGGCTAGGAATGGCCCCCGTTCATCTTTATGTTCATTTCTGGAGAGGGTCCTTAGCCTGCAAGGTTCTTGGGGGCAGAAAGGGAGTCAGATTTGCTTTGGTCATAATTGTGTTCACAGCTTTGAGCACAGAGTTTGACACATACAGAGTACTCATTAAATATCTGTTGAACTAATGGATGCGAGGATGCCTACGGAAATTGAATAATTTTCAGATGTTTTTCACTCCAGACTCTGGGAGCAGCTCCCGGTGAAAGAGAAGAGAGGCGTCTGATGGAGGAAGTAGGAGCAGGCTTTCATTTTCCCTCTTGTCTAGGCCTGGCTTGGTGCTGTGCCCTTCAGTTCATTCAATGCGATCTGGTCCTTCGCACACAGGCTTTGTAAATAGAAGTATCTCTGCCTATGTCCTGCTCCCCTACTTCCAAGCAGTATAAGGTTGGTCTAGTGACTTACCCTCAGTGAGCCTCTCTTGCCTCATCTGTAACTTAGAGATAATAGCAGTTCTCCGCTTGGTTCTTAAAGTTTTAGAGGATTACATGAAATAATGCATAATGAGTAAAGAGGCCAAGAGATTTTCCCAAGAAGCTTGTAGTTGGAGGGTCACATAGAAGGGTAAACAAGCAAAGATAGAACAATGTCAGTGTCACAGCAGAAACATAAATGAAATAATATATGCAAACTCCTAGCCTAATGCCTGGAACTTGAGAGGGGATTCAATAAATAGGAGTTCCCTTCTCCTTATGAAAGTGCCATGGAACTCTAGAGGAGGGATGGGCATGGGAGAAAAGCTAGGCATACATTTTGAGCCATAGCAGGAGGAGGTTAAACAAGTTTATATTTGAGGACCTCAATTTGCTGCTTGTAATAGAGGACAATGTCATTTCCAGAGGGAAGGAAGAAAATGCAGATAAGATTTGGACTTGGGAAGGGTGGGGAGAGTATGGGAGTTCATGTGGGAAACGGGGAATAGAAACGAATGGGAATGAGAATGTGCATGCTAACATACAGCTAAGATTGAACTTAACTTTTTTTTTTTCTTCTAGAGAAGTATCTAGGCCTTTTCCTGGTTTTCCACTGCACTATAGATCCATGGTTGCAAGAGGCAGGCCTTGTGCAAGTTGAGCTGTCAAGAGGGCAAGGATGTTGATATCATTGGTGAGAGCGCAGGTGACTTAGTGTGGTCTGAGGTGGTTGGAGAGGATTGTGAATCCAGACAGTGGGGAGCAGATGAGGAAAAGGAGCTGGTGGACTGGGACTATGAGGAGGGAGGGAGAAGGGAAGAAGGCAAAGTAGAAGGGCAGGAAACTGGGCTCAGACAAGATGATCGCAGAGTTTTCTATTTTGCAGAAATAGAAGTTCTGGCGGGATAAGATATTCATTCTGTAGTGAGGCTGTGTGAATGGGTTGCTGAAGGAGACGTGAGGTCCTTGGGCACTGAATTTACCCAGGGTGAGGGCAGAGGGTGAGGCAGACTGGAAACAGAGCCATGTGGAAAATCCTTGCTACTTGTTATGGATTGAATTGTTTCCACCAAAACATAGGTTGAAGTCCTAATCCCCAGTACCCCAGAATGTGAGCTTATGTGGAGATAGAGTCACTAAAGCTGCAATTAGGTAAGTTAAGGTGAAGTTATCCCAGGGAAGGTGGCCCCAATCCAATATGACTGGTGTCCTTGTAAGAGGGAAGTCCACGTGATGACCCAGAGATACACAAGAAGATGGTCATATGAGGACAGAGGCAGAGACTGGGGTGATGCAAGGAAGGATTCACCCCTGCAAGTTTCAGAGGCAGCACCGCCCTGCTGACACCAGGATACTAGATTTGAGCCTCCTGAAGGCGAGAGGATAAACTTCTGTTATGTTAGGCCGGTTAGTCTGTGGTACTTTGTTACAGCAGTCCTAGGAAATTAACACACCCCTGTTCCCCCTTGATTCAGCTCCACTCATCCTTTAAGGCCCACTCAGCCTCAGCTTCTCCAGCAAGCCTTTCCGATCCCACTGGTCACACTGACCTCCTCTGTCTGCCTTCTCAGAATTCCAATGATGCTTGAAGCCTGGCACAATTATGCATAATTTTGGCAGGTAATTTCAATCTGTTTTATGATTTTTCTTCAGCTCGATTCAAGATTTGTCTTTACCTAAGGTGTAAGTACCTGAACTTCTTGAATTTCTCGCACCGCTTAAGGCAGTGCTCAGCATCGATTAGCTCCTTGCTCGCTACTTGTGAACATCTTGCTGGCAGTTATGTGATACAGTTTCAACTTGATCCTCTCATCTAGGTCACTTGCAGTGCACTTTTCTGGGGCGCCACTACCCTGCTGGGGTTTGAATACTAATAGGCTTGCTTGGCTCATTATGGAAAACTATAAAATGCACAATAGTCTGAAAAGTCATAATGTATTTTTTTGAGTTGAGAGCAATGTTTTTTAACCATGAGAACAATTAAAATGCAGGAGTGCTCAGTTTTAAGAAAACCCCAATACCAAAGTACACACACAACTGATTCAATGGTAGAGGGGTGAGAAGAAATAATTATTAGCACAAGGATTAAAAAAAATCAATTACCTTATTCTTTAGTGCATCTTTTTTTTTCTTCTTTAATAACTAAAAAATTGTATTTATACAGCTTTCTGAGTGCATGTATTGTATAAAATGAGGTACAGTTGTACTGTAAATGAACAAAACTTGGGAAAATTAGGAGGCAGAACCTTTGTATAAAAGGGCTTTATGAATAAATACATGCAGGTCTGGGCAGATAATATCCTTGAAAGTTTGCCAAAAACTGGTAATGGCGATTGTGTCTGAAGAGGGAACTGGAGAACTAGGGGCCAGCGGAAGGAAAGAGAGGGAGCCTTTTCACTTTACGCTGTTTTGTGTTGTTTAATTTTTTTTTTTTTTTTTTTTTGAGACGGAGTCTCACTCTGTCGCCCAGGCTGGAGTGCAGCGGTGCGATCTTGGCTCACTGCAACCTCCACCTCCCGGGTTCATGCCATTCTCCTGCCTCAGCCTCCCAAGTAGCTGAGACTAAAGGTGCCTGCCACCACGCCCGGCTAATTTTTTATATTTTTGGTAGAAATGGGGTTTCACCATATTAGCCAGGATGGTCTCCATCTCCTGAGCTCATAATCCACCCGCCTCAGCCTCCCAAAGTGCTGGGATTACAGGCATGAGCCACCGCACCCAGCCATGCTGTTTAATTTTTTTTTTTTTTTAAACCATGTATTCACAAGAGAGAGTGAGAGAAAGGAAGGGAGAAAAAGGAAGGAGGAAAAAAGGAAAGAGGGAAGAAATAAAAGTAGCTGAGGCTGGAGGACATTTAGAAAGCAAAAAGAAGATTGTTAAAATGATGAATGGTTGACACTCAGATGTGAGGTGGAAGCCTGTGCTTAAACACAGGCAGGGAGAAGTGCACATGTGTGCCCACACATGCACACACACACATGTAAACACATGCATGCATGAACACACACCCTTCATGATCGGGTCTGCTGTGCTTCAAAAAGCCCTATGCTCATTAGGCTTTTCATGGGGCAAGATGAAGTCATTCATAATGTCAATCTAACTGCCCAGGCAGGATTTCCCTGCTGGCTGAATTGATCTGTGTCTGCATCCCAATCCCTCTTCACAGGGAGCCTCAGTCACTTGGCCCCTACAAATACCACACACCATCTCTTGGGTCCTCTTCCCCTGTAAGAACCTTTCCCCACATCATTTCTCCTTCCTACAGGTCTCAAACTATGCCTTTCTTAATGAATTTCAGGCAGCAGGTAATAGAATGAGAGCATTTTAGAGCTCAAGGGGACACTGAAAACAATGGGCTCCAATCTTCCTACATTGGATAGTTCACAGTGAGAGAACTTACCTTAGGTCAAACACCTCAGTGAATGTATAAGCTAGTTAAATGTCAGAGCTGGGCCTAAGCTCCAGGGCTGTTAACCCCATCCAGTACTCTTTCCACACCGACACCATATGACACACCTCTCCCTACATCCGAGTGATGGACAGAACAGGGAACCTTACTGGGAATGTTATGGAGAAAAGTGTTTCCAATTCCGACAGCAGTAGACCTGAACTGTTGACAAGGCTTCCTTGAAAAGATCATTCACTTGAATGCATTGGCTAACTCCCTTGAAGGAACAGCTTTGGGATGCCTCACTGGTCAGTGATTTGGCTTTTAATCTTCTCTGGGCCGTTCCTGATTCTTCACTGCATTCATCTCAGCCAGTCCAATGCCTGACACATAGTAGGCACATCACAAATTTGTGAGGAGTTAATGCATTGTTTTATCATTTATACAGGAGGGAGATATCCAATCCCTCTCTTTGGTTTTACAACCAGACTGCATTCATTTTGAAGAAGAATCCAGATGAAAAGAGATGTTAAAGACAGAGAAAAGGCAGAAGCAGAGTCTGTGTGCACTCATCTTCTGGTGTGTGTGTGCAATCAATGGGAGACACGGAGACCTAGAATTGGCTCCATACTCTCTGGCCCTCAGTAACACTGGAATGACAACTTCTCTGGACTCAGTGGCATGGCACCATTTGGGGAAAGAAAGTAGCTTTGAGGGAGGTGGGTGGACAGACAGCAGGGCCATGTTTTCTGAGGCAGCTTGTGGGAGAAAAGAACACCAGCTGGGACATGAAACAGTCCAGGAACCAAGAACACATGCTAAAAGGCATGAAAATTGGCAAGTATGGTGAAGATATGTTAGAGAAACACAGGGACACAGATGCATTGAGAGCTGCAAGACAATGGAGTTGGCCATCTCCCTCCTCCTGACTCCAAAGCAGCTGAAGCAAACACAGTCTTCTTTTGCTATAGATCTGAAGAGATGGCTACAGTGCAGAGTGTCTGTGGACTGAAGTAATAACCTGAGCTCCTTGGCCATCGAGACTCATGTACATCATCATTCTCTCAACTCAGTGAGAATTTTACAGAACCATGTTCCCTGCCCCAGAAAAATATAAACAAGGAATGCAGCAAACTCTATGTGGGAGGGAAGCTTTTTTTTCCCTAGTCATATGCCCTTTCCTCTTAGAACCAGAGCCTAAAGAAAGGTTTGAGTTTACCTGGTCTAACCTTCATTTTATAAGTGAAGATATCAAGGTCTAAAGAAAGGACTGTGACATTCCCAGGGTCACGAAACCAGCAAGAGATGGAAACAGTAGTCAAAACCAGGTCTTCCTGTTTGAAACCGCATGCACTTCTAAGTCTAGCAGTAACCTCACTGCAGCTTCCGCTGGGCATCTTGGGGTTCAAGGTCAACATGTAAACCATTGTGAGCATCAGTGCAATGCTGCACAAGATGGTCACCAGTGTTCTTTGCAGAATGACAAATCAAGCCCTAGTTTCCTTGTGTTGTTTCACTTGCTTATTCCAAGCCCTCTTTCTTGGTGTCTGGTTTCCTCTTGTTCCATGCCTGCCTCATGCAGTCTCTAGTATCTGAATGCCCAGGGAATGTGTCCACGTGGCCAGCCTTCCTTCTCTTGAAGTGTCTAGAAGCCACTTTTTCCTCTGAAACTTGGGTTATGGTTCAGAACTTTTATTTCTCCCCAGCAAAGCGGCACTCCACTACATGGTTTGAGCAATTTACCAGGTTGCATGAATGATTTGCATTTAACCCTACAAGAATTAAGCCTGTTAGCCCTTCTGACTCATTCATTGGTATGCTGTCTACTTCGCTGGTGCATCCTTTCCAATTATCCCTCTCTTATGTCCTAAGGGCTGGGAGGGAGGAGGCAACAACTTGGCACAAGAGAACAACTCCTGGTGTAGTTGATGGTGAGGCAGGGGTAGGGGAGCATGCATTACTAGGTTCCCTTTTTATCCCTTGAGTCTCTAGTGTTCCCCGGGTTCCTTATGCCCACCTACTTCATTTTAGGTACAACTAATGTCTAGTGAATCCTTCCTTGAGCAGTGTCTGGGAGTCACAGACACATTGTCTTATCCATTCTCTCTACTTGGGATACAGGCTTTATCCCCCATACTGCAGGCTTAGAAAAATGAGGTGCCCTGTTAATAAAAGAAGTGGGATTTTCACTAAGGTTGAAGTCTACTGCACTTCTTAGGGCACGATTCTGCCTCCCCAGATCAAGTGCTTTTTGGCCTTGCTTCTTCTTTGATTCTCGTAATGAATTCTCCTTTTCAAAATTACTGGCTGGGACATTGACTTTTTGTGGGTGAATGATGTAACCTTGCTTATTCTAAAGGGAAAATTGAGTAAGAGAGAGACCATCTGATTTCAGTGTGTAGTGCAGTGTTAATGGTAAATACTAACCTATAGAATCATCATCATCTTGCCTGACCTCCCAGAAGTGCTTGGAAAGGGAATTTGTGGGTTAATTAGAAAAAGCATTGCATAGATGTTCAGCATTGTTTTTGTCTGCGATGAACTGAATGACCAAGGGGACTACCCAAGCTAGCCCTAGGAAGGCAAGTTGCTGGGTCAGCCTGACATAGATGGCTGTGGCTGATGGAATTCAGCCAAGACAATGGCCCTGCCTCCCTCTCTAACTACAAGGCCCTGGGACAGATTCAGGAGCTTAATGGGAAACACCAGCGTGGAGCTTGTAGCACCGTGCAAAGAACACAGGCTAGAATCCAGAGACCTGGATTCTCTCAGGCCACTGGAAATGTCTTTCCCAGGCCCGAGTTAGGCTATATAGCCTTTCCACTTCTCACATTCTAGGTTTCTGTAGCTGTGGTCTCTGTTTCATATCACAGATTTAAAAAATGCTTGAGCTAGTATTCACCTCTTCCTTTAGTGTTTTCCTCAATAGGTCAAACATTTTCACATGATACCCTTTCTAGACCCAAACCCTCTGCTCTCAAATACCAACTACTGAACTCTGCCATGGCAGCCAAATATAGCCATAGACAATATGTAAATGAATGCAGGTGGTTGTGTTCCAACAGAACTTTATTTATGGGCACTGGCATTAGAATTTTATGTAATTTTCACATATAAAATATTATTCATCTTTTGCTTTTAAAAATTATTTTAAAGTGTAAAAAGCCATACTTAGCTCTTGGGATCTACAAATACAGGTGGTGGGCTGAATTCAGCCTGCAGTTTTCCAAACTTTGATTTAACCCACAGCAATGGGGCACCTGGCTATAATCTCTAGGCACCATCATAAGCTATTAGTTCCTGCATTTCTGGAACTTTCTGGAACTGGTGGCTGCTCTTAGCTTCTAGAGACCTCTAGTCCTTCCACGCTGCTACGCCTCAGAGCCAGCAATGGACATCGACTCCTTCTCATGCTTGGAATCATTCCACTTTCCTCTTCTGACACATCTCTTTGGTTTCAGCCAGAAAAAATTATCTGCTTTTAAGGGCTCACGTGGTTATACTGGGTCTACCTATATAGTCCAGGAGAATTTCGTCATCTTAAGGTCCATAACTTTACATCAGCAAAGTTCTTTTGCAACATAACACAACGTACTCATAGGTTCCAGGGATTAGGGTATAAACATCTTTGAGAAAATGTTATTTCACCTACCACAGTGCATTAGGAAACCTAAACCACTGGACAGAGATGACATATATGCCAAGATACCTCTTCTTATGAAGCTATTCCTTATCTTCCCAACCTACTCCCTCATCTAAACTCTCATAACGGTTTGTCCTAAGCATAGCTTTTTTTTTTTTTTTTTTTTTTTTTAGATAGGGTAATGGGTCATGCTCTGTCGCCCAGGCTGGAATGTAGTGGTGCAATCTTGGCCCACTGCAACCTCTGCCTCCTGGGTTCAAGTGATTCTCCTGCCTCAGCCTTCCCAGTAGCTGGGATTACAGGCATGCACCACCATGCCTGGCTAATTTTTGTATGTTTAGTCGAGATTGGGTTTCACCATGTTGGCAAGCATGGTCTCGAACTTCTGACCTCAGGTGATCCGCCCGCCTCAGCCTCCTAAAGTGCTGAGATTACAGGCATAAGCCGCCGTGCCCAACCCTAAGCATTACTCTTGATGTCTGTGTTGGTTTTTGCTCCTTATTACTTTTCTGCTTCAAGTTACTGCATCCCTTTGTGAAGCAAATTCACTGTGCATGAGTTTCCAACTTCTCTGAGTCTGGTGAGACAAAATATAGTCACATGTGACAAGTTATATGAAGGGGAATTATTAGTTACAGATGTGAAGCAAGAGAAAACAGAATCCTAGGATTCATTGTGAGCCAGTCCCCCAGGGCTCAGAAAGTTTCCCTGGGACAGATTGAGTCTCAATTTCACTTGAACCACAGATTAGGGATCCTAAAAGTTAGCCCACCCTGGTTATGTAACTCAGGGTGTACTTGATTCACTAGGCTAAAGTTTGAAGGACATCCTGCTTCTAGAGGAGAGAGAAACAAGGCCCAGCTCTTACCCCCTAACTCAAGACGTTACAATCTCTAAAAGCAACAGGAGCAAGACCCGAGCTGTTTCAGGCAGTTTCTCCCTGTCTTAGGATACTGTATTCCCAGCACATTCTATAATTATTCTTGAGAATTACAAACAAGAAAGGGGAGAGAAACAGCCAGAGGATTGCCCTGTACCTTTTCTTTGGGATTCATCTCACACTTATATTCACTCAGAGGGATTGTCATCTCATGAACACAGGGGAGGGCATGTGACCCAGCTGAGCTGATCAGAGCTCCTCATTCTCTCCGAATATTGATTAGGCCATGTATTGAACATATGACTTAAGTGAACCAATAAGTCTTCCCTGAAATTGACTTATGGATGTTGGGAGAAAGAAACTCTATTTTTGTTGTGTTTGTTGATTCAAATTGTGACTCTGGAGCTTCCAGCAGGCATCTTTGCTGCCATATGGAGAAAGTCATCTGCAGTATGAAAGCAAGGGGAGGGAAGATAAGAAACATCAATTTTGCATCCTATTGTTTCTCCTGTGCCTAGCACAGTGTGTGGCCCATAATAGCTGCTCAGTGAATATTTGTTGACTGAATAGAATTCCGCTCATTTTGAGATCCAGTTCTAGTCTATAAAGTCTTGGTTCTTCCAGCTCATCCTTCTATCCCATGAGATACCTCATTACCTTTTCCAGCTAGGAAACTCAATACATTGCTTTATTCTCCTTAGACCATGTTGAGTTGGGTTTCAATTGCTTGCAACAGAAAGAATTCTGGAGAAGATAGTGATGCATCACACAACTGCTCTATATTTGACTTATAATGCTTCTCCCACTAGACTATAAGCCTTTTAAGAGCAAGGATTGGCCAGGTGCAGTGGCCCACGCCTGTAATCCCCAGCACTTTGGGAGGCCGAGGCAGGCAGATCACGAGGTCAAGAGATCGAGACCATCCTGGCTAACATGGTGAAACCCTGTTTCTACTAAAAATACAGAAAAAAAAAAATTAGCCAGGCGTGGTGGCAGGCACCTGTAGTCCTAGCTACTCAGGAGGCTGAGGCAGGAGAATGGCATGAACCTGGGAGGCGGAGCTTGCAGTAAGCCGAGATCGCACCACTGTACTCCAGCCTGGGCAACAGAGCAAGACTCTGTCTCAAAGAAAAAAAAAAAAAGCAATGATTGAGTCCCTTACATCTTTATTTCTCCCACAGTAATGGAAACTTCGTTAAGTGTTTGAGTTACAGGGCATTGAGGCACACTGGTAAGAGAGGCATGTTGTGCAGGAGAAAGAGAGACCACATGATGATAAGAAAGAGATGGAGAAGCAAAATGGGTGCAAAGGAGTCTGTAAAGAAATATGTGTGCTCACACGTGAGAGTTCAAGCAACAGAAAAACTCAGGAGAAAGAGGTGGCGAGTTTTGGCTTTTACCCTACTGCCTGCTTATTTCTGTCTATGTCTTTCTGTCTGACTAGCTAACCAACAGTAATAGACACTTGGCCATCATTTCTAGGCACCATCACAGGCTGTTACTTTCTATCTTTCTGGAGCTTCTCTTCATCCTAAGCCAATTCAGACAAAGTGAGTAAACCTCCTTCCTCCCCACCCCATGCTAGGAACTGGCTGGAGCACCTACTGTTGCTGCAGGTCTGGTTGTGTACATACTTTGTGCATACTCCCCCACACCCCACACCCCACCATGCCTATTTCCTTTATGGCCATTCTCCATCTCTGGGTTCCCAAAAAATTCATCCTCACCCAGATCAGCACCTATTGTCTTTTTCCTTACCCCCTGGGAAAAAGGAAGATTTATAAAATGATTCATTTAAAGAGAAACATCAATTTTTATGGATTTAGGGGTACAAGTGCCATTGTGTTACATGGATAAATTGTGTAGTGGTGAAGTCTAGGCTTTTAGTGTAACCATCACCCGAATAGTGTACATTGTACCAATATGAAATTACTTCTGTCGTTGAGGTGGTGGTGAGAGTGGAAGGTAGGAGAGGAAACCTCTTCCTAGCTTGATTCACTTGAGTGGATAGGGCTCTTCATTCACGCTGTCACATTGGCATATTAACCACTAGTCCAGCTAGTGGTTAATCATTATTTGCGTAGTGGTTGCAATAATACTACTGATATTATGGGGTCACTTAAGAGGACTAAATGATGGAAAACATTATTCAATAACATAAAACATGGAAAGTGCTTATAACAAAGTGTTCAATGAACATAACCTATTATTATTTTTATTATTACACATTTTTACTATTCTTTTCCAAAGTGACTGAAGCTGTCAGGTTGGCCCAGCTCCCAAATGTTTTGTCAATTTAAAGATATGCTTCATAATAAGGTGAAGAGTAAGTGTAAAATTTCTATTTACTCTTATGGAAAATTTTGATGCACGGGGCTACTTGTGCAGAGGTCGGACTATTAAGGGGTAAGGCTGGTGTGTAAATGTGGCTCATATTTGACTCTGATGAATCACACCGGATTCTGAAAGATGGATTTCAGACACAAAGGAAGCATGATCAATTCAGGAGTTCTGAGGAAAATTATTACTATCTTACTTTCTGAGTGCCAAGAAAGAGAATCGTAAGTAATTTTTAATATGACTAGGGATTTCTTTAGTCCATTTGGAGAAAATGTTTTATCTTCTCTTTTATATCATGGTCATTTTAAGATGAAGTATTAGCTTTTACATTTCAATCTCATGTCACAAAATCCAACTTTATCACTTTGATTTTATATACTGTCTTCAGCACATTTGCAATGAGAAATTACAGAAGAATTACTGCTAGGGAGGAGATTTCAAGACTTCCAAAAGTTGATCATGAAGGAAGTATAAAAAAATAAGCTTCTGAGGTATTTTTTAAGAGTTTGCAGAGCTTTTAGAGCTTTGTGTTTTTCTCTAGAGCGGGGTAGATGCAGTTTGGAAAAGGTAGGTAACTGGACAGAGCTCTTTGATCATATTCATTCCAAGGAGTCCCCACTTCTCTGATTTTCTTCAAATACTATGCCAATAAGATACATCCTGAGACTTTCCTCTATATTATATTTACATAGTGCCTCATTTTTCTTTCTAGACTCTAAACTTATTAAGAGGAGGAAGCACATCTTATATACAAGTGTCCATCTTTCCCAGTATCTAACCAAGAATCCTGTACATAACAGCACTGGATAAATAGGTGGATTTGTGGAAGTTGAACATCATGGAAAGGGTGATTCCAGATTTCTACACAAGACCACAGCCATAGTCCATGGTCTAGATTTCACAGTCTAGATTTTCACTTACTAACTGAGTGGTTTGACCCTCAGTATTCCGATCATCTGGAAACTACGGGTGATTAACACTACCTTGCAGGAAAGATTAAGATACACACATGGTAGAGTCCTTACCTGGCATGAAACAAGCTCCAAGTTACGAAAGACTTTAAAATACCAACCTTTTACATAATATGGTGGGTCTTTTTGGGAAGGGGGTTATAACTTACAATGTATTTTCTTTTTCTCCCTGATTCTCATCAATTCTATGGCAGTCATCTTATATTCATTGGAGAGTTTGAGGTCTTAATTTGTTCTCCTTTCAAAGCAAAATCTAAGTATTCTTTGTGTCATAAAATGTTAGGGTTGGACAGAAAAATTTAAGTTGCCTTAAGTCCTTCTTTTAATGCAGAAACTGAGTCTGACTTTACTTTGGAAGGGTGCAGAGAGGCCTGGACCGTCAGGCCTGGACCGTAGGATTGGCTAAGTGAACAACTGGGAAATGGAGATTGTGCAGATTCTAGCAGGAGCTTGGAGGTGATGGAGGGGAAGGGGGACAGGAATGAGAGAAAGGGAAGTGGGAATTTGCTAGGTGTTTTAGAGATAATGAGAAGACAAGTCTGACTGGTGAGCTAGGGTGGGAAGGTGAAGACAGCCTGCATGTTATAAAGCCAACACTGTGCCAGGAGCTTTACTTCATGTTCATGGCAATTCCATCACATCCTTGATTCTCCATTCATTTCACAGATAAGGAAGCAGCTCATAAGAGTTAACCTGTCATTGGTCACCTCACCAGTATGTTCTCCCATCTATATTATTCTGTGAAGGTTCAGAGGGGAACAATTCATTAATATTAGATAGAAAGGTTAGGTTGGACAATTTTGTAAAGGCTTCGAAGTCAGACTGAAGAGTATGTGCTCTCCTTATAGGCAATGATAACACTTTCAAAGTTTTCAGTTTGGGAGGTAGGTAGGGAATGAAGTTTATGATATAATAAAAGAAGTGAGTTAGGAAGAATTTAACCTGACAAGTGCAAATCCCTCAGCTCATCTTTGAAATGTCAGGTTTCCACTGTAGTTCCTGTCAATCCTAATTTGTTTATTAGGTTATACCCTTTCTCCAAGGGGAAGGGAGAAGGTGGAGTGTGTGAGGCTCCATTGAACCACACTTGCACTTATTAAAGGCATTGTAATGAGGTCTAAGAAGTTTTCCTTCTTGCTGCAGGCAGAACCCAGAGCAGAGCAGGGCATGCTAATGCTTTCTTAGCAACATTGAACAATCGGGCCCAGGATACCATTAGCAGCATTCATTCTGCATTTTTCATATCTCTCCCTTTCTAATTTTATCCCCTCAAGTCATGTACTAACTTCAGGGCTAGAAATGTTTTAGCTCACCATTAATTTCTTTCCTGTTGAGGAATAGAGGTAAGTCATTGACAGTATTATATTATTGCTTATAATAAGTTTAATATGAAATAGAATTATGTGACAGGTCTTGGCAACTGTCTATTGCCTTGAAAATTAACACCTCACCTCCAACTTTGTGTTGATATTTAATAAGTGCTTTGCTTCATCATTTGTCTTTCAGCAGCACTCTTAGCCATCCCATTGTGCAATGGGAGCAGCTGACTGCTTAATTAGCCACGATGCATCTTGGCATGGGCCACCTTTCCTTTTCACACTGTGAGCCTGTTAAGTTCCAGATCCCCTGGCGTTGCCCTCTGAACTGCCAAGGTGACCCTGGGAAACATTTTAAGTAGGTAAAAGTTGTAGACAACATGCCTCTCTTTCTAGTGCCTTTATGCTGACCCTGGGCTGCCTAGCGATGCCAAACACAAAGGCTTCAGAAGGAATTGCCAAATTCTGGGGACTTTCTTGTCTGCCTTTTACTCTATTAAAACCTGCTGCTTCTTTTTCTTTTTTCCATTGCTGTAGGGTCTTGTTCTCGGCTGGATGACCATACGAGATAATAAGTACAAGTCAGTCCAAGAAATTTTAATCTCCACTAATCAGTAGGTAAGCTAATGTATTAATCTTTCCAGGTAACACAATGCAGGCACCTTCTCTCTGTTTCTTCTCCTTCTTATAGAGAATTTATAGCTTTAAGGCACCTAACAGACCATTCAAGTCCAAGCACCTGAGGTTCTGATTCAGTAAATCTGAGGTGGGGTTAGGAATCTGTACCTGGAAAAAATCTTCAGTTGACCCTCACATGTCACCCTGAGTAAGAAATACTACACTCTAAAAGAGAGACGCTAACATTCCACAATGCACAAAATACTTACATTTTGCCTTGAAAGTAGAACAAATTAAAACCTTAAGCTCTCCAAAAAATGTAAGATGACTGCCCTAGAATTGATGAGAATTGGGGAGAAAATGAAAATATATTGTAAGTTATAATCCCCCTCCAAAAAACCCCATGTTAAAAAAAAAAACATATTTCTTACTCAGGGTGACATGTGAGGGTCAACTGAAGATTTTTCCAGATACGTACACTTAACTCCACCCCAGATTTACTGAATCAGAATATCTGGTGCTTGGACTTTTGGAGAAACTTCCTAAACTTTATGAGGAACATGTCCAGAAAACGTACAGATAAGATTATAATCCATGGTGAGAAACTAGATGTTTCCCACTAAGATGAAGAATGTGGCAAAGATGTCCCCTCTCACCCCTCCTTTTCAACATCATGCTGCAAATCCTAGCTAATGCAACAAGAGAAGAGGGAAAAATAAAAAAGATATACAGATTGAGAAGGAAAAAATAAAATTGTCATTGTTCACAGATGATGTGATTGTCTCTGTAGAAAATTAAAAAAAAATTAATAAAAATACATCCTGGAACTAATAAGCAATTGTAGCAGGATGGCAGGATACTAGGTTAATATATAAAAGTCATTCAATCACTTTCTTATATACCAGCAATGAACAATTGGAATTCAAAATTAAAAACACAGTGCCATTTACATTAGCAGCCCCCCAAATGAAATACTTAGGTTTAAATGTAACAAAATATGCAAATAAAAACCTGCTTTTTTATTGATTAAAAGAAAAAGAAATATTACTGTCATGAGATAATGATTTTTGAGGCTCTAAAGTTGCACCATGGAATGCAGTTGCCACTAGTCATGTGCAATAATTTAAATTTGAATTAATTAAAGTAAAATAAAGGGGAAAATTCAGTTCCTTAGTCATATTAACCACTTTCAGGTACTCATAGCCACATGAGGTTAGTGGCTACCGTATCCAACAGTGCAAATGTAAAATGTTTCCGTCATCACAGCAAGTTATGTTGGACAGTGCTGTTACAACGCATAAATCCGATGTTACTTACTGTTCATTCTAAATGAAGAAACAGCATTTTGGAAAGCAGAACAAGGTGAGAGTGTGGAGGGAGGTCTTAGGACTTGCCTTCCCTGAGGGGGTAAGTACAAGCCAGTGAGCGTTTCTCTGGTGCCCAGAGTTTGAGTCTATCCTGATTCAGTCATGACTTACAGCCTGACTGTGGTTTCATCAGGTTTTCAGCAATTAGCATGAATGCCACCTCACAGTGACATACTACTTTTAAATAAACTTACATTCTGATACTGAGGTTTCTAGTTTATAAAGTAGCTTCACTTCCATTAATTTACATGATGCACCTTATATTTAGAGGGACTGGGCAGGAAAGGTAATATTATTCCCATTTAAGAACATGAGACCATGAATACTCATTAACAGCAGAATAGTTACATACATAATTAAGTAGCCATGAAAAGGATGTATGAGATGGTTACCTGTTGATTTGCTGGGATTTTCCCAAGGTAATGGTGATTGAGAAAAGCAGGTACAGGAAAGTGTGTATAACACCATGGTGGTTATTGGCATGTTGGCGCTCTGATCCATTCCGCAGCCTTCTGCTCTCCTCTGTGCTGCAGGGTGGCCGACTCCTGAAGGATGTGTTTTCCAGGCTTCTGTGTCAGTTGGCTACAGTTGAATTCAGCCAATGGGAGTCATTTGTGGGTTAGAAGCAAGGGAGAAGCCAGGGTATCCACCTCAGGCTGCATCTTTAGGGGTGCTATTTCTTCATGGCTCTGGACAGCTTTGCCATGCTGCCACGTCTACCAGGTGACCCCAGCTGCTGGGATGAGATAACATTACCTCCTTCTTTTGCACTTCCAGCTAGGGCTGGTAGCAGTTCCCTACTCTTGCGAATCTCTCAGCTGACTCACTGTTCCATGTTTGGTTTCTTAGCTCTCTCATCACTGGTGTAACCAATAACTTGCATTAAATTCCCTCTGCTTGAATTATCTTAGCGTGATTTCTCTTTTCCTGATTGGGTCCTGACTAAAACAAATATGATCTTCCTGTGTAAACAATGATAACCCATATAAAATGAGACTGTGTGTGGTGTATGTGCATGCATATGATTCTGTGAGAATGGGGAAATCATAAAAAGATAAGTACTGGGTCATTAACATGGAATCTAGGGGTGGCTGTGAGTGCCTATTGGGTGGAGGGAGTGGAAAGGGGGAAGGGTGTAGCTAAGCAAAAAAAGAAAAGAAGACTGCACTAAAAATTCACTATATGATAACATACATGAATTTATGGAAAATCATGTGTGCTTATGTTTTAGTAAGAGATTTGACAGAACTAGTTGGAGCAGCCTACTGACCTGCGGATAGGTCAGTGAGGGGAGGAGCTAGAACCTGAACCTGGATCTTCTGATCGAAATGTGGGTGCCACGTAGTGGCCCAGAACCCAGATTCTGCAGCCAGATTCTGAACCCAGTGTGGATTACCTTGGCTCCATCACTTACTACCTGTGCAGCCTTGCCCTGGTGTCCTCATCACTAAAACCAGGACAGGAAAGAATGACAGTTGTTACTTAGAGTTGTTGAAAGGGTTAAATGAGTTAATATTTTTGAAACAGACCAATGCTCTGCACAGAGTAGGTCCAATACAAGTGTTAAAGGGGTGTTTTACTATGTATCATTTAGTTGTATTAAATGTATCAAGAAAGTGTGGAGATTGTTCCCACAGTTTGTTTGTTTGTTCGTTTGTTTGTTTTGAGATGGAGTCCCCCTCTCTCGCTCAGGCTAGAGTGCAGCGGCGCCATCTCTGCTCACTGCATGCTCCGCCTCCTGGGTTCAAGCAATTCTCCCATCTCAGCCTCCCGAGTAGCTGGGATTACAGGTGCACGCCACCACACCCAGCTAATTTGTTTGTATTTTTAGTATAGACGGGGTTTCACCGTGTTAGGCAGGATGGTGTCAAACTCCTGACCTTGTGATCTGCCCACCTCGGCCTCCCAAAATGCTGGGATTACAGGCATGAGCCACCATGCCCGGCCTGTTCCCACAGTTTTAATTATTGCATTGTCATTTTGAGGAGCAGGCTGTTGTAAGTTCTGATCAAAGGACTCAGCTCAATATAAACAAAATAATGTGCCTTTGCTAGGGGACTGAAAAAAAGAATAAATTGGAATATAAATGATACTTTTGGGAATCTATCTTAGTGAAATAAAGCGAAGTATGAAACTGTTTTATGTACAAATGTTTATTGCTGCATTTTCATAATAGCCAAAGATTGGGAGCCACTTAAATGTTTTACCATCAGGGATTAGTTAAGATAACTGTGAAATATATATTTGATGGAACATCATAAAGTTGCCAATTGCTTAAGAAAGTAAGTAATAACATTTTAAGTACCCATGCCATAATGTTATGTGGAAGTATAGAATTTTAAATTATACACATTTTATGATTATATTAAAATAAAATTATTGCATGGAAAAAGGCAAAAATGACAAACACTTTTATAATGAAGGGAAAGTACCTTATACAATTTTATATCAAGCAATCAGAGGCTGATCTGAGATGAAGACTTGCTTGTTACTGGCTGTTTGATATTGGCAGTACTGTGGTCTCCAGGCCTCCCCGATTTGTATGTCAGCCATCATTTTGGGCTGACAATAGAGGTTGGAGGCTGTACATTGAGCTGTGTGTCTTTTTCATGAACTGATATTTCACTGAAATGTGCGTATGCAGAAAGATATCTTTCTGTTTAAGGGAAGGTTGTTCCTAGGTTTGCAAAGTGACCAGGGAAAGTATGGAGGGGGTGGGAAGAAAATTCCTCATCATCTTGCATCCCTTTTTCTTTGTCCCTGCAGTAAATGTTCATCCCTTAGAATGCCAGTCTAATCAGGTCAGAACCCCCTCCCAGCGTCAGCAATCTAGATGACCCTGATTAAGCCCAGGGTTACAGCGTCTTGGGGAGACTTAGTGGTTCCCTCTCTCAAAGCACTTTCCATATTTTGCTTTGCATTTGTGTAATATCTTCACTGTGAGCTTTTGAGGGCAAGGCTATTGTATTCTTTTTTTTTTTTTTAAAAAAAGAATCTTTGTTGAGATATAATTCATATACCATATATTTCATCTGTTTAACACTTACAATTCAGTCCTATTTAGTATATTCACAGAGTTGTGCAACCATCATTTCTAATTCTGGAACATTTTCATCTTCCCAGAAGAAACCCCATACCTATCAGCACTCCCCACTACCCTCTTCTCTTAGTCCCTGACAACCATGCCTCTGCTTTTTGTCTTTAAAGATTTCCCTATTGTGAACATTTCAAATAAATGCAATCAGATAATTTGTGGCTTTTTGCATCTGGCTTGTTCATGTTGCAGCATTTATCAGTACTTCATTTCTTCTTATGGCTGAATAACATTCCATTGCAGGCTGGAGGATTCTTATCTCTGTACCACAAGCAGCTAGTATAGTGCTGGGTACATAGTAAACATGCATAATAGTTTCTTAAGTAATAGTTGATTGATAATCATCTTTAAGTAGTCCTCTTTTCAGGCCACCACAGTCAGTTCATCTTTTCTTGAAATATAGCCTTCAAATGTTCTTCTCTATGCTCGCTGCAAGTATCCCCAATTTAAATAAACCAGATCACTGACTTCTAGTCTTCTCACATTCCAATTTATTCTCTGTTCACTAACAAGATTTAATTTACCAAATAATGACTTCACATGGTCAGCCTCTTGTACAAAAACATCTAGTAGCTTTCTGTTGTCTACAATTCATTTGGCCATTTATTCAACAAGTATATTTTGAATGCCTATTACATTCTAGGAACTGGGTTAGGGACTAGGACTTAGCTCTGAGCAACATAAATGTAGTTCCTGGTGCCATGAAGCTTATGGTCATTAGATGAGTACTCAAATGAATAAATAAATAATTATGAACTATGGAAGTTATATGAAAAAAAGATCATATTTAACTTGGGAGAGGAGAGAGGCCTTCTTTAATGAAGATGAATTTAGGATTGATCCTGATAAATAGATACTAGCCAGGGGCAGGGTAGAGGGATGTAGGATATAGGAAGACCCAGTATCAGGAATGTGCTAGATAGTTTTCAGGAAAGGAAAACAGGCCATTGTGGCATGGGTGAAATGAGTTTTGGCTGGTGAATTAGGCAGGGACCAGATCATGTAACATCTTGTGGGTTTTTTTAAGGGTTTTGGATTTTATCTCAAGTGCAATAGAAGTCATCAGTGTGTTTTAAACAGGGAAATGTTAAGATTTGATATTTGTTAATTAAAAATGATTCTAGAGGGTGCAGACAATAGAAGCTAGATTGGAGAGTCTTTAGTAAATAAGGGGAGAGCTGATGGTGGCCACACTAGCAGGGTGGCAACTGGGATGGATGGGCTAGAGGTTTATATTGAAAGTAAAATCTACAGGATTTGGTCATTGGTTGGATATAAGCACTGAGGGAAAGGAAGGAGCCAAGGATGACTTTCAGGTTTCTGGCATGAGCTCTGCATGGATTAAAGGGCCTTTACTGAAATGGGAAAGGTTGGAAGAGGAGATAATGGAGGGTTTGGGGCTGGGAGGATCAAGAGATTAGTGTTGGACACGTTAAGTTTGAAATGCTCCTGAGACATCCCAGGTGGAGATATCAACTAAGCAGTTGGATATTCCCATGTGAAGCCCAGAAGCGAGGTCTTGGCTGGTGATCAGTACTTGAGAGTCTTTGGCATCTAAAGGGCTAAATCATAGGCACTGTGGAGTGCCTAAGATTGCCAAGAGAGAAAATGATGGGTGAGGAGTGAAGAGGGCCCAGGTTCCAACCCTGATTCATTCCAGTAATGTTCAGATGGAGGAGGAGAGTCAGGCATACAGACTGAGAAGGAATAGCCAGAAAAGTAGAAGGGCAGCCAGGAAAGTAAGGTGTGGTGTCACATAAGCTGGGAAAAGATAATTTTTCAAAAAGAAGAACAGAGCTGTGTTGAATGCTGCTGAGAGGGTTAGTAAGATTTCGTCAGTTGTGTGACTGTTGATGTGTTTGAAAATAGCACGTTTTGTGGAATGCAAGAAATAGGTGATAGATTGGAATAAACTGAAGAGGAAAAGTAAAATGAAGAATTGGAGACACGATATGCAGAAAATTCTATTGTGTAGGTGGGCTATGAATGTTACGTAGAGAAATAGGGCAATTGTTGGGTTAGGGAAGGTTTTCAGTTCTTTTTGCCTTGTTTGCTTTTAATTTAAGATGGAAGAGAATAGAGCTTGTTTGGACTCAGAAATAAACTAGGTTGAAGGTCCTTGAAGGATTTAGAGCCAATATTAATGCTATCATTAACCATGAAAATATTCACACGAAAGTGGACTGGGCCTTTCGACGGGGGAGGGATCATAACAGGAGGAAGAAAGGAGAAGATGGGTGGGGATATAGGCAGGCTAGGGGACTTAGAGGCGAACAGATGCAGGCATTTCCCTCACGTGGACTTCTGGTTTTATTATGAAGTAAGAGATGAGAGTCTCTGCAAGTGAAGATTAATTCTGAAATTGATCAGAATTATGAGAGTCAGGAAGAAGGGATGAAGTAATCATTGTGGGAGACAGGAGAGCAAGCTTATTACAGAGATAATAAGAAAAAATCCGAACTCCTATGCTTGCAATTCACTTGTACGAATGATCCTTATTACATCCCAGGATGAATAAGACATATTTATTTAATTTATTTATTTTTTTGTCCTCAAATTCCTCACTGAGGATACAGCCACAAATATAGCACATAATTTAATTGTGGTTAATGTTGAAACAGAAGTGTGCAGAGTGGACCCTGGAAGAAAGGAGAAGCATCTAAACCAGTCTGGGCCTCTGCATGGTGTTGGGGATGGCTATGGAAAGTTTCCTAGTGGAGAAAATATCTGAGTGATTCAAGAATAGAATAGTAAGAGTTATCCAGGCAAAAAGGCCTGGCAAGGTAAAAGAACAGAATGGGCATTAGTGAGAAAGTCTAACGGGTTCAATGATGGTAGAGTCTACTGTGAAGGTGGAACAGGTAGAGTGGTAAGCAATGGGGCTGGAGAGTTGCACAGAGACCAGATCTTGGAGGCAGTGAATGTGTTAAGGAGCTTAGGTTGCATTCTGTGTGTGTAGTGAGCCAATGCAGGTGTCTGTGTAGGACTGCGGTTGGTTTTGCCTTCTTGATAGATTAGTCTGGCTATTGCAAAGAGAGATTTGAGGGAGTAAGGGGTGTGACCAAAAGGGAGATCAGTTAGCTAGCTGCAGCAATAGTTCAGAGGAATGGTGGTATCAAATGGTGAACTAGACTGTCCCTACACCTTTGCACACTGCTCCCTTGAGATTAAAAGTGCCAGGCAGGAAGTTCCCGTTGGTCAGATCTGGGGCACAGAGAGAAAGGTGAATGAGATAACTTGATGCCAGTTTCCTGGGAGAAACTCATCCTCTGCTTTCCTGAGAGCTGTGGTTTTGATTCAGGCTTGCTCTCAAAACCAAGGCTAGCCTCAAAGTACATGGACTTTCCAATGGATATCTTATGGTCACCAAGCAACCTTGTCCCCTTGAACATATTCTGTTCCTTACTCTTCATCTCCAGTAAACAGGAAAGCAGCAGCTGCATAAATTCACCCCAGAACATTTAGTGACTTCTTTTTGGAGTATGTGTTTATTTTTCTAAAGAGCTATTGAGTCAGAGATAGCATGTTTTATTTCTTAAGACTTGGGTTCTGGGCACATCTGCTTCGAGTCTGTGCACCCTTGGGCAAGTTACTTAACTTCTTTAAGCATGAACTTGCTCATCGGTAACATGGGAAAAGCAACCATTCTCTCCCTGTAGAAGGAAGCTCAGGTTTAATGCCCATGCTTTATTCCAAGACCAGCTTCTGCTGTGTCTCTCTACTTTCTTATTCACTCTGTTGAGTCACGTTGGAAACCCTAGAAGAATCCTGACTTTCCTTTTGAATCTTTCCTCTTTAACTCTAGTGTACTCTTCTGTTCTAAGCAGGGACTGACCTGTTTACTTGTTGTTAGCCACTACTTTGAATTTCCAAAGCCGAATATGCCTCTCAGAAGTAGGCATCTACATCCCCAAATAACGAGAAAGCAAAAAGGTCCCAGACACTGGAAGAGCACAAGCTCCGAATTTGGTGGAACTATTTGCTCTGTCTTATGGTGGCAGTATTTTTCTCTATGGGGGCTACCACTACTGAACCAACATAGATCAGTGCTATAGGAGAGTAAGAAAAGATGCCCTCCTGAGTTCACCTTTCAGTTTCCACATCTGAATCTTTCTACTATGAGAGAAAGCACCATATATTGATTGCTGCCCAGAGAATATTCCACACACTTTAGGACAGCCCTTCATCCCTGGAAGGAATTGTCTCCAAGATGGGGATTCAAATCTTTCTTCAACAGGGGAATTCACTGTTTTACAAGCTCGGTCACTTCTGGAGATGAGATACATGATAAGATCAATAAATTCTTACACCTACTGTAAATTAGTTCCTTGGTCAGAAGCAATATTGTGGATCTATTGAAAACGAATAGACATTTAGTAAGTTCTAGGATAGTGGTGTTGGCAGAAGGGTGGTGAGCAGCAAAACATATCCAAGTCCAGAATAAGTGTCTATTCCAGTGAGAATTCCTTCTTGATGGCAGAGGTTCAATGTACCCAAGCTGCCACCTGGGTGGGTCATGGTACCATATTGGGGGCACAGTGTTGGTTGCTGCTGCTGGCAAACTGGGCACTCCAGTTTGAACCATTAAAGATAATTTATATTAGTGTTTCTATAACTTCTAAAACATCTTTTGATAAGGATAATAATCTCATTGTCATTCTGTACTGATATTTGGATATAATCCTAGCAGGGCATAGCTCTGATTAAGAACAATTGAACCATTCAATTTTTTATTAGCCTCTATTTTCACTAGCCAGGATATTTTCATGAAACTTTTTAGTTTCAAAGCAAGTTTTTTCTTTCCAATAGAAAGTGTTATATTAGTAAACAATTTTGTCTTCTGCCAAGACCAGCTCAGTCGGGAAGATCCTAACCCAGTGGCACTAGAGGAATTAAAGACACACACACAGAAATATAAAGGTGTGAAGTGGGAAATCAGGGGTCTCACAGCCTTCAGAGCTGAGAGCCCTGAATAGAGATTTACTCACATATTTATTAACAGCAAACCAGTCATTAGCATTGTTTCTATAGATATTAAATTAACTAAAAGTATCCCTTAAGGGAAACGAAGCGATGGGCAGAATTAAAGGAATAGGTTAGGGTAGTTAACTGCAGCAGGAACATGCCCTTAAGACACAGATCACGCATGCTATTGTTTGTGGCTTAAGAATGCCTTTGGCCAGGCATGATGGCTCATACCTGTAATCCCACCACTTTGGGAGGCTGAGGCGGGCAGTTCACAAGGTCAGGAGATCGAGACCATCCTGTGAATGGTGAAACCCTGTCTCTACTAAAAATACAAAAAAAATAGCCAGGCGTGGTGGCGGGCCCCTGTGGTCCCAGCTAGTTGGGAGGCTGAAGTGGGAGAATGGCGTGAACCCAGGATGTGGAGCTTGCAGTGAGCCGAGATTGTGCCATTGCACTCCAGCCTGGGCAACAGAGCGAGACTCCATCTCAAAAAAAAAAAAAAAAAAAAAAAGAATGCCTTTAAGCAGTTTTCTGCCCTGGGGGAGCCAGGTGTTCCTTGCCATCATTCCAATAAACCCACAACCTTCCAGCTTGGGCGTTAGAGCCATTTTGAACATGTCATAGTGCTGCAGAGATTTTGTTTATGGCCAGTCTTGGGGCCAGTTTATGGCCAGATTTTGGGGGGCTTGCTCCCAACAGTCTTCAACTGACAGAAGCCTTTCCCCACTTTCTCTATCCCCCACCAAGATTATTTGAATGCTCATAAAGAAGAGTATCTGTCCTCCTGTTGTTGTACCTTACTGTGTTTAATTTTGTTGGTTTTAATTCCTGCTTGAGACATTATCTATGACATTTTAAAGAACTGGTGTCCTGATTTTTCAGTCTTTCTTCGCATTATAATAAGTAATCTAGAAATTGTAATAAAGATAGTTCAGTGATTTGTAGGAACAATGAGACATAATATTTAAATTTAAGACTGTCCTGAAAAATCCAGTATATATCATCACTGGGAGTATGAACTTAGTTGTGTGACTTCAGATAAGTCGGTTTTTCCCTCTTTAGACTTCAGGTGTCTCAACTGTGATTTATGAAAGCTGGTCAATGCCAGTGGTTTCCAGGTCTAATAGATGGAATAACATTGATCAGTGGGAAACGTTTTGAATGTTTCCTTGATATGGTTGAGCTTGAATGCTACTTTTGTTGTCCTGAAATAGAACTCATATATAATGTAAACCACCAATACATATAATGTTTAAAAGTCTATATCATAAATGTGATAAAGAAAAATAAATAGAAAGGAAGTAATTGGTTATAAAATAACATGTTTTCTATTTATTTTTAAAATTTTTCTTTAACTGCCACCCTGGCTGCTTAATAAAGTAGTGTGTTTTCAATATGTAAATGACTGGTCATTAGCTATCCAAAAAAAAAACAAAACCCCTTTATAGAGGTTTGTATCTATTTGGAGCATTGTTGCAAATCAACAGCTACAAGTTCAGACACATTAGGTAGGTTGAAATGTGTCTCAAATGCTGTGAGAAGTGTTGGTGTTGATAATGTTATTTTGCAAAATGTTAAAAATATCATGATACACTTCTAAAGTAATATCAAAATGCAGTCTTTTAAAAATTTATGAGGTAATTGTATTCCTGAAATCCATACAACATTATTTCATAATTTTGTGTATATCTGTTTAGGTTCTAAGTTTAGATAATTATAAACAAGACTGTGCCTGCCTTACATGGGTCTTCATTTTTTATCCAATTTGATAATTTGTCTTTTCTTTAGGGTATTTAGACCACTTACATTTAATGTTATTATTGCTATAGTTGGGCTTAAATCTACCATTTTGCTATTTATTCAGTTTTTTTTTTTCCAATCTGTTTTTTGTTCCCTTTTTCCTCTTTGTCTTTATTTGGACTAAGTAAACACACTTTATGGCTCCATTTTACCTCCTTTGTTGTCTTGTTGGCAATACCTCTTTTTTTTTAATTTTTATTTTATTTTTATTTTTTAGATAGCTTTAGGGCTTATGGTATACCTCCTTAACCTATCATAGTCTACCTTCAAGTAATATTATAGTACATGAGACATAACAACCTCATTATAGCAGATTTTCATGTCCCCCTCCTGGCTATTGTGCTATTATTGTAATACATTTTATATATATTAAAAACTGTTTTTTTTATTTTTGTTTTAAACAATTATCTTTTCAAGAGATTTTAAAAACAAGGAAAGTAGTCTTTTATATTTGCTCACAGATTTACCTTTTCTAGTGTTCTTCATTATTTTGTGTAGACCCCTACTTCCATCTTTCTAAAATTTCAATAGTTTGGGGGAACAGGTGGTTTTTGGTTACAGGGATACATTATTTAGTGGTAATTTCTGAGATTTTGGTGCATCTGTCACCCGAGCAATGTACACTGTACCAATATCATTTTCCTTCTGCCTTGTAGTGCAAGTTTGTGCACAATGAATTTAGTCAGCTTTTGTATATCTGAAAAACATTTTTATTTCACCTTTATTACTGAAAATTATTTTCACTTGGTGTAGAATTCTAAGTCAGCATTTGTTTCCCTTTTAGCACTTTAGCAATGTTGCTTCAACATTTCCAATGTTGTATTATTTCCAATGAGAAGTTGGCTATTATCTTTATCTGTACATAATACAACTTTTATTACAATAATTCTGCTTTCAAGAATTTCTCATCAATGGTTTTAAGTACTGTGCCTATGATGTGTTGCAGTGTACTTTTCTTCATGCTTCTTCTTGCTTGAGATTTGCTGAGCTTCTTAGATCCGTGTTTTTCTTTCACTAAATTTTGAAAATTTCCGGCTATTGTTTCTTCAAACATTTTACTCTCCTTAAATTACATGTATATTAGGCTGCCCATTAATGCTCTGGCCACTTTTGTTTCAATTTTTCTTTCTCTCTGTGCTTCATTTCAGACAGTTTCTAATGCTAAGTTTTCAGGTTCACTAATCTTTTCTTCTTTAGTATCTAAGATACTGTTAATTTCACCCAGTGTATTTTCATCACAGTCATATTTTTATCTCTAAAATTTTAAGTCATGTATTTTTTAAAAACCATCTATGTCTCTACATAGCATGCACAATCTTTGTTCTATGTTCCTGAGCATATAGAATATAGTTACATGCTTTACTATTTTTATTTACTAATTTTGTAGTTCTGTGTCATTTCTGGATCAGCTTCCATTGATTAATCTTACTCTATATGATGGCTAATCTTTACCTATTTCTTTGCATGCTTGGTAATTTTTTATTTGATGCTATATATTGAGAATTTTACTATATGGGATGCTGAAAGTTTTATCTATTCTTCTATAAATATTTGAACTTTGTTCTAGAATGCAGTTAAGTTACTTAGAAACAGTTGTTCCTTTCAAGGCTTGCTTTCAACTTTTGTTAGGCAGAACTAGAGAGGCCTTTAAGGCTAATTTTACCCCACTACTGAAACCATACCATTCCATATACTCTACTTAAATGCTCTGTGAAATTACAAGGTTTTCCACTCTGGCTGGTTTGAATACATACTAGTTTTAGCCTTATGTGAGCTTTAAGCATCGTTCCCTCGGCTTCTTTGGATAGTTTTTTCCTCATCATTAGCTAATTTCCTCACATGTATCCACTGAGCTGTACTCAGCTGAAGACTTGATGGGGAGCCTCTGCTGATCTCTTGAGCTTTCTCTGGAAACTCTGCAGGCAATATTCTGGGGCAATCATGGAGCTTACATTGTTTACCCTTTCTCAGGGATTATTCTCTTTTGTTGTCTAATGTGTCTAATGTCTAATATTTCTATTTTTAAAAACTGTCTCAGGTGAGAGGGTAAATCTAGTCCCTTTTAGACTGGAAACAAAAGTCTCTTGTGCTGTCTCTCTGTTTTTCTATCAACATAATATTAACCTCATTGGAAAATTTAGACAACTTCTTTTTCTTCAGCTGTAAATCCATCTGGTCCTGGGCTTTTTTTGGTTGGTAGGCTATTAATTACTGCCTCAATTTCAGAACTTGTTGTTGGTCTATTCAGGATTCAGCTTCTTCCTGATTTAGTCTTGGGAGGGTGTATGTATCCAAGAATTTATTAATTTCTCTAGATGTTCTAGTTTATTTGCATAGAGGTGTTTACAGTATTCTCTGATGGTGGTTTCTATTTCTGTGGGGTCAGTGGTGATATCCCCTTTATCATTTTTTATTGTGTCTATTTGATTCTTCTCTCTTTTCTTCTTTATTAATCTAGCTAGCAGTCTGTCTATTTCATTAATTTTTTAAAAAACAGCTCCTGGATTCATTGATTTTTTGAAGGGTTTTTAAAAATGTCTTTATCTCTTTCAGTTCCACTCTGATCTTGGTTATTTCTTGTCTTCTGCTAGCTTTGGGGTTTGTTTGCTCTTGGTTCTCTTGGAATACTTTTAAGGCCTGGTATTATTGAAAACACCTTTATTTCATCACTCACATGTAATTAAAACCATTAAAGTTTTTAAGAAAAACTTTACATAGGTGTTTCACTTTTAAAATTTATTTACTTTTATTTTAATTGACAAATGATAATTATATATTTATGGGGCCTAACAATGTGATGTCTTGATATACGTTTACATAGTGGAATGATGAAATCAAGCCAATTAATATATCCATCACCTCACATACTTAGCATTTTTTGTGGTGAGAACACTTAAAATGTACTGTTTCAGTGGTAGAAGTTATTCTTTATTTTCCTGTGACTGCTAGTATTCTGTTGAGAAGAATGATGTTCTTCTGATTTTTATTCTACTTTTTCCCTCTGTAAAGTTTTTAGTTTTCAATTTTTCTTCTTGATGTTACTAAATTATGATATACCTGGGTGTGGGTTTGGTTGCTTATTTATTTATATTTTTGAAATATTATTATGTCTTCTTGGTAAATATTCTATTAGCCCTTTCAGTATGTACTATAATTATTTTTAATTACGAGGCAATTTCTTGGTTATTATGTCTTCAAATATTGCCCCCTCTGTAGCTTCTTTTTCCTGTTCTTATGGGATTTTTATTAAGCTGCTATGGACACTTTTACTCCTGACCTCATATTCATTAACATAGTTTGTATATTTTCCATGTCTTTCTTCCTTCTGATTTTGTGTATGTGTGTTTCCTAGCTTGCAAATGTAATCTTTGGCTTTACCCAGTTTGACTTTCATTATGTACACTGTACAGGAAGCTTAGGAGGTTCTGAATGAATTAGCTGGATCTAGACAGTCCCTAATGCAGTGAGTGGCTGCTACAGCTAGACACTGCCCAAGTGATTCAAAGGGATTAAGGTTGGCATTGCATCACTCACTAAACACCAGCCAGGAAGTTGCCAGAAAAGGCATGGACAGCCAGAGGGAATACCCAACTACATTCAACAGACTGGGAGAAAGCTGTGAAAAGCCCTTACCATCTGAAGCTAATGGGACATGATGTAGGGTGGAGAGACAGCCTTGGGTGAGAGAGGACCAGGGGAGAAGACCAGAGGGCCACAGACTACAGAAGGGCAGGTGGAGATTTCTGGGCATATACTCTCCCCTCCAACATCAGTTTGCGCTGACTGGGTAGGAAGCTCCAATCTCAACCTCTGGACAGGAAGAGCTAAGCTGAGCCTCTCATCCATAGACAGAATTGCATCTCAGCATCCCTATAATGCAGGGGCTTGGCAAAACAACCTGCCTGCCTCAAGCCTCAGCCTCTTAAATAGCACTGCCTCAATGGGGACTGGGGAGAGGAACAGAAAATAGAAGTCCCAGCTAGAGGCAGAGTGGCTCAAAAACCCAAACCAGTCTCTCACAGGATATCAGGAGAGGCCCTCAAATGTGAGCCCTTCAAATGCAAGACATGGCCTGCCCAAGCCTCAGGCCTGGGGAGGAAAACACAAGCTGAGTCACAGCTTTCAAGAGTACACACACGATGTGAAAAGGAGAGGCAGCCTACAGTCTAAAGGTCATGTGGATGAGCTCTCTGGCAAATTTCATGAGGCATTAAGAAGCCCGAGCACTATATAAGAAAGACAACAAGTGGAATGCAATGTAAAACATAGAATGGAATATGTCACAGTAACTAGATCTAACTAAACATACTGAAAAGACAGTATGCTAAAAATAAAAAGCTAAAACCCAGCCATAGTAATATTTCCAGTGACGTAAGATAGGATACTGAGAACATAAAGCAAGAATCAATGGCTACAGTAGGATGAATAATGACCTTCCAAAGATAATGGCATTCCAATCCCCGGAACCTGTGAATATGTTAAGTTACATGGCAAAAGGGACTTTGCAGATGTGATTAACGTTACAGATGTTGAGATGGGGAAAGTATCCTGCGTTGTTCAGTAGACAATCTGACCCCATGAGCTTTTAAAATCAGCTGAAGTTAGTGAGAGAGGCCTGAGACATGAGAAGACTCAACTGCTCTTCCTAGCTTTAAAGACAAAGGGGTCATGAGCCAAGGCATGTAGGTAGCTGTGAGAAGATGAGAGCTATACCCAGCAAGGAAGCAGGACCTCAGTCCTGCAACCGCATGAAACTGAATCCTGTCAACAACCTGCATGAGCCTGAAGGCAGCTTCTCCCCCAGAGCCTCTAGCAGGAACACAGCCGGCAACACCTTGACTTTAACACAACGAGCCCTGACCTCTGACCTGCAGAACTGTGAGATGATACATTTGTGCCACTAAGATTGTGACAATTTGTTACGGCAGCAATAAAAATACTAATACAGTATTCAAGAAAATTTGTCAAAATAAACAAAGAGTGGCAGAGAATGGATCGCTTGATTCAAAACTATCTCTTCTCCATATACTCTACCACTAAAGTTTTCAGATCGTGGATATAGACACATGCAACTCCAATGTTAGTAATTTTAAAAATATGAACATTATAAATTATAAAAGCTTTTCTCTCTGACAAGTGTGCGTAGCTGTTACTATGTTTTAAAATTATTGCTCGTACGATGTAAAACATCACATTTTACAATAATTTCTAACTTGTCAAATGATTTTACTTTCACTATATCACGCTTATGATAACCTTGTGAGGTAGAGACCACGGATGTGATTGTTACCCATTCTATGAATGAAGAAATTGAGGCTTAAAGAGTTTTGCTGATTTGCCTCTGCTCATATGGTAAGCTAGTGGCAAATAGGGCCCCTAACATTGTGTTTCTTTTTTACCAGTTTTTTTTTTTTTTTTAAATCTCAGCGTAGGCTATGCTATTGGCCAGAAAAAGTCACATGGCCCTGACCCAAGTACAAAGAAGGCTGGGAATTGTAGAGGAGCTCATGGACTACATGGTGACCACCAACTATTTCTGTCACAGCCACTTGTGTATCAATCATCTGGGAAGTCTTTACTTGATACACATATCAAGTAAAATACCATATTGTCTGAAACTTTCCTTAATATACCATAAAGAAAAAAGAGTGTGGAGCACTGAAAGATAAAAGAAGATTGGGAAACTGTTAATTGTTGTAGCTGGGTGATGAGTACCTGGGAATTCATGATATTATTCTCTCTACCTTTGCGTATCTTTGAAAATTTCCATTATAAAAATTTAAGCAATAAAGGAAAAACTCTCATCCAGGGAACTTTTATTTAGTATATCTGAGGTGAGGCTTGGGTATGAATATTTTGCAAAATCTTCCCAGCTTATTTCCAAGGGGATTTAACCCTATCACTCATCAAGTTTCATATTCATACCATGGTCATGTATTATTTAAAAAAAAAAAAAAAAATATATATATATATATATATATATATGTACACACACTTTTTTTTTATCACTGTTGGACTATTCAGTTCATGAATAATCAATTTTCATTATTTGTGTTCTGATTCCATGCTATGTATATCTTAACCTTGAGTCTTTTTAATACCTGTGGTCCTGATATTGTCACAAAATAAGTGTTCCTGAGGCCAGCCTGGGCAACAAAGAGAGACCCCATCTCTACCAAAAAACAATTTTTTTTTTTGTCCTGTGAAGTAATCTTTTAAAAAAAGAAAATTCTTCTGAGGTCAGAATACTTAGTCCCACCTCTGTGTTTTGGAAACTAGACTGTGTGGTTGACTAAAAAGGCCACAGATTCTTTGCAGTTTCTCCCACGGAGACTGGGCTCTATTTCCCTCCCTTTGAATTTGGCCTGGTTTTGTGGTTGCTCTGACCAATAGAATGCAGCAGAAGGGACACTGTGGGAATTGCAAGCCTAGGTGTAGGCTTCTGATCTCACCCTCTTGGAAAATCATCTGCCATGTGGCCAAGCTCAGGCTAGCTTGCTGGAAACACATGACACAGCCGACAGTCTCACCAGCCACCATACAAGCGAGTGAGGTCACATTACATCGTTGAACTGCAGTTGAGCCACTAAATAACTGCAGCCACGTAAGTGATCTCAAGTGAGACCAGAAGAAGAACCACTCAGCTGAGCCCAGTTCAAATTGTTGGCCCACAGAATCATGAGCAAATAAAATGGTTGTTATTTTTAAGCCACTGAGTTTTGGGATGGTATGTTATGCATCAACAGACAACAGGTTAGATGGTGCTATCCCCACAGAACCTCAAGACCATGGTTAAAATTTTAAAATGTGTTTTCTCTTTGTTTGGATTTTCTTTTTTTCAATTCTTGAAAATCTCTAGGCTGCACATCTCAGAGATTAGAAGAATTGCATCTCAGAAGTCTCAGAGTTTAAAAAAAAACAATCAAACTTTGTTTTCCCTCCAAGAAGAACTGGTGTCCTTTATTCACTCAGCTTTCCTTTTATCTACTTTTATGACCTCTGAGTTGCATAGGATGTGATTTAATTTTGGGCTTGGAACAGAATTTACATTGGCATTGAGGGAGTTTTCCTGAGAGATAAACCTTCAAGGAAACACATATTGTAATTCAAGAGAAAGTGAGAGTTTCGAACTAGTGTGATTTCAAAAGCAAGAGTGCAGGCACTGAAGTCTATTCATTAACTTACTCCCCAGATGCTGTTGATGGTATTTGCCTCTTCTGGGGTCAACCCAAGAACCTTATGAGGCAGTGATAATATTAGGATATTCATTCCACAGGTGAGGAAAACAAGATTGAGTGAAAAAATTGTTTGACTGATGCTAGTTTCTTACTATCACAGTTAGGAGAGATCTAATGTTTTGCAAAATCACACCAAGGACCTAAACTCTAATGAAGCAAACTTTCCCTTTCCTGTATCAATCCTCAGTGGGTCACACACAGAGAACTGCTGCTTCCCAACCATTCTGTTCCTGAGTCTGTGCATTAAGTGAAGTCTAAATGAGAAACTTGCATTCCGGAGAAAGCACTTATGTGCCCCAAAGCAGATTTAAGCTGTCATGAATTCCTGAACTACACCAGTGAGTCTGAGCATCCTTGGGAATGATTTGCTAAACTGCTCTTTTTAAAGTTAAGGTGCCTTTGCTATAGATTGAATCTTGCCTATGAGATGTAGTCTAAAAATAATGCATAAATTAAAAGGTATCATTTTTACTTCTTATCTTTAAAATGCTCACTATATCCAGCGGAGCTTACAATCTAGAATCTTCGACCCTAGGTGACAATTTTCAAAATGTATTTTAACTAAGAATAACTATTTTTGCCTGTCTGAAAAAGGGTATATTAAATGTATTTTTAAGTGATGTAGTTCATATATTTTCTGCTAAAAAATGTCATAAATGAGAAGAAAGACATTTACTGTGAGAGGACACTGCCCACTTTATGAAGGGATTGAATGGCAACAACAAGCAACTTTTTTAGACTTGCTGACAAAGGGAGTGCCTGAAGCAGTGAGGAAGTCTTTCAAGAGAAATTAAACAAGGGGACTTTGATGTACACTTCTCTGTGCAGGTTCCTGAACCCAGGGCTACCGTTGACTCAAAAATAATAAGCCCTGCCCTCAAGAGTTTACAATCTACATAGGCATAGAAGGCATAATGCATTTGAAAAGTTAAGGGCAATAGAACAGGCAACACGGCAACAACAACAACAAAAACAAAAATTCAGGACAGACATGAGACATCACGACAGCACATGATAAATGTAAAATGAGTACGTGGTATATGCTACATGAACTCAGATGGAGCAGGGCTTTTGAGGGCTGGGCATGGGGCAAGGCCATGCATGTTAAGCAATGGGAACAGTTTTTGGATCCTAAAGAGTGAACAAGATTTGGAAAAGCTAAAAGGAACGGGTAAGGTAACCCAGTTTGGGAAAAGGTAGAGATGTTGATACATGAGATAGCAAAGGAAAGAGGCAAGAAAGCACATAACAGCATGCATTATTTTGGAGACAGTGAATAGAAGAGCCTGTCTGGAATGGAGTGAAGGTGTGTGTTGGTGGAAGGTTGGGTGATTTAAGCCTGACTATGGGGGCTCTTAGTGGTCAAGGTATTTGATCTCCATTCCCTTGATAAGTGTAATCTCACATAAATCTTTGGGTGTCTTCAAACACTTATTAAGATGTGCAAGGAGACTAAGGACTATCTGTCTTGATAAAGGGACAGATATTTTCCTAAGCGTTATAAGCTAAAATAAGATACACCACTCTTTCAGCCTTTGGATTTAAAAGAATGATTAGAAGCCCAGCCAATCTACTTAATTGGTATCAGGCTGAGAACATCTCGCCACTAAAATATAAACCTAGTTCTATGATTTAAAGTCAGATTTTTCTTACACAAAACTGGGCATAAAGAAATCAAATACTAATCTTCACTGCATTCTCCCAGCCAAACACACTCATGTGTGCACAAGCATGCATATGTGTGCACTCAAAGGTGATGTTAAAAACACTTAATAATGTAATGTATAATACATATATAAATGCATGTATTAAAATATTGCTTAGGAAGTAGCTTAAAATAGCTACAAATTTCATCAGATCATTATAATAATTTCCAAATGATTTGTTGATAATCAGAAATGCTGATTGCAATTTTTTGTTTTAAGTGATTATTGTCCAAAAAATAAAGCCTTCATCTGAGCCTTGATTTGATGAGGCAAGCTGCATCGAACCCTTCCAAGGGTACTTCATTGAATTGTGAGCCATTAGCCCTCAGTGCCCGGGTGCTATGTGGCAGCCAGAGGCAAATAGATGCCTGGCTCATGCTGTGTGGCTCAGTACACGCCTGTGCATCAGGACTTCCCATGAGGCTTGGACCTGTGTCTTTCCCCCCACTGACAGTGCTGCTCCCCCTACCATTGCCCTGCTAAAGATGGCCCTGGAGCAGGAGGCAGAGCTGAATACACCCTGCCTTCTCACATGTGCCAGCCAATGTGAACCTCATTATCACTGGAGTCATGTTTAATGGGATTGCACAAGAAGCAGCAGGGCTCTCACATTCTAAGTAACAAGGGATCTCACTTCTGTTTTGATTTTAGTAGGAAGGATCTCTGCCGGTTACAGTGAACTTAAAAGAATCTTTCCAATTGTGGAAAGAGCAGGCTCAGGCACCATTTTTTTAAGTCAAGTATTGGCAAACATGTGCACAAAGATGAATGTACAAAATTCTAACAGTAGAGCATCTGTATTCCAGGAGAAGAGAATGTGGATTGGATGAGGCTTGACTTTTTAGCTTTAAAGGAGGTCACCATTTCCTCAATTAGGAAACTCTGTTCAGAATTCAGTTACCTAGAAGTGTGTGTAGAAAATAGAGTATGATTTTCTGCATAGAATATAGAACTTGAACTGATATCTTGAAGTAATCTGTTATCTTTATAAAGTCCTGAAGTGAAACAAGCCTCTTTGGCTATTGTTTCATATAAATGCTTGTACTTACATGGATCCTTCTTGCTATACATTTCAAGATCAAGTGCCCAGGTGGTAAAGCCAGGTGAGTAGCTTTCATTACAGTATTCTAAAACCATGAAGTATGCTGCGATCTGGACCCATTAAATACCATTAATTTCCACACTGAATAACTAACAGAGGAGTTTGAGCCTTTATATGCATAATAAATAACGGAGGAGTTTGAGCCTTTATATGCACAATGGTCACCAAAGGAGGTGGAAAAAAGTGCAATTTTTGGGGTCTTACTCCTAATCAGAGGATCTGATTCAGCTGGGGAAGGCTCTGGGATCATCGTTTTAACAAATGCTGAGGCTTTCTGATGCCATTGTGAGGCATTCTTGTGACATTCTTGTGACATCGTGAACCATACCTTAAGAAACACTGAATTAGGGCTTCATGTTTCAGATCATAACCGTCGCTTTTTTGCATAAAGGAGGGAGTGATTATGGTAGGGTGTAGGATAGAGGAAAGATAAAATATGGTATTCTTGATATCTAAAGAAAAACATCAGTAAGTCACTTCTGTCTTCCCAAGAACTGCCCAAACATGCCAATTTTACAGAAGCTGTGCAAAACAGGAAACTACTGAAGTTAATTTCTCACAAATTTACAATCAGATAAAGACAGAGGACATTATGACAGAGACAGCAGGCTGGGAGGGGTGAGAGTGGGGTGTCATCCGGTTACTCTCTTTACCTCTAAAACTCTTATCATTTGTGAATGAAATGAACACACTGCCAAATCTGATTCTGAGTCATTAACCAAATAGTTAAATTTAATAAAATTCCAGTCTAATCCAGACAATTCATGGCCAACTAGGAACTTTCTCATCAAGTTGTTTTGTTATACTTACTTTTATGATGTGTGGATGGATTCAAAATCAATTATCATGCTAGAGAATACTATGGATGAGTCAGAAGAAGTGAGCTAAATTTACATGTAGCAACATACATAGACCTCAAAAACAAAAGACTGAATGAAAAAAGCAAGGTACACAATGGGATCAATAGTAATATATCATTTATAAATATAATATGCACACACAAAATAATGTCAACTATTTTTCAAGGTTGAACACATATCTAAATGACAATATGAATGATGGAATGGGAATATATGCATTTAATAAACTAAAGTGAGTAATTCTATTGGGGAAAGGGAAATTGAGATTGGGGTTGGAGGATAAAGGGGGAAAACAACAAACCAAACCAAACCAAATCAAACCAAACCAAACCAAACCAAACCAAACCGAACAACAAAACAGGGACCTGGTCACAGATCAATGATGATTGTGGATCTTGGGCCGAGACGTATGGTAGACTCAATTTAGAAGCTGGTAAGGGACAGAATGAAAAATGTTGACAACTTGGTCCTTGCCCTTAGGGAATTGCAATTTAGTTGCAGTTATTTGCATGAAACTAATAAGGAAAGATATTACATAATCAAGTGTTAGGTGGGACTAACTGACAACTATGATAGTTGAGAGAATAGAGAGGAAAAAGAAAAAATAACAGTAATTTTTAAGGCAAAAGAAAAAGAAACTATTCTTTGGTGTCTGCCAGTGGTCCTCCTATGCATTTCATAGTATGGTCATTTTCAGAAGTCTCTTATTTTCACCATTTTCTCAATGGTCTATAAGAATTAGATCCGTTTAGATCCTTTAGTCCTATCTCAGTTCCCAAGGGCTATTTGTCTACTTATTTATTTTCTTTATGCATAGGAAATATGATTGAACTTTGCTTAAATGAGAAGAATGTTCATTTAACTTAATTTCATTTATTTCTTCTTATTCATTTTTTTTCACACTGAGTTTTACAGTGTGAAGGCTCTGTGAAGTCAGGAGATGGTCGCAGAGATTTTCCAATACCTAAGTGTGTTCTTCTACTGTACATTAGTTAGAGTAATGTGGACTGCCACAATAGATATACTGCCAATCTCAGAGGCTTAAAGCCCATATCACAGAACAATGATGGTTCTCCTGGACTGCTGTCTCCCCTCCACACAGTGATTCAGGAACCCGGGTTCCTTCAATCTTGTCCCTTTGCCATCTTATATACACTCCCATTTTTCCCTGGGGGTCTTTTCCATTCCAGCCAAGTGGAAGGGGAGAAAGCCTGGCAGCTCCTGGGCTGCCTGAAGCCCAGCCACACATTTCAGACCCTCATCTTGTCCTGAGGTGCTTGAAACGGTGGGGGGCTCTCGAGCCCATTCTCATGTTTACAGCGGTTGGTGGGGGGTGGAGGGGGTCTGGGAATCTGAGAGTCATTCAGGTGACTTCCTGCAGGGAGCTTTCTGACACCAGCCCTTCCCCAGACCCTCAGGTAGAGCCAACAAGGCCATGTGCTGCCCTGTCGCTGAGCCCAGCTGCGGGCGGCTCCTGGTGCTAACAGCAAAGTCACACTCCCAGGCCTGCCTGATTCCCTGATTCCCTCGCCAAGGCTACAGGGAGCCCATTCAGTTTCTCCCAAGCCCAGGTGAGGCCTGGCCTCATCTCAGACCCTGCTTAGGGTGGGGGATGTGGCCAGGGGTGATTCTGTACTCAATCCTTTTTGGTGCATTTTTTTTGAAGAAGAATATTGAGTTTCTCTTTGTAAAAAACAACAACAACAGCGAAAACGAAACAAAACAAAACAAAACAAAAAAAGATGAAAGACCACATTTGGGAAGTTTTAGGGGCCAGGCCTGGAAGTTACAGCCCATCACTTCCTATTCTCATCCCATCGGTTAGTACACAGTCATATGGCTGACAGGCAGGTTGGGAATGCATGATTATGCATAGTCATATGGCTGACAGGAAGGTGGGGAATGCAGGCAGGCATGCATCTATCTGCATGCTCAGGCATGGAAGATGAGTCTGCCACAAGACTCCCATTTATTTATTCATTAGCATCAATCTCTCATCCATAGAAAGTGTAGAAATGAGGAATGATAAAGGTGCAAGGAATTAAACCTTTGATTTAACTTGATATATTTGACATTGGGTAAAGAACCTGGATGTGACTTTTGAGTCTTCCTGGCCAACATTCATTGCTCACAAGATAAGGAGAACTGCATGAACAGAACAATGTTATACACTGGAAGGGCTGGTAAGTCTCCACCTGACAAATCTCCTGGGATGTGGCCAAGAGGCCAATGGTCAGCTTTGTGCTGGGCTCCTTTGGCTCCCTTTCCTGACTTCTCTGAACCAGTGGCAAGCTGTCTGAACCTTTCAGTCTTGGTTGTTTTCTAGGTTTTACCCCTGACCTTCTTACACCTTTGATACTTGCTTGACCCTTGCTGCTCTGGCTGATTTCCTTGGGCTCCACTTCCTGACAGCCTGAATTTCTGTGTCAGTTACTGCAGCCCTAGCTGTGCCTGCATCAGCTTTCCTTCTAACTTGTCTGAGTACATGGCCAGCCACCTCCATGTCACTAAATCTGGGTTGTGGTACAACCTGGTCGATATTATACTGTTGCTGTCTTCATCTCAGCGTGACTATGGTCTACTAATAGTTGGAATTTCTGTGTGAAATCCCCACAAAAGACATGAATATTTTATCCCACATTCACACATATATATTTGCACTTGACAAGAGGTGTGCTGAGTCATCTATATATTTCAAATGAAAATTTAAACTTGAGTCATGAAAGGAAGTTCTCCTGGGGACATCTGCTCCAGTGTCTCTGCCATGTGCTTAGGAATTTGCTCATCCTATCTGATAACGGTTCAAAATGCTCTGGAGGGAACTGAGCTGAGTTTTCAACTCATGCCTGGGAACGTTAATGTGACTGAGTAAATCCTTTATTCCTTAGGATAATGTGGGACTAAAATACCTGTAGTCAGGTAATCAATCAATGGTGCAGATATTGTGTATTAGTTTGGGCAGCTGTAACAAAGTACCCTAGACCAGGTGGCTTGTAAACAACAGGCATTTATTTCTCACAGTTCTGGAGACTGGAAGTCCCAGATCAGGGTGCTAGCATGGTTGGGTTCTGGATCAGGGTGCCAGCAGGGTTGGGTTCTTGGTGAGGGCTCACTTCTGGGTGGCAGACCACCGACTTCTCGTTGTATCATCACAAGGCAGAAGGAGAGTGAGCTAGGTCCCTCTCTGGCCTCTCCTTATAAGGACACTAATACTATTCTTAAAGGCTTAGGTCTACCTTTATGACCTAATCAACTGCCAAAGGCCCCACCTTCTACCACACTGAAGGTTGGGCTTTAACATATGAATTTTGGGAAAACACAAACATTCAGTCCATAACAGATTCATAATATGTCTCTTTCTCTCTTTACTCACATATTTATGTGCAGTGGTTAATAGTGTATAGTGCAATAATTTATTTACCTTTGATTTATGGAGGGATTGGCAAACTACAGCCTGTGGGCCAAATTGGGCCTGCTGTCTGTTTTGGTAAATAAAGTTGTGTTGCAACACAGCCATGCCCATTTTTTAACATATCATCGATGGTAGCTTTCGTGCTCCCACAGCAGAATTGAGTAGTTGCCACAGAGACGGTATGGCCTGGAAGGCCTATCATACTTATTATCTGGCCCTTTACAGAAAAAGTTTGCTGAGCCCTGCGTTAGACACAGACAGTAAATGTGAATACCTTGGAAGCACTTAATTCCTGAAACAGAATAGCCAACAAATGAGTATGTGTTTGTTCGTTTTATAAATCTCAGTCTTTCTTTGCTTACATTGTCCCTTCTGCCTGGACTACTTGGACACTTCAATCACGTATCCAACAAATAGCCATGATGTGCTTACTATGTGGCAGGCACTGCTCTTGGTGCTGTGACAAAAACAGGACATCTAGAGCCTCTGTCTTCATGGATCTCATATTCTATTGGGTGGAGAGACGACCGATTGATGAGTAAGTAGATGTATAACATCATGTCTCCTTATGGTTCACCTTATGAAGATAGACAAAGCCGGTGCAAGGGTCTCTGTCTGATTAATTCCTCCTTACTTCCTTATTCCTCTAAGGTCTTTCTCAAGCCTAACTTCCTTCATAGGATCATTCTTTGTCTCCCCATTTAGTCTTTGTCTATTTCTTTCCCTTTTAACTCACAGATCTTTTTATTTTGAACTTTTAAGGAATTTCTATCATTCTATCCTGGATTGGAGTTCTTTGTATATGTATTTCTTCTTCACCATAGATTGTGAGCCCATTAGTGACAAGGGCAATGTGACAATTTTCAATTTCTCAACAGCAACCCACACAGTGCCTGGACATGGGTAAATATCTTTGATTAAGCCAGGTCTTGATTCTAATACTGGAGGTTTTTAGTACATGATGATCTGATGCACTCCTCTCTGTCTGTGGTCTTCCTGAGTCTATGATCACCACTGTGTCCCATCAGCCACTTACAGGCAGAGGGAGGGAGTTTCCCACATTTTTAGGAATTGGAATCTCTTCAGGAATTCACTACGCCCACAGGCCCATCTGGACCATAAGATTTACCTATTCTTTTGACATACAAACCAGAGAAAATCTTCTTAAAATGTTATAGCCTGAATTTTCCCCAGTAAGGAAAGAAAAATCCAACCAATCAACCAAGCAAAAGGGACGAAAGGAGGGAGTTGCACAAGTCATTAGCAAATAGAAAATTAAACAAAAAGTTCTTGGACTTTCTCATTGTTTTAAACTACCCCCTCACCCCACCTAGATTTTAGGTACTGGTCTGTTGATAGGAAACCAGGTTACTTTGTTGGAAAGAAACTAGTATTGGAGGTTGTATTAATCAGAGCTTGAGGATGAGCCAATTTCTCCCATGCATGGGATGAATGGGGTTATTCATGAAGGGGCATCTGGGCAGGAAGTGGGGGCGTTGTGGCTAACTAAGCCAGGCTAGCCCTTGAAAGCAGAAGGGAAATCTTTCAGAACACATGAGCAACAGCTAGGGTGAAGGAGAAGGCCAAAGGTGCTTGTAGAAGGTGAGTGAGAAGGAAATGAAGAGTTGCAACCTGTTACCAATTAGCACGGTTCTTTGGGCCAAATCATGCACAAGTGGCTCATGGGTCATGAGCTTCCTGCAGTACACACAACCCCGAGCCATCCATGGAAAAGACCCATCTTCGTGACCCTTAGCATGAAAGAGGCTAATTTTGTTATTGTCTTACTCTGTTCAGCATCATCATTGACATTTTCCACTATTTCTCAGCCCTGGGAGGAAAAAGCCAGTACTTGATATAATGCTTAAGATAAAATAAGATTCCTATTCTATTTTAGAACATCCAAGTTCCACTGAATTAGAAAGTCTGGAAATTTCTGTCGATTGTGGGGGTGTTTACAAATTGGGGACAAGGTGGCAGCCAACTTACTGTGGTAACTTGGGCAAGAGTCTTCCCTCTGCCCACAGTGGAAACCCTCCCTCTGAAATCAGGAGGGCTGCAAGGATGACCTGAATTTGCCTCTTACTGTGCTGCAACCACACATCCTTGTACAAAGCATAGGAGGTTTCTTGTCTTCTAGAAGCCAGGCTGTATTCTTGAGGTCTTGCTCTCCAGGACCACCTGCAGGCCCCTGGGGTAGAAGCAGCCCTGGGGCAGATAATGCAGCCAGTGGTCAGGCAGTGGGCTTGCTTGCCTTGTAGGTTTCTGCCCCTATGTATGGAAAGTCTTTGCCATATGACTATATACCTTCATATCACTACATTTGTGAATATCCATCAATTGAGCCTGTGTCCATTCCTAGGATCCTGTGTTCATTTTTCCAGAAAAGTCTATGTTTTCCAGCTGACCCAGTAGAAAAAAAATGTGATCTTTGGAAGGTGAAGACAAATCTATATCCATCATTTATGAACTTGCTGTTGCCTATAATGACAAACACAATAAAATTTCCCTGTAGTAAATATACATAAATTTTTATGATAATATCAATGTTACTAATGCAACGGCAGCTTTCATTCCTTGAACAATTACTGTGTGCCTGGAATTATGCTAAGAACTTTAAAAGCATAATGTAATACATATACCATGAGGTAACTACTACTATCATCTTCATTTTACGGATGAAGAAAGTGAGGCTTAGGTTAAATAACTTTCCCAAAGACTCATGAGGCGGAATCTGCAAACCTAATTCTAGAACCCATGGTCTTTATTTCTGTGTTATAATTGTCTCAGTTCACAGGTGGAGGCTAGGCTCAAACCCAGGCAGCCTGACTCAAGGCCTCACTCTTTTCATTTTACTATGTTTAAATTTTTGTGTGTGTGTGTTTTTACATATTTCTACCAGATGTGCTTAATTGAGTGCTAGCTCTTTTTCTTCTTGACGACAGGTGGATTCAGGAGATTCATAGCTTATTGCTTAGTAGTTAGGAACTCTACAGTGTAGACTAGTTATACACATTAATGGGAGAATGAGACATTGTATTGTACCCAGATGTATAAATAGAGGCATTTTTTAAAAAGCATGCTTGTTGTAAACAACTGCAGCAGGAAGATTGCAATTATATCTATCTCAAACACTAACCAGTTGCAGCAAACATTTTAGACTTTGTGTAATAATGGAGTCAATTCTAAGTGGAAAAAGAACAAAACATCAATAGATAAGATCATTGTCAATTCTGTCTTACTTGAAACAATAAATTTATTAACACCAGGTACAATGATAAATAATTAGTTGAAAGTCATATTCTATGACTTTTCAAAGTTATCTAAAATGTCTCCTATTTCAGGCTAGTATAGGCTGGATGCATACTAAAAGAATTAAGAGCAACAGAGTCCTCATCTCTTTACATTGAATGTCAGGAAATAACAAGAGAGGATTTGTAATTTGTGGCAAAAATTAGTCACGAATAGTCAGACACACTCTTACTTGAAACATCATCTTCCATGGGATTAGTCAACAAATGGGCTTTCTGATTAGCTAGCACAGGGAAGGGGTTTATAAGAAAGCATCTGGAACAAAGGAATTTTAGGTTCAAGTGGACAGCTTCCTAATTTTCCTTTAATATAAGAAGGTAAACCCATTTTCTGATTCAATACTTTCCATTCTCAAAGAGGTGACTGATATTATTCTACTTCCACAGCATTTGGCAGAAGCTTATTTAACTAAAGTCTTGATTTAAACCTAAAATTCCACCAAATAAATGACAAATGATGAAGTGGGATTCTTCAGATTCTGTATCCAGGTTATTGACCTGCCACCCCCTATTTCTATCTGTATTCTTGTGTAAGATTCTTGGAAGGCACTGAGGCATGGGCTTTTGAGGTCATGGTCCAGGTTGTAGCCATTAGTTTGACAAAGGTTTTTGACTGTCTTTCTGATACATAGTAGACTGCACTTTCTGGCTTCCTTGCAGTTTGCTGCGAGCACTTGAGCAGCTCTGGCCCAGGAGCTGTATTTGGAAGTACACGTTACTTCCTGTCAGAGTTTGATTGACAGTGAGCTGTCCTCCTGCCCTCTTACCCTCTACCGTGGAGGGAAAACAATGAGTCTTAGATGACTGCTTTGTTAGCCTGACCCCTAGAATGGGGCTGTCATGGAAAAGAGTAAAAAAGATTATGTAGCATAAACAAGAAATCACCTTTTTTTTTGTTTGTTTTAAACCACTCAGATATGGAGATTGTTAGTTCTTAGAGCATAATCTGGCCTATCGTGAGGCCGGTGTTACTTGTTAGAATATTGTATGTCATAGGCAAGCCCAAGAATCACCAAGATAGTCCTGAAGAACAGTAAGATGGAGGGGTAGGGAGACTTTCTTTTTATATTAAGCTTTAGTAATTATATAAAGCTTTAGTAATTAAAATAGTGCTGTATTGCTAATGTGATAGATAAAATGGCCAATAAAAGAAAATGAGAGTTCAGAAGCAGCCCCAAGCATATTGGGAAATTTTATATTTGACATAGGTAATATTGTAGACCACTGAGAAAAAATAGAATAGTCAGGAAATGGGGTTGGGAAAGATGGTGTTCCACATGGGAAAAAAAGTGGATTTAGTCCCCTTTCTCATATAAAAAATCAGTTCCCAATGGATTAATGAGCTAGACATGAAAGGCAAACATTTTAAATTTAATTGAAACATTCGGTAGAGAAATCATTCTTAACAGAGAGGAAAAAAATTGATGAGTCAATATTTTACATTAAAATTAAGGAAATAAAGGTCTCTATCAAAAAAAGTCTGAAAAGGTAAGCCACACAGCATATATTTGCAGAGGATCACACATCAGAAAGAAAAACGATAACTGAAAAATAATTCTGTTCATGGGCAAAAGATTATAGCCATTTCATAGAAGAGGAAACACAAATGGCAAATGGATATAAGTGAAGATACACCATTAGTTATCAAGAAATGCAAATTAAGTGCACACAAAAATGCAAAAAATCAAGAAGTTTGACAAAACCAAATGCAGGTGAGGATGCGGATTGATGGGAAGTCTCGTGTTTTTTACAGTAGAGTGTTAGTTGATACAACTACTTTAAAAAACATTGTTTTCATTCCCTGATAGAGCTGAACACTTAATTATTCTACAAATGATCAATTTCACTCATAGGTGTCATGAAGAAATACTCTAAATATACACACTGAGACCCATGTGGTAACATTCACTGGAGCATGGTTGGTAAGAACAAAAATCCTGAAACAATCAAAATGCTCACTGACCAGAATATAATTTCCGTAATGGTGGAATATCTTTTAAATGGAATTTTACATAAGTTAATGAAAAGTAAATGAGTCTCATATTCATGCATAA